>NC_000008.11:25314648-25617678 GCF_000001405.40 Homo sapiens
GTCCACCTATCCAACCTCTATCCATCCATGTATCTATCCATCCATCCATCCATCCATCCACGTACCCAACCTCTATCCACCCATCCATCCCTCCCTCCACCCACCCACCCATCCATCCACCCACCTATCCATCCACTGCACAAGCAAGAAGCCAGAAAGTCACCCTTGATATCTCCTTTTCCTTTATAACTCACATAAATTAGTAGATAAGACCTGTCAGCATTACCTTTGAAAGGACTCTCAAGTCTCTCTCTCCCTTCTCTCCATCTGCATTGTCACTACCCAAATTGGAGCTACGATGACCTCTTCCCTGGACAACTGCCGTAGCTTCCTACCTGGTTTTCATGTTTCTGTTCTTTCTTTGCTCATTTTCTCTTCTCCTTACTGCATCCTGAATGTTCTATTCTGTAAGCACACCTGATCTCATCCCGCTCCTCCCTCGCTGAAAACATCTTACTGACTTTCATTTATGTTGAGGGTAAATATTAAAATTCTTAATTTGCCCACCGGCCTCAGGGGGATCTGACTTATATCTGTCTCTGCAGCCTCATCTCACACCAGACACCCCCTCACTGTGAGGATGTCAGTCAGGTTGTCTCCTACCTCTGGGCCTTTGCACAGGCCACTCTCCCTGACTGTGCTAACAGCTGAAAGGAAAGATTCCCATACCCTGCAGACGAGGTCAGGACCTGGTATTGTGCATTCACAGAGCCTGGCACATTCCTCCATTGCTAATGGTGGGTTTACTTGTGCAGATTATTTGACTGGTGCTTCTCTCTGGCACTAGACTGTAACCTGAGTTGGGGCAAGGCTGGTGAGTGGCTCACCATAGCCACCCAGACACCCAGCACACGCCTGCTGCAGAGTAGGAGCTCAAGCACTTTTTAAAATGAATGTTACCTCCATTACGTGATTATACCATAATTTATTCAACTAATTCCCTGTGCTTGGAAATCGAGACTGTTTCCATGTTTCCACTTTTATAAACACCGCAATGAATATCCTTACAGATAAATTATTGCCCACATTTTTAATACTTTGAGACAAATATTACCAGTGGGATTGCTGTATTAAGACTTTTGACACATTTTCAGTTTCTCCATTGACAAAGAGTGTGTCAAGTAAGATTTCAAACTGTGCTGTGTGAATAAGCCCCTTTTTCTTCATCCTCAGCAAGTGATAAGCAGTATCTTATTTTTTTCCAGTTGAGGAAATGATGAAAACGATCAGTGCTCTAAATATGCACTCCTGTTTTCTTATAGTGTTAAAAGGTTTTGTTTTTTACATTGGGTGGCAGTTTAATATAGTGCAGGTGTTGGAATCATTTTTTCAATACTTTTTTCATCTAGGAGTTTAATATACTTCACATTTATTCCAAGTTTCTTTTATGTACCTCAATAACATTTAATATTTTTCTTCAATATGTGGGCCACACATTTATTAATTAAAATTTTTTTTGCTGGGTAACAAAAAAGAAAAAGAGCAGCAGAAAGCATTCTTTCATTGATAAAATCAAGTAAACTGATTTAAAGAAATAAAAAGTACTCTAGGCTGGGCATGGTGGCTCACACCTGTGATCCCAGCACTTTGGGAGGCTGAGGTGGGCAGATTGCTTGAGTCCAGGAGTTTGAGACCAGTCTGGGCAATGTAGTGAGACCCCTTCTCTACAAAAAATACAAAACATTAGCCAGGTGTGGTGATGTGTGCTTGTAATTCCAGCTACTTGGGAGGCTGAGGTGAGAGAATCACTTGAGCCCAAGAGGCCAATGTTGCAGTGAGCCGAGATTGCACCACTGCACTCCAGCCTGGGCAACAGAGCAAGATCATGTATCAAAAAAAAGAAAAACATACTCTATAGGCTTTCAGAAAGAGTGTCTACCTCATCAGGTTGTTCTGTAGATTAACAAGTTAGTCTATAATCGATTACATTAATACATATAAGACATTTTGACCATTGCCTGGCACAGCATATAATAAGCACTCAATAGACAATTGCCTTCATTATTATCAGATGTATTCAAAATATCACACTCTCCAAGGCACTATTGAAAAACCGTCTGCCACTGTAACCTAACAATATATACTATGTATTTATTATTAGATAGAAATTTTTAATAGAGAAAGAATTACTACTTAATTTTCTGTAAAACTACAGTGCAAAGACATCTTGGTATGCATGGAAAGGTAAAATGTGATAAGCTGAAGACAGCAAACGCATATGAAAGCCTTTTGTCGGATGAGTAGTTCAGTATAAAACCAGACCATTTCGTGTTGTCTTTACCTTTTATGTCGTATGACATTCTGAAACTTAGAATGACTTCTCTCAGCAACACTCACAGCATGCTTATCATGTTGCAGGAGATGTTCGGAATGACATTTATGTCACCCTGATCCACGGTGAGTTTGACAAAGGGAAGAAGAAGACGCCAAAGAATGTGGAGGTGACGATGTCTGTGCACGATGAGGAGGGCAAGCTCTTGGAGGTGCGCGGCATGGCCCAGAAATCCTGCTACCATCGCATCCGTCTTTACAATCACGATAGAATCTTGGCCGTATTTTAATTCTTCTTTGCATCAGGATGGGTTTGATTTTTCCTGAGAAAAGAAATATAAAGCCTGTTAAATTTGTGATTAGCAGTGAGCAGTTTCACTAAGGAAGCTATCTAGACTCTTCTAGACTCTTATTTTTATATTTCTCCTGTGCTAAGAAATAGCTCCAGCCACTAATGATTTTATGTGTAAGCTTCCAATGCAGATGTTATTTATCGTTTTCAACTTAGTTAGCCACTTTCAAGCTTGATCAGTTCCTCTTAGGCTTGAGCTAAGTGGCCTGGGTGCTCGAATAGCATCAGAAAGCATGTTTCCTTCCCTGGGTGAGCAGAACCAAAGGAGATGTGCTCATCAGAGACTGAAACTGGAAGAGCCCTGGGGTAGGCATCCGCTACCACTGCTCTTTAGTTTGTTTGTTTGTTTGTTTTTTTGAGACGGAGTCTTGCTCTGTCGCCCAGGCTGGAGTGCAGTGGCACGATCTCCACTCACTGCAAGCTCCGCCTCCCGGGTGCACCCCATTCTCCAGCCTTAGCCTCCCAAGTAGCTGGGACTACAAGCGCCCACCACCACGCCCGGCTAATTTTTTTGTATTTTTATTAGAGACGGGGTTTCACCATGTTAGCCAGGATGGTCTCGATCTCCTGACCTTGTGATCCACCTACCTTGGCCTCCCAGAGTGCTGGGATTACAGGCGTGAGCCACTGTGCCCAGCCTACTCTTTAGTTTTAATGAACAGGAAACTGTAAGAAACTTTAAAAGGATGAGTTATTGTCTCTGGGAAACACAGGAGTTAGTGGCAGAGCTGGGAGGGTATCTAAGTATCCTGAATTCCAGTCCAGTGTTCCTCCAACTCTGGCAGCTTTTTCTTTTCTTTTCTTTTCTTTCTTTTGTTGCTGTTGTTGTTGTTGTTTGATGGAGTCTTGCACTGTCACCCAGGATGAAGTGCAGTGGCACAATCTCTGCCTGCTGCAACCTCTGCCTCCCAGGTTCAAGCAATTCTCCTGCCTCAGCCTCTGGAGAGCTGAGATTACAGGTGCTCGCCACCATGCTCGACTGATTTTTTTTATATTTTTAGTAGAGACGGGGTTTCACTATGTTAGCCAGGCTGGTCTCGAACTCCTGACCTCATGATCTGCCTGCCTCAGCCTCCCAAAGTGCTGGGATTACAGGCATGAGCCACCATGTGCTGCCTGCTTTGCTTTGCTTTACTTTACTTTCTTCTTTCTTTTCTTTTCTTTTTTTTTCTCTGTCTTTCCGCTCCCTTCCCTTCTCTCCTCTCCACTCCCCTCCCCCACTTTTCCTCTCCTCCCCCACTTCCCCTCCCCTCCCTTCTCCTCCCCTTCCCCCTCCACTTCCCTTCTTCTATTTTCCTTTCTTTTCCATTTTCTTTCCTTCTTTTTTTTTTTTTTTTTTTTTAATTAAGACAAGATCTAATGCAGGTATCTGCCAGCTTTCTGCCCACATAAAGAAGTGAGTCCCAATTCTGACATCAAAGAGGATAGGCAGGAGGTGGTCACAGGAGGCTGCATGGCCTCTGCTGAACTCCACCTCTTCTCGTATGAGCCGTAGTTAACTGCTTTGGTAACCAAGGACCAAGCTCTTGATTGACTTGACTCACTGAGTGTCCTGTTGCATAGTTGTTTGAGGCTACAATGAAATACAATTTCATCACTTGCCATGGATGTTATAATCTATTAAGGAAGCAGATAGCTAGGCAGTTTACTAAGGCAAGTCGTATTCTGCATGAGAGGGAGAAACTGAATGCTATGAGCCACTGTATGAAAGTGCTTTATTTGTGCTGTTGATAAGAGCACATGAGCTCATTTCACGTAGACACCTTCTCCTGGTTGGTCATTTCGTTTGATAGTGCCCCACCAAGGCCTGGTTCTACTAAGCTCAGTGGTTCATGACCAGGAAAAGATGCAGCCCTGAGTTGAGTGAATATGCTGTGCCAATACCCTAAGTCCCTAAAACAGAATGTAGACAGGAAAAGAGAAATGCTTTTCTGCAAATAGCGGCGCGTCTGCAGTTGTCACCTAACTTCTCGTCATCGTCATGTTCCCTGAGAGAGAAGAGGAAAGAATCAGAGGAGAATGCATGCCTGGGGAGGGAAGAGAAAATACAAGTTACAGGAAAGAAGAATATTTAGGCGGTGCTGGGTTCCTTAGCTGCTACCAAATTGATATTATAGACCCTTGAATAAAGTGGTGGAAATTCAGTCTTCTCTGTTCTTCATCCCCCAAACTTAATCAGCCGATCAGTGCCAGTGTAGGGCATGTGTGGACGTGTTTGGGGGTGAGGGGCTTGTGCATGGTATATGGGGTCCTCTTACTTTTCTAAACAAAATTATTCCCTTCTAATTTTTTCCTTCCATCTGAAGAAAGCAATTCACCCTGGTGCTGGATATGAAGGCATTTCAGAATACAAATCAGTAGTCTATTACCAAGTCAAGCAGCCCTGTTGGTATGAGACTGTCAAGGTGAGAATGAGTCATTTGTAACCCCTGTTATCTGTTAAACCTCAGTTAGATTCCTATCTTCTGTTTACCCCCAAATTATTCCTACTTTATTTTGAAATTTTTAGATAAGTTGCCTATGGTGTGCAGTAAGAAATGAATCAGTAATTATAATTCTGTATTAAGAGCATTTATCATTAAGAAACTCAGTGATGTATGAGAATTTGAATAGCAAAGCTTGTGGTTGACGTGATGGATATAATAGACTGCCAAGATGGTACAAAACCAAACAGAAATTTTCACACTGTGCAAACAGTTTCCTAACATTTTTTTATTTTTGGCCTCTCACCAAGTGTTCTGGGCCTCTTTTCAACTTCAATATGTGTATTACACATTCCAAAGTGCTTTTCAGATCAGTCATCTCCTTTGAGCCCCACAAGGGCTCTGCAACTAGAACAAGCAGGTGTTGTAACGCCATCTTTCATATTAGGTACTGAAGTTCAAAGTTCAGTGACTTCCCAGGATCCTAGAGCTGACTGGTATCAGGGCCCAAACTAGAGTCCACTTCTTCTGAATCCCGGGCTCCATCAGCTCTTTCTGGTTGTCGAAGTCACACGAGTTCTTCATAGAAAAAAAAATTTTTTAATTGCATTCATATATCTCAATTTAGAATTAACCATTTTCAACAGTTTTCTATAGTTCATATGTTTTGAATGATGCTGTTGATACAAATTTATATTGTGCTTTTTAAAACTACTTATCTCAATGCATATAAATTCTTCAGATATGTATTTTAGATACTTGCATAAGGTTCCAAAGTATAATCATGCCATGATTTGACTGCACACCACAAATCTCTGCTCGTTTGAGTGCCCTAAGGCTCTGTTTCTTCTCTCCCCTGTAGATAGGTAAGCAGCAGAAAACTGCTTTATGAGCCCTAATTATTACCTTTCCCCCTCTTTATGGAATAATCAGGTCTTATAGATCCAATTATTACTATATTTATACACATCTTGCAGTCTGAAAGATCCTGTGTGGACCTCAAAATACCAGTATTTCCCCTCTGAAGTATTACTGTTTCTTACTTCAGAAAATGCTAGAAATTCACAGTATCCCTATGCTCAGAATCTATGATAAACAGCAAGATGATCTGAGATTCTTTTGATTTGAAAATAGCTCAGTCTCCTTTGAATGAAACCTATACCAAATCTCACTCTCTAGTAATTTGTGCTGTGGAAAGTATAAAATTGAGCCTAATTCCATGAAATAAACCATGCTTGCAAAGTACTGTGTGTCTGTAAACTATTAATTTCTTACTATGACACAGGTATCCATTGCTATAGAAGAAGTCACACGCTGTCATATAAGATTTACCTTCCGACACAGGTCATCTCAGGAAAGTAAGTATTAAGACGTCTATGACATATTTCCACTTAAAAAAAATTTGCTCTGGCTTGACAGCCATCTTGTGAAGCTGGAGAACAAGATATTTGGAAACTAGAGACTTGGCAGCTGTATTTTGTAACTCACTGGTGCTAAGGAAATCAGCATAATGAATTTTGCTGGGCGTGCAAGGTCTGTGTTGTCACTCTATATTAGGATTTCCTCAAAATGTGTTTTGTGAACACTAATATTCTCAAAGACAGCAGTCCTCAATCTTTGGCACCAGAGACTGGTTTTGTGAAAGCCAGTTTTTCCAAGGACCAGGGGTGGGGTGATGGTTTCAGGGTAATTCAAGCACATTACATTTATTGTTTTCTTTATTCTTATTACATTGTAATATATAATGAAATAATTATACAACTCACCATAATGTAGAATCAGTGGGAGCCCTGAGCTTGTTTTCCTGCAACGAGACAGTTCAGATCATCAGGCATTAGATTTCCACAAGGAATGTGCAACCTAGATCCCTTGCATGCACAGGTCACAATAGGGTTCGGCTCCTGTGAGAATCTAACGCTGCTGCTGATCCAACAGGAGGCGGAGCTCAGGTGATAATGCGAGCAGTGGGGAGCAGCTGTGAAGACAGATGAAGCTTTGCTTGCTCCTCCGCCGCTTACCTCCTGCTGTGTAGCCCAGTTCCTAACAGGCCACAGACTGGTATGGGTTTATGGCTTGGGGTTTGAGGTCCCCTGCTCTAAGATGCTACTAGATGCTCTATAACAAAAAGTGTTGTATTTCACAATCAAATAGGTATAGGAAAGGCTATATATACATTGTATCTCCCTCCTAGACGTTCACAATGCGTGTTGCCATGTTGCAGTAGCAAGAAAACTCTTTATTCACTTGTCTCCCCAAATTATCATTTTTCTCATGAAAAAACTCTTTCAAGTCTTAGGTCACAGTTCTTGAAATGGCTACACTAAAGTGTAAGCAGAGAAGAAAATTGATTGTTTTCAGATTGATCACAAAATTTCTGGAATCGTCTTATTCTCATTTCGCACTGCATAAAAATGTAACCCCTCCTTCCAAAAATGCATGTGTTGAACACCATCTACACAACAGGCTGCAGGCGAGGCCCTGGTCTATGACAGCCAGCTGGACACTCCCACGCAGAGTCTTTGTGGTCTGGTTAGGAAGATGAACGAAAAAGTGGGTGGTTATGTACGGAATAGTATGATATGTACATTACAAGGGGCAAAGACTTGTAATGGAAGCGTAGCACAGCACCTTACCCAGTCTGGGGGATTTATGCATATGACCTCCTACATCTTAGCTGAGACTTGAAGGTGAGTAGAAATTAGCCCAGTGAAGGGTGATGGGAGAAGTGTGTTTGGAGAACCAAATGAACTCAGTATGGCTAAAGCAGGACCAGTGGAGCAATAATAGTATCAGGTTGAATCGTGTGAAATTGGCATTTTTTAGGTCTAAATGGCCAAATATCAGCCATTTCATATGGTTCTGCATAATAACTAACAATTGTCAATTAACAATTAACAAAGGTCAAGTTTGTATGAAGTATTATGTGAAGCTATATTTGTACATGGTCCTGTTTAGTATCCACAATAATATAACAAGGTACATTCTACTTTTATCTACATTTATACACAAAGAAACTAAGGCATGGAGAGGTTAGGCACTTGCCTGTGGTCACAAGGCTAGCATATGACCAGGCTGGGTTAGCACCCAGACAATCTGATTCTAGCTGGGCTGGAGCCGGATCATGAAGGCTGAAGATGTTTTTCAGCCATGTTAAGGAGGTGCAATTCAAGGGTGGTTTCTGGTTTTGAGGTTTTGGGAGGGGTTGGTCTATGTTCATAACAGCTTCACCCATAGTACTCCAACACTAGAATAGCCTAAATCCCCATCAATAGGAGAATGGATAAACAAATTGAGGTATGATCATACAATGGATGACTACTCCACCACTGTGGGGACCCAAGGGGCACAGCAGACCACAGAGCCGTGCCTATGATAAAAACAGGCCACAGGTTACCCTACTCAGAGCCACTGAAGCAGGGGACCCGGTGAGTTCAGAGACTGGCCCCGAAGACCAAGAGAGAGGAGCTCTGCCTCCTCATGAAGCTGCACCCTCCTCCCAGCTGCCACAGGGCATGCAGATCTTCTTTCCTGGCACTGGAGCTGGTATTCTGGGGAGGAAGGGTAAAGAAACTTTGGGCAGCACCATAAACCCTAGAGTAGAATAAATATCTTGCAGAGCCTGTTTTAGAGCAACATAAATTGAGATCTCTCATTCAAGTGTTTTGAAGCAGCGTGGTTGACATGATTGGATTGGACTTTGGAAACCTCATTCCAACATAGAGAATGTGTTTGGTGGGAGAGCCTAGAGACAGAGAGATGCGCTGGGAAGGTCTTGTAGAAATAAAGAGAAGAGGTGAGTGTGGCCTGAAGTCAGGAAGGACAGCAAGATGGAGAGAGAAGAGACAGGCTCCAGAGCTGTTTAGGACATGGAGTTGACGTGGGGTGGAGTTGGTGTCAACACCCACATTTCTGATTTGGATGACTGGGCAGATGCTAGTCTCATTTATTAGGGGATGTAGGAAGAGGAGAGCATACTTGGGGGTGCCAGGCAGTTTCAGTGGCACATGGTACGTGGCTTATTGCAGTTTGCTCAGTTGTGCTTATTAGAATATGGTTGAACGCTGCACCCCCGAGCAAAATGTGAAATCGTGTCATAGCCATCGCCTCCTGGTGTCTCTCTGCACTGCTCAGACATGTCTTTCTGCCTTTTCAGCCAGAGATAAATCGGAGCGAGCATTTGGGGTGGCCTTCGTGAAGCTGATGAACCCGGATGGCACCACTCTGCAGGATGGGAGGCACGATCTGGTGGTTTATAAGGTGGTGCTAACAGAAAATGGCTGAGAAAAATACTCCCTTTCAAATGAGCATTTAAGACTCCTTTCATATTTATTTGTACAAACATCAGAAACCTTTCTAGAGCTTTCTGTACTTGCCCATTAACATCTAGAAACCCAGAGGGCTCTGGGCCCTCCAGCTTTGTGGTTTCCCACCTGCTTTCTGGAGAGAGTGAGTTGCATTATTACTGAGTCTTCTAAGGAGGCTCTCACCTCCTTAGACCTCTCACGGGAGAGGTCCTGTGAATGGTGTTCCCTAGCAGTGAATGGTAAGGGGTCGGCCTCTCATGATCTGCTCTTTTCATCATCCTGCATGGCACATGGACAGGTGCACTGTTGGGCTTCAGTAGTGTGTGGTGGATATGGTTTTCCCATCACCATGAGCCACATACTATTTCTGTGCTCTGGGGGCCTTATTTCCTTCCCTGAAAGTTTTGTCTTTGTTCTTGCCTTCCAACTGATGCTGAGCTCCCACTTCTACTGAGATTTTAGAGTATAAAGTAGATGCTGGAAGATCTCATTTAGCCAACAATATCTGGGGATTTCCCCACAGTTGGCTGCTCTTTTGAGATGCATCTACCTGAGGAATATTTTTCTTAACATCTTAGTTTATGAATCATTTTGGAAGGGATGGCAAGCTAATTCTTCTTCCATCAACCCAATAAAGTATAATTGTCCCCATTTTTTAATTACACTTCAAGTTTTAGGGTACATGTGCACAACGTGCAGGTTTGTTACAGATGTATACATGTGCCATGTTGGTGTGCTGCACCCATTAACTTGCCATTTAACATTAGGTATATCTCCTAATGCTATCCCTCCCCCCTCCCCGCCCCCGCCACAACAGGCCCTGGTGTGTGATGTTCCCCTTCCTGTGTCCATGTGTTCTCATTGTTCAATTCCCACCTATGAGTGAGAACATGCGGTGTTTGGTTTTTTGTCCTTGTGATAGTTTGCTGAGAATGATGGTTTCCAGCTTCATCCATGTCCCTACAAAGGACATGAACTCATCCTTTTTTATGGCTGCATAGTATTCCATGGTGTATATGTGCCATATTTTCTTAATCCAGTCTATCATTGTTGGAATTGTCCCCATTTAGAGACTGAAGAAAATGAAATTTAACCTTATTCTGAAATATGTGTATTTACTCTAACAGAGACTAGGATATTCTGGTTTCTAGTTCACAACTTATTCTGTTTCCATTCAATCATGAAATTATTTCTGGGCTCAATGTTTACAGAAAGATATCAGAGTATCTCAGAGGTGGAAGGGATCTTCAGGATAAATTGATAAGTCCACGCTTCTCATGCTGAAAATGCATGATAGAAATTGTTTTTATTTGCATATAAGAGATTTTGGCCATCATTTGGTGTTCCTAACATGCTTCCTTTTAGGGTGACAACAAAAAAATGGAAGATGCTAAATTCTACCTGACCCTGCCTGGAACCAAGATGGAGATGGAAGAAAAAGAGCTTCAAGCATCCAAAAACCTGGTCACCTTCACCCCAAGCAAGGATAGCACTAAAGACAGCTTTCAGATTGCCACCCTCATCTGCTCCACAAAGCTCACCCAGAATGGTAGGAGTGGTGAATACACTGACACAAATAAGCTTCTTGCTCAGCCTTTCTGGGCTCCTTGGTTAGGCTCACAGGGCTGGACTATATGGGGCTGGGTCTTATTAGGTAGGATGTTGGCCAATTGGATTCTGCTCTCTGCTTTTCAAGTGGTATTCTGGGTAGTGCTGATCACATTGCACAGCCTCTTCTGAAGTTTCATCGTCCACTTTAGAGCAGGATGAAAAACATTTTAGTATTTAATATCTTAAAACCTATAAATGCATTTATTAACAGCAACTGTAAAATTCAAAAGCCGTATGTTCCCTGATAGTGCATTCTGTGTAGTATGTGCAGGAAGAGATGTTGGTAGTAAGAGGAGGAGCTTGGCAAAGAAATATAATCAGTTTCCTGTCCAAACAGGTATGGCAGGGCTTCCTGTTTGAGTTCTGTCCTTCCCTCCTATATTCTCTTCTTTCCCATTTTTTTCCAAGCAGTCAGGGATTTTCCATAAATTCAGCTGAATAGTTCAAAGAGGGATTCATTTGGTTTTTCCTTCAAATCTCTGATATCAATTTTAACCTCTCTTGTGTAGATTATGACATGTGCTAGCCAATATCAACTTCTTATTTATTTAACTTAAGTAATGTGTAAGGAACCCTACTGGATGTAGTAAACCAAGAATGAGCTGCCTAGGGGACTTGCGCTAGAAATTCTGTCTCCCATATGCCGTGTAGAGACTGTTGCCTTTGGCCTTGTAGACAGTTTGAGTGAGGTACAGGCAAGAGCTCTGCCTTAAGGGGTGCCAAGATAGACAAAAAAGTGTAGTTATAGGGTAAACCCAGGGATCAGATCCCTGATCTTTAGAAGGGCTCAGTGTTAGGTTTGTTTCAACAAGTCGTGGTTGACAAAAAGATAAGGATTGTATTTCAACTTGGACAAGTGGCTAGACTCCACAGAGTGAAGTTTAGGGCTAATCCGTATGTGCAAGTAAAAGCATCCTCACCAAAAATGAAGCCAGAAACATAAAAGACGTGACAAAACCGTCAGCAACATACCCCGTGTTATGGACAAAGCGAATCCATTAACAATGAACTGCTGGTAGGTTAATGGGTACAACATTTATGGAAGATAATTTAGAAGGCATATCAAGGAGTTTAACTGTCTTCAGACCCTTTGAGCCTGTGATTTGATTCCTGGAAGTTGCACTTAAGTAAACAATGAGAGATGGACACGAAGATTTATGTACAAGGATGTTGTTTCCCTATTATTTGTAACAGGGAAATACTGGAAACAACCCAAATGTCTGATAGTCAGGGTCAGTTTAACCACGTTTTATAATATAATTAAGTGATGAAATATATGCAGCTGCTAAATATGGTATTTCAAAACATAGTGAAGGACACGGTGAACTTTTTAACACTATATACAGTATGATCCCAGTTTTATTTAAGTATATGTGAGCAACCTGCAGGCAGATTGCCTGGCTTCAAATCCCAGCTCTGCCATTTACTAGCTGTTTCATCTTGGGCAAGTGACTTGATATCTCTGTGAATTGGTTTCCTTGTCTTTCAAATGGGAGCAATAATAGTATCTATTTCAAAGAATGCAGTAAATTAAAACACGTAAAAACTCACATTCGATCTATATAGTGAACACTATAATGTCAGCTATCACGATCATCATCACTATTTGTACACAGAAAACGATGAATAGGACTAACCCAAAGTTTGATAATTCTTGTTTTCTTTATTCTTTTTGGTATTTTCCAAATTTTTAACTATGAAATGTCAAAATGTTATTTTTTAAACTAAGTATGGTAGTATACTATATAAAGCATTAATGTTCTTTTAAAACTATCAAGGGATATTTGAGAGGGATAACACTTATTGAACATCTAGTAGATTATCCTTTCTGGACTACAGATTAAAGAAGAATAAAGAAAACAAGAATAAAAGTTTGTGAAATTAACTAGTAATGAAAAGCAAAAGGAATTTCTGTTAGAGATAACCATATTGTTACATTGTTTGTTATCTCCCTGTCAAAAATGTAGGGTTTCCTGACAACCCGCAGTTCTCAATGTAGACCCTTCGTTTGCTGATACATCTACTTCACCCCATCTTCTGAATGTTCTTAACTAGCCTGTACTGTCCCGATATGGTAGCCCCCAGACACATGTAGCTTGTAAAATTTAAATTAATTAAAATTGGAGGGTGGGGAGATTGGGGAGAAGTTGGACAAAAGGTACAAAAGCTCAATTAGACAAGAGGGATAAGTTCAAGAGATCTGTTATATATCCTCGTGTCTATAGTTAATAGTATAGTGTATACTTGAAAATTGGTAAGAGAGTAGATTTTAAGTGTTCTCACCACCAAACAATAAGTGAGATAATGTGTGTGTTAATTACCTTGATTTACCCTTCTACCGTGTGTGTGTGTGTGTCAGAACATCATGTTGTACACTGCAAATACATACAATTTTTATTTGTTAATTAAATTTTATTAATAAAATTAAATTATAAATCAGTCCGCTAGTTGCCCTAGTCGCATTTCAAGCATTCTGGTCTTCTGCAGCTGGTGAGTTTTGTGTTGGGCAGACGGATATACATTTTCATCATCACAGAATGTTCCTTTGGATGACACTGTATGCTTTATTTTGTCATCCTTATTCCTGATGTTTTGATTAAAAAAAAAGACAAACTCATCATAACACATACAAAAAAAGTCAGAAGTAATATCTTATTACAAAGAAGGGTTAAAAAGGCAAACCTTGTCTGAGTCAGAGAGGAGTGAGCTGCCATCCAAACAGACTGCGAGCAGGGAGAGGGAACAGGGTACAGAGAGGGAAAGACGGAGACTTGGCAAAGGCATCACGAGCATCAGGGAAAATGGGGTATTCCAGGGACAAATGATTGCAGATTATTCATGCATTTGCTTTCTTCTGACTTGATGGAAATTATAAAGAATGAATTTGATTTAATAAAAAGCTGAAGAACATTAATAAGCCATCAGCTAATTCTGTGAGGGTGTTGACTGAGTAGAGAGGGTAGCAGTGTTCTCACTGAGAGGGTGAACAAAGGCATTTCTCCTTCGCCTGAGGAGAGTTATTCAGACTCAAAAGGTTAAAAGCCACTGGAGTTTTAACAAACAGATCTTGGAGACTCTTTTGTTTACTTGATTTGTTTTTTAGAAACTAAAACAGACCAATTTGTGTGGGATCATTGGTTTCTGGGCCCACTGGAAGGTAAGAATAGATTTGTTTCCCAGGAAAAAGAGAGGAATGTGCAGGTCCCCAGAGGTGCGTGGCCTTGGGCCAGGAGGTTCATACTCAGTCAGTCATTGCACCCTCCAGCACCAACTTTGCCAGATCATCTCCAGCTTATTGATCAGAAAATTGAGTTTTAAAGTGGCAAAAAATCTTTCTTAAGCTCCTAAGTCGTGGACTTGTATTTTGAAAGCAGCTCTTTGTAGCTCCAAACAGTTTATAGTTTATCGTTTTGCAGTTACAGAGTCTCCAAGATCTGTTTGTTACGAACTCCAGTGACTTTTAACCTTTTGAGTCTGAATAGCTTTGTCTTTCTTTTCTCTTTAAAAGTATGTGTTCTTAAATTCTCTCCTTTAGGGTAGAAGGCAGTTACTACCCTAAATGTGGGGATTGTTATTCTCTTGCTTCTCTTTATAGTTTTGCCACATCTGTAGCCCTTAAGGTATATTGTTTCATTTTGCATTTTTTAATTTTATGTTAATAAATTAAATTATGAGTCAGTCCCTTAGTTGCCCTAGCCACATTTCAAGTGCTCAGTAATCTCCTGCAGCTGGCAACTTTTGCATGCCACCTTACTTATTTTTCGGTGGTGAGAACACTCAAAATCTATTCTCTTAGCAATTTTCAAGTATACAGTATACAGTACTATACAGTCTACAGTATTAATGTAGTTAATAATTGAACTGTCTAATTGAAGTCTTGTGTCACGTGTGAAATCATGTAACTTGCGCTTTTACTCAGCATTACTGAAGATTTGAAATATCCTGAATTCTTACACATTTCTGACAAGAATGTAAAATGAGGACAGTGACTTTGCATAATATTTAATATGGTTGAAGATATTCTTCCTGATGCCCCAGAAATCCCACCTTAGTTTTCTATCCCAGAGAAGCTGCTCTACCTGTATACCAGGAGACGTATGAGAATGTTCATGGCGGAATTGCTTATGATAGCAAAAAAACTAGAGACAACCCACGTGTTTATCAGCAGCAGAGTGGATAAACAAATTGTGTACACCCATACAATTGAATAGACACTATACAGCGAGAAAAAAAATTAACTAGAGCTACATGGATAAACCTGTATAAATCTTAGAAACACAGCAAGCATGGGGCTCTTTCTGTAACCCCGTGTCACTGCTCTCCTGGCCCTAAGACCTTAACAATTCACCAGATGCCAAAATATTTTCCTATGTGAGCAGTGATCTGGCATGCAGATATCACTAGGAAATAAACCTCTGGGCTGATAGATGGGTACTTTGCCAGAGCTGAAGCTGCTGGGTGAATATTCACCCCTGGTGAAGGGACTAAATCCTTTTCCTCCAGCAGCTATGAGTCAAGTGATGGAATGAGTGATACCTTCGACTAGCCTGTGACAGAAATAAGAGCTGGAGAATATGGAAGTAGATGGTGCCTAGTGGATGAATGAATATATTAATGATTGGGTTGAGCATATTATCAGTTTCCTTAGGGCTACTGGTTCCCTTTCCGTTCATTCATTTATTCCTTCATCAAACATGTATTGAACACCTAATAGATGGCTAGTACTAAGGCAAGATAAAAGAATGAATACTATATGATTCCTGCCTTCAAATGGCTGAGAACTATGGGAAGAGTCAAGGAGATACCAAGTACATCTTACCAAATACATAGTATTTCTGGGTATTTCAGGCAAAGGGAAGAATATACACAAAGACACAGAGATATTTCAGAACCTGCCATGGTTGGGCTGTAGTGATTGGATTTCTCTGACTGCTAAAGGGTAAAAGAGAATGGTGGTGGTTGGAAGTATGCAGGAGTGATATAGGTGGGGCCTTATTACATTCTCTATGTGGCATTGGAAGTTTATCCTGTAGACACGAGGAATCCCTAGGCACTAGGTTTTGGAGGGTGTTGATAAACACCCTCAAGAAGGACTTTGACTATTTATGAAAAATACATGTGTAACTACTTATATATTTCTACAAATTCATTGATTGAAAAATATCAGCCGGGCGCAGTGGCTCACACTTGTAATCCCTTTGGGAGGGATTTGGGAGGCACTCTGGGAGGCCGAGGCAGGAGGCTTGCTTTTGAAGCTCAGGAGTTCAAGACCAGCCTGGGCAACATGGTGAAAGCCCTTCTCTACAAAAAATACAAAAATTAGCCAGGTGTGGTGGTGCACCTGTAGTCCCAGCTACTCTGGAGGCTGAGGTGGGAGGAATGCTTGATCCTGGGAGGTGGAGGTTGCAGGTTGCAATGAGCTGAGATTGTGTGATTGCACCACTGCATGAGATTGCACTACTGCACCCCAGCCCGGGTGACAGAGCGACCTTGTCTCTCAAAGAAAAAAAAAGTATGTATTGCTACATTTACTAGATAGTGCTCTGAATAGAAATAGTAGCTTGATGTACTAAACTAGGTGATAATACAGTAACAGTCCAGATAACTGCAGTTTCTCTGTGACACACACACACACACACACACACACACACACACACACACATATATGTGTATTTCTTAATAGAGACAGGGTCTCTCTATGTTGCCCAGGCTGGTCTTGAATTCCTGAGCTCAAGTAATCCTCCTGTCTTGGCTTCCTAAAGTGTTGGGATTACAGGTGTTAGCCACTGTGCCCAGCCCCTTTGACATTTTTAATAGCTCAACATTTATTAAACCTGTAAGTGGCTTAAAGTTTCAAAATTCTCCATTGTAAGTCAAAAAATGTCTTAAGATTTTTATCCCAGACTTATGCTAAGGGTTATGAATCTGTTCCACCTTTTGTTTGAAATAGCCACCTGTCTGATTTGCTTGTCTATTTCTTCAAAGAACTCTGGGGAAAACAGTATGATAGAGTAGCAAGGAGTTGGTTTTTCAAATCAGATAAATATGTAATAAAATTCCATTTCTACCTCTCCTAAGACATGTAATTTAACTTCACAAAGCCTCAGTTTCCTCATCTAAAAGATGAAAAAAATAAAATCTGTGCAGTCATGATGTTGAAATAAATTAATGCATATATATATATATATATATAGAGAGAGAGAGAGAGAGAGAGAGAGAGAGAGAGAGAGAGATACACACATACCTATGTTCCTCTTTCCCTCTGAATCCACCCAGACATAGGTAGTGATAAGGGACAATTTAAATAAGGCAGCAAATTAAAAGTAGGAAGGTTACATTAGCATGCTTCTTAGCTTTACTTCTTATGACCATGATGTCATTATTTGAGAAATGTTAGTTTCAGTCAGATATTCTAAGTTCTTATGCATTAATAGTTAATTTTTTTCTCTTTGAAGAATGAAAGAGGACCACAAGGTTTTCTCTGACTTAGATAGGAGATAGTAAATTAAAAGAATATATAAGGCATCTTGAATTAGCCACTATTGAGAGCAATTACCTGTTCTAGAGAATTCTTTAGCTATGTCCTGAAATGGTCTGGGTTGTTCTCACCTGTATCTAATGTTTGTGGTTGTTCTTCCTAGTTGACCTGTTAGGCTTGTTAAATTGGCGTTCCAACTCCCAGAACATTAAACACAACCTAAAGAAGTTAATGGAAGTGGATGGAGGAGAGATTGTTAAGGTATGTTTATATATTCATAGTTAGAAATACACATACCTACATATATATACCTATCTAATTATACCTAATTGGTTCACCATTTAAAATTAAATCATTCATTGTAAATATAAAATCTACGTTGTTAAACAAGTGTGCTAGTTTTTTAAAAAATGCTATTTTAAACCTCTTTGATTTAAACTAGTTGTACCCAGATTTCTGTGGTGTGGGGCTGAATGAAAGCATCAAAATAACCTCTCCGTTTTTCTTATCTTCAGTTTTTGCAAGATACACTAGATGCACTCTTTAACATAATGATGGAAATGTCAGACAGTGAAACCTATGACTTCCTTGTGTTTGACGCACTGGTAAGCAGTTAAACATATTAACTAGTGTTTATTGTTGCAACTTTGTAGTTTTCAATATTTCACTATTATAAGTGATTGTGTGAATATCTTCTCACATAAATATTTGTTTACATCTCTCTGGTTATTGTTTTAGGCTGAATTCCTAGAAGTACTATTAGAAACAAATGACTTATATTTCAGGCCTTTGTTTGTTTCCTGTTAGGTCTCATTTTTTGATATGCTCTTTCTCATTAGAGAAGATAAGATGTTTTATTTTTATTAGAAATCAGGAATCATTTTAACTCACATTACCATGATCTGGAGCATTGTTACATGTTGGATTTGTGTGTGCACTGGTGTGTTTATGCAAGGGAGACTGAATTCACAAGTCAGAGGTGAATCTGAGCCTCATTAGGCAGAATATTCAACCCAGCAGAAAATTGAATTTGTCGCACAAAGCACTTAAACCTACAACCCATTGCAAGAATTGAAATCAGATCAGGGATAAGTGATATCAGAATCTGGGAAAGCCAGAGGTGAGGGTGGAGGGGAAGAAGCTGAAAGGCTCAAAGCAAGCATCGTTTTCACCTTGGTGGGGTGAAATTTCAGGACAGGATTTTACCTGAATGCCACAGCTGAGGAGGAAGGTCAGTTGCAGCTTTAGGCGATTTACCAGCTTTGAGAAACTAGTCAGTTTAGGAAATGATTAGGGTATTAAAGCTAAGGTTTAAGATAAAGAAAGAAAAGGCCACCTACTTGAGATCCAACTGGTTGGACTTGGGTTTATGGGAAAGAGAGACAGTGGTTATGGTTGCTGTGGGACAAGGTCTGGAAACAGATTCCTGAGGGACATAGCAGCTGGCAGTGGGCATAGATGGAAATCCCAAATGCCTCTTTCTTCTGACCCCTCTGTCTTAAACAGGGTAGTGTGGCTGATTTTAGGTCATGTGCCTGATAGCAGTGCAAGAGAATATACAAGAGGTAATTGGGAGATAAAACTCTGGTGCAGTTGTTACTGGGGGCACTCATAGTGTACACAGGAGAAAAATGTCATGGAATGTTTCATTAGCTGCATCCTTGGATTAGAGAAAACACCTTTCCAGAGCCTCCTTCCTCCTGCCCGTTAGGTTACCTGGGCATCGACTCCCCTGTCTTTGAGATAGTCAGCTCCCTGAGGCCAAGGATGCTGGCTTGAGTTGGTTTCTTCACAGCATTTAACATAGTGCCTGACACATAATAGTCTCTCTATTTATGCTAAATAAATACAATCCTCAAGACTTGACATCAGCTCTGGAATAGTAGAGTGGGAATGCTGCAGAAAAGATCCAGAGAGGAAAGAAGGCACCGAGATGTTAAAATGCGGCTTGTTGACAGAATACTTGGGATTGTGCAGTGCTGCTATTTCTATTTTTCACTTTTGGCAGGTATTTATTATTTCACTGATAGGAGACATCAAGTTCCAGCATTTTAATCCTGTACTTGAAACCTACATTTACAAGCACTTCAGCGCCACTTTGGCATATGTGTAAGTATGATCTGAAGGAACTACATGTTGTTGGATCTTTGGATTTGTACTCTTAGGACTGGATTGTTGAGAAACGAGACGGACCTATTACTATTCAGTAAATACGCCTGTTAAGGCAGAACTCTTATTCTAAGCTTCCGGGTGGAAAAAGGGAACCATCTAAGTATTCTAACTCTGGAAAGGGGGCTAAGATCAGGGCCTTCATTCTGGATCAGGCGAAATTTCCTTAAGGATCCAGAATAGGCCAGGCGTGGTTGCTCATACCTGCAATTCCAGCACTTTGTGGGGAGGATTGCTTGAGGCCAGGAATTCAAGACCAGCCTAGGCAACATAACAAGAACCTATCTTTACAAAAAATTAAAAAGTTAGCCAGGTGTGGTGACACACACCTGTAGTCCTAGCTACTCGAGAGGCTTAGGTGAGAGGATTGCTTAAGCCCAGGGAAGTCAAGGCTGCAGTGAGCTGTGATCATGCCATTGCACTCCAGCCTAAGTGACAGAGCAAGACTTAGTATCTAAAAAAAAAAAAAAAATCGAGCAAAATCAATAACAAATGACTCAACCCAGGATCTCAGAGGTTGAATGTCAGTGGGATTGGCGTGGGACATCAAGGAGATCAAACCATGAATTAAACAAGACCAAGTTTGATAGAAGAAAAGGTCATGCCCTCAACCCTGTACCACAAATGCTTTGTAAAATGTATTGCTTACAGGATATGAGAAGATTTCGTTTTCCCATCTTTTGCATAAGAGGCAGTGGTCTCTACCTTTTTTGTAGTGCAGCCTGCCTTCTATCATTGGTTTATGGGCCCCTGACTAAGGAAAGCAACTGATGTCCACTCCGCATTCCTCCCCAGAGCACTCAGCTCACCATGGCATTGTGTGTGCCTGCCACACCCACCCGTTGCCTTCCAGTTATTGTGCAGAATGTGATAAATAGTGAAAGGAATGTAGCTGGATTGGTCCATGATCTTCTTATGACAGTGGCTTAAGCCACATCCTGTAGATTGCTGCCCACTGACTTGTCAGCAAGAACACCAGTGACAGTGGCCGTTCCACCCAGGAGCCTCACATCCAGGTGGGCAATAGCTACAAATGAGGAAATCCCATCACTGTGATCATACCGAGCCAAATGCAGCACTCCAGGTGGTAGTAATCTGGGTTTACTTGCAAGACTTGATCAATTCTATATGTTTCCTTTTTAAAAAATAATAATTCGGCCGAGTGCTTGAACCCAGGAGGCAGAGATCACGCCACTGCACTCCATCCTGGGTGACAGAATGAGACTCCATCTAAATAATAATAATAATAATAATTATAAGTGACTATTATTATATTATTATGTATGACTATTATTGTATATAACTATTATTATTATTCTAGGAAAGCTCAAGGATCCCCAGAAGGAAAGTTTAAGTTTAAAATATCAGTGCCCTCCAAAGTCTAAGGGATAGCACAAAATGAAGACCATTCCTAGCCCAAAAACTCTAGAAAGACACAAAGAGCAACCTATAACCCCAGAACAGCTTTATCTGTTGAATGCTTAGAACCATGAATGTTCTGGAGAGTGAGCTCCTCTTTCTTCACTCCATAAAGTTTCTATCTGGCTCCATATTGATGGATCCCAATGGGTTGAGGCAGAATAAAAGGAATTAGGCTTCTTTTAAGTCAACTCCTGTAGGCAGGCATAATCCCTCATTTATGGGAGCATCTGAAGATGTCAGAATTGCATACCAGAGATTAAAATATCCTAGCAATTTGGGTCACTTCAACCATTTCATTTCATAACCCTCCGGTTTAATCCCACAAAGGGAAAGAAACCTTTTCTAGTATTTCTCAGCAGAAGGTAGTTCCAAACCTAGATGGCAGATGAGGAAACTTAATTGGAAAAGAGTTAATTTTGCTGTTCAGGGCATATTCTAGAAGATATAATTAGTTATGACTTCTACTTCCAGGATGCCATGTTCCCCTCTTAGATAACTTACCCAAGCCTCAGAGTATCCTGTTGCTCATTGGCTTAATTTTTCTTTCTCATTCTTCTAAGGAAACTCTCCAAGGTACTGAACTTCTATGTGGCTAATGCAGATGACTCCAGCAAGACTGAACTGCTTTTTGCTGCGTTGAAAGCCTTGAAGTACTTGTTTAGATTCATCATCCAATCCCGAGTGCTCTACTTGAGGTAATGTTAACTGCAGTGAAGATGTTTAGATTATCAGCTGTCACTCTGTGTGCTTTTTCCCTCACTCTGCACAGTGGTGTTCAGCTCTGTGAGCAGTTAGTTCTTAGAATTGCCTTATTTCAGAACTGCAGGGCTGAAGATGGATTTGGGCTGCGTGTCTGTTGGAGAAGACTCATGAGAAGTTTTTGTAGATCAGCAAAATTCTGGGGCAGTAATGACCTCAGGACTTGGGGAAGCAGATTCCTGTGGAAAGATTGTACCTAATACAGCAGATGACTTCATGACAATATTGAGTGTGCAAATCTAGGATCATGATCTGCTGTCGCTAGCAGAAGCAGCAGTCATCTCAGGGGAGGTGTTGCCTGAGATGAGTGTTTCCTTGTTGACACTGTGCTTAGCTACCTGGGCAACTAAGCACTAGAGACAGGATTATTCCCTGTTTGGATTTCTAGCATAACAGTTCCATCAAAAACAGAAGAAACTGCAAAAGAGCAAGTACCTTTGCAGGGAACATTCACAACCCCAGTGACTTTCCTACCCTTCAGAAATAGCTGTATTTCCAAACTGTTAAAATTTTTTTCTAAGGAAGAAAGAAAAGGTTTGTAGAATTGAGCATATGTATTTTTAAAAGAAACTTTATTGAAAAAAATAAAATTAAAGGCAAACAACCTGCAAAAAGGTTACATATAGTACAGATGAAAGTTTAATAGCTTTTCTCAGTTAAAGCTTTTATAAATCAATAAAAGAATGATAAATAGCCCTAATGGAAAACAAAAACAGGTAATTTACAAAAGAAAAACTTAAATGGTCAATAAACTTTTTAAAAAATTTCATACTATCAAAAGAATTTTGATACAGACGCACACACATGCATGCACACACACACCATCTTTTACCTATACATTTGAAAAAGATTAGACATCTTTGTCCTTGATGAGATTGGGCAAAAATTGGTCCTGTATTTCAGTTTTGATGCTAATGGAGATATAAATTCTTCAGGATAGAAATAGATAGTCTGAATAAAAACAAAAAAGAAGATTTTTAAGGGAAAGGAAAAAGTGTCACATTTGTCCAGTAATACCTCATCTAGAAATTTATCTAATGGAAAAAAAAAATCTTATCAGGTATGACAAAAATGAATGTGAAAGTATGTACATTCAGTCATTTCAAATGTAGGGTATGTTAATGAGGAAAGACGACCATGATAGATTCTTTTTTTTTTTTTTTTTTGAGATGGAGTCTTGCTCTGTCGCCCAGGCTGGAGTGCAGTGGTGTAATCTTGGCTCACTGCAGCCTCCACCTTACAGGTTCAAGCGATTCTCGTGCCTCAGCCTCCCGAGTAGCTGGGACTACAGGTGCATACCACCATGCCCAGCTAATTTTTTTGTATTTTTAGTAGCGATGGGGTTTGACATGTTAGCCAGGATGGTCTCGATCTCCTGACCTCGTGATCCCCCCGCCTCGGCCTCCGAAAGTGCTGGAATTACAGGCATGAGCCACTGCGCCTGGCCCGATACATTCTTAAATGATAAAACAAAGGTATTAAGCATGAGTACAGTATGATCTTCCTTTTAAAATAATACAGATTTGAAATATGTATAGTAAAGAAGACTGGATAGATCACATGCTAAAGTGTTTTTTTGTTGTTGTTTCTTTAGAGTTTTTTAGGGTTTTTTGTTTTTGTTTTTGAGACAGGGTCTGGCTCTGTCACCCAGGCGAGAGTTCAGTGGCATGATGTTGGGTCACTGCACTCTGCTTCCCGGGCTCAAGCGATCCTCCAACCTTAGCCCCCCAAGTAGCTGGGACCAAAGGGCACGTCACCATGCCCAGCTAATGTTTATATTTTTTGTAGAGACAGGGTCTCTCTATGTTACCCAGTCTGGTCTCAAACTCCTGGGCTCAAGGGATCTGCCCACCTCCGCCTCCCAAAGTGCTGGAATTACAGGCGTGAGCCACCGTGCCTGGTCTGAAATGTCAATAGTATGAAAACTTCATGTGACAGGGTTGTAATTTATTTTTTCATTCTTTATGTTTTTATTCTTTCAGCATTTGATTTACATTTATTATTCTATTTTTATTTGCTATTTTTTATATTTTTTTGAATTTTTAAATGAATATGTACCTTTCTGATTGTTTTTAAAAAATGTTTAATGACTTGAAACCCATCTGGCTGAATGACTGTCCCTCCTTTCCAGGTGGAAGTGGGCAGTGTTTTCCCCACACATAATTTATGCTCAGTCTCTGTATTTGCTTTCTTTTCAGAAGGTCTTCTTTTAAAGTTGTTTCATTATATTTTCCAGTTATGGTACATTTCCATGTATTCAGAATGGTTGGGGCATGGAGTGTTCGACCAAGGGAATATTCTCTTACCCAAAAGTTTGTATGTATAGTAAACCCTGATGTCCAAAAATCAGTATCAACTTTAAACCACAGAAAGAAAACCTGAGTGTGAAATTAAAATATATTTTCTTATGGATGGTTCACTAGTTCATTTCCTCTTCATTTGTTGAGGCACATCAGAGTCCTCATTCTAGACACCAGATAGGACAGTAAAGGATGGTGAGTGTGGAAAACAAAAGGTTAGGGCGACAGAGGACCCATGAAATTGACTAGGAGAGTTGCTTCATTACACACTGTCTGTGATGGCCTGCGTGTGGTTACTTTTCCCTTATATGTTATTAAAGAAGAACCTGAGCTGGGGAAGAGACTGGCAATGTGCGTCCCCTGGTTGCTTAGATTTAATGGTCACTTCAGTGCACTGGCCATGTCTGGAGGCTGCAGTGGAATGTCACCTGGTCCCTGGGCCCCCTGTTGCCTTCCGCAGAGCTTAAATCTCTCTTATGAGCTCATTACCTGGCTGGATTTCACCTCAATCAGCAAAACACCAAGAAAAAATTGTAAATTGCTCCCAATAGGATGTTGAGAAGCTTGATCTTAATCCCTTAGCCCCCTATCATTAGTACTTAAAAAAAAAATCAAGTCACATACGTAGAGTGCCAAGTGTTCTGCATTGGTGCAGGGCTTTTGCAGCATATGTGACCAGGCTCCCACTATGATGGTGTGTGTGGGTTCCATGGAGTTCAGGGAGGCAAGGAGTAAAGAAATCAACCCCTAAATGAAGGCAGTGTTGGAGTGGTGGAACCAGCAGGGAAGGCTGCCTGAGCTGAGCTGGGTGGAGGAGGAGGTGGTATCATGTGAGCTGAGACTGAAAGATGAAGAAGCAGCCTCCAGAGATGTCAGGTAAGGGTTAGTGGGAGCAGGACCTGCCCCAGGCAGGGACCTATAGGGCACCAAATGTGGATGCGTGAGGAGTAACGAGAACCCAGTGTCGGGAGAGAGAGCGGGAGTGGCCAGCAAATAGTAAATGATGTGGGGCCTTGTAGGCCATAGTGAGGAGCTTGGATTTTATTCCAAGTGTAGTGGGAAGCCGTTGGGGGACAACTAGAGAAGTAATAAAATCTGGCTTATATTTTAAATGATCATCTCATCTCCCACATGGAAAATGGATTATCGAAGGCTACAGGTAGAAGCCAGTGACCACTTTAAGAGGCCATTGTGGTTTAAATGTGAGATACTCCAGCCCCATCTCAGAGGCAGATGGAGAGAATGGACTGATTCGAGCTCGTAGGATTTGCTGTTGGGTTTGATGGGGCAATGAGAGAAAGAGAAGAAACATAGATAACATCTAGGTTTGGGGTGGATCTAGGTTCGAGGTGATGCTGTTTGCTGACATTTGTAATACTTAGAGTTGAGCAGGGAAATCAAGCGAATTCTGTTGTAGGTGTGTTAATTTTGAGATACTTTGGGGACTACATTGCAAATAAAGTTCTTTTCTAGTTCTGTAAAATGGGTGAATTGAGAATTACCATTAACCCTCTGATTAACGATCTCAGTGAAGTTCATATTCTTTGGGTACTATATAAGGTATAGGTGAATGGAGGAGATGAATTTAAATGTACATGTGTGTATTTGAGTGTGTGCATGAAATTTTGAATTCAAGCCATCCTATTCTTGACCAGTTAGTGGTGAAATTGCCACCTATTATATGTGCATATGCACTTTCATTTGGGACTTTTGTGTGTCTTGGAAAGTGCCCAAATATCTCTTGATTTCTACTTATGAGAAAGAACCCACTTTTGAGTTGGTGGACAGATCTTTTGGAGACAAGTAGAGTACTTTAATTAAGGCAAGCATGTATCAGCGAAGACTAAGGGGTCTTGTCCTGGAAGGCCCTTATGGTAGAGCAGGCCAGCATCGGCACGGGCAGTTCAGTGGCTAAAGTGGAACAAATGGTTTTGTAGGCTGGGTTGGGGATCAGAGCCTTTCCGGGTTGAGCGGCTTCTCTAACCCATTGCCTGAAACTTCAGATGACTGGGGCTTAATTAGGTGAGTCAGAATGATTAGGGTGATACGATGAAGGAGAAGTGAGGGAGGCAACAAATCTATTTTAAAATTTCTTTTAACAATGGAAAGTCCAACTGCTTTTGTCTTTTTCCTATTAAGATTTTATGGGCAGAGCAAAGATGGAGATGAGTTTAATAATTCAATTCGCCAGTTATTTCTTGCTTTCAATATGCTGATGGACAGGCCTCTGGAGGAAGCCGTCAAGATCAAGGTCAGCCTGGCAGCATCATGGGTAACTCTTCTTAGGCTGTGGTAAGGATGTTCTGGGACCGCTTAGAATTGGCCATCATGAGGGAGAAACAAAGTGAATCATGGTTCATGCATAGCTTATGAATTTTAGTATGATTTACAGAAAATAAAGGAAAAAAAATCCATTTTAACTTCTACAGAGCTTGTATTTTCAAGTGTCAACTTGCCAAAGACAAGCTACCCAATTAGACATCCCTTGAAAGGCCATTGTGAACCCTGTTTGACCCCATGATTTCAGCAAACTGATCCCAATGCACTACAGGTGACAAATTTTTATTTTTTGTCCCTCATTTTACCCAGAAGTGCAAAGTCACCATCTTTATTATCATAATTTTTTTAAAAAATATGAAATATATAATCCCTGAAGGCTCAAATGTGAACTTTACTATTAATATTTATTTTTTGCTCTTTATGGCCATGTTGCAAGAGAGGCTTCAAGAATTTAACCACCTCCTTAGGCAGAGAAATGAACTCCAAGTGGACAGAGCCTGCTGGCAGTAGAAACCAGAAAGCTGTACCCCCTGGCATCTTCAGGAAAAGCATTTTAGGAGATCGTGTAGAGCAATGCCAGCTTTCCTTTTTATTGTAAGGGTATCTGTGTCCAGTTCCCTATATAAGTTCCAAGCACAGCCTTTTCTTCCTGGGATCAAGCAGTAAATACTGTATTTGTCTTGCCTGGCAACTGAATTTGCCTTTGGTGTTTTTCTTACAGGGGGCAGCTTTGAAGTACCTTCCTAGCATAATTAATGATGTCAAACTTGTATTTGATCCTGTTGAGCTCAGGTAAATAGCAAAACAAAATTTTGTTCCTTAACTCTAACAGAAACAGCTCCCCTGCTTGGCTGGAGCCTGGGCTGCTACACCTGGCTTTTATTTTTCTAAGAAGTATTAACTGAATACCTTTTTGTGCTCAGTTCTGTGGAAGATGCAAAAGAACATCCAAAACCTGCCCTGAGAGAGGTTTGCACTTTCTCTGGGAAAACAAGACATGCAGACATAAAATCGATTACAAAAGATAGTGTATAATGACATGCTTCCAGCCCTACCCCTAAGTATCCCAGCAGTGCAAAGTCAGACTGCAATCAACATGAGAGTGGAGTTGCCAAGAAAGCCATTTTCATAAAGGCGGGTCTGGAAAGTGATGATGGACGTGGGTGTTCTTTGGCAATTTAAATACTCAGCTCTAAGGCAGAGCCCTCCAGTAAGTGAGGATAAAATCTCCCTTGCTGCCATGTCATAAACTCTCAGGTCATTTTGTAGTTTTCCAGGTAAATCTCTCCATGCCCAAATCTCAGAGTGGAGGAGAAAAGTTTATAATGATGCCTTCAATTTGGCAGAACGAAGACACTACTAACCCTGAGGTTTCTCTCCCAGCGTGCTCTTCTGCAAATTCATTCAAAGCATTCCTGACAACCAGCTGGTTCGGCAGAAACTTAACTGCATGACCAAGATAGTAGAGAGCACTCTTTTTCGACAGTCAGGTAAGTCTCCTTCAAAACTTGCTGCATGAGGTTGCAGTGAGCTGAGATTGCACCATTGCACTCCAGCCTGGGTGACAGAACAAGACTCCATCTCAAAAAGCTAAAACAAGCTGCTGCATGCTGAGATGACAGCCCCATTTCTGCAGCTAACACTTGGGTTTTGTTGTTTGTTTGTTTTTTCTTGTTTTTTTTTTTTTTTTTTTTTTTTTGAGACGGAGTCTCATTCTGTCACCCAGGCTGGAGTGCAGTGGCGCAATCTCGGCTCACTGCAACCTCGGCCTCCCAGGTTCAAGCAATTCTCCTGCCTCAGCCTCCCAAGTAGCTGGGACTACAAGGACCTGCCACCAAGCCCAGCTAATTTTTTTTTATTTTTATTTTTAGTAAAGACGGGGTTTCACCACGTTAGCCAGGATGGTCTTGATCTCCTGACCTCGTGATCCACCCGCCTCGGCCTCCCAAAGTGTTGGGATTACAGGCGTGAGCCACCGCGTCCGGCTTGTTTGTTTTTTAAGACGGAATCTCACTCCCTCACCTAGGCTGGAGTTCTGTGGCACTGTCTCTGCTCCCTCTAACCTCTGCTTCCCAGGTTCAAGTGATTCTCCTGCCTCAGCCCCCTGAGTAGCTGGGATTACAGGTGTACATCACCACACCCAGCTAATTTTTTTTTTTTTTTGTATTTTTGGGAGAGGGGGGGTTTCACAATGTTGGCCAGGCTGGCCTCAAACTCCTGACCTCAAGTGATCTGCCCAACTTGGCCTCCCAAAGTACTGGGATTACAGGCATAATTACCGTGCCCAGTCAGCACTTGACTTTTCTTTTTTAAAAATGTCATTAATATTCTTGCCAGTTGTTTGTTGGCAACATTAATATTGTTGCCAGTTGTATGTAAGGACCTCCTGGGAGAGCGGTTTTAAGGAGAATCTAAAGTCAGCTCGGTATTTCCAACAGTTCCTAAAAGAGCAAAATCATGTGTTCCTTAATCTTTAATTAGAACAATCTGCAAGTGGTTCATTAATTAGAGAATTTTGTCTTTAAAACAGGAACCTCAGGAAGTAACAAGCAAGTAGGAAAAGATGACCCTTTTAAAAGAAATTATTCTTCTTTAGTCTATACTTATTGCATGACCTTAAAAACCAGGGGACAGGGAAACAGCAATGTGTTGGATCCCACAGGAGAGCTGGTTACATGCATCCCTTCTCAACCCCACGTTCAGTGATATCACATTAGTAGCTGGAAATTGACCATGGTGGAAGTCTTTACACCAGGGTAACTGGCAAACATGATAAAGCAAGCGTTTTTTTGTTTTGTTTTGTTTTGAGATGGAGTCTCACTCTTTCGCCCAGGCTGGAATGCAGCAGCATGAACTTGGCTCACTGCAACCTCCACCTCCCAGGTTCAAGCAATTCTCCTGCCTCAGCCTCCCAAGTAGCTGGGATTACAGGTGTGCACCACCATGCCCAGCTAATTTTTTTTGTAATCTTAGTAAAGCCAGGGTTTCACCATGTTGGCCAGCTTGTCTCAAGCTCCTGACCTCAGGTGATCCACCCACCTTGGCCTCCCAGAGTGCTGGGATTATAGGCATGAGCCACTGCACCTGGCCAAGCTGTTTTCTTTAGGGGGTAGGCTGGCAGAAGCCAGATTACTAGTATTCTGCTGGGAGAGGAGTGGGGCATGGAGGGGAAAAACTCTTACACTGATAAAATACTTTTCATTTTGTAAGTAGAGTCTAGCAAATAGCCACCAAGTGTTTCTGTCCCAAAGCTGATATAAACAGGAGGTCCAGCACCTGGGCCTTCCCAATAAACTCAAGACTTGCTAGAGTGAGGCAGCCACGGAGACTTCTTCTGGGGCTAACTACCTGGTCAGGGGCTCCCAGAGTGTAACCTCATTTTATGTATGTATATTGCCTGGAGATCTGAAGACCAGCAGGACTCCTCAACGTTAAACAAGTTGAGTGGATTGTTGGTGGGAGAGCCTTCCTGGCTTTGCCCCTGGCTAGTTATGTAACTGGACAAATGAGTGGCCTTCTCTAAGTCTCAGCCTCCAGTTCTGTGGAAGGAAGGACTTGAGCTAGATCGTATCAGTAGCCTCCTTGGGCTCTGATATTTTCTGACCCTATGAATTTGCACTTTGAAATTGCAAATGTTCCTAAGACACAATTGGAGGTAGAGGTAATGCCTGCAAAAGGTTAGTGAATGCTCATAAGTAGAAAACATTTATTACTAAAGCAAATTATTACTAAACATTTTAATATGCTTTGATCACTTTTTAAGGATACAGAAAAGGTAATTGAGATAGTAAAGATAAGGTGTTTGAGCAGAAGAGCAAGCATGCACTGGATAGTTCTACTTAGAGTGTGATCACGGTTAACAGTCATTTCTGTAGCATTCAGAGTACCTGAACTCATTATAAAATGTGTTACAATAGCAAAGATCTCAGAAGACATAATAGGTCATACCTTACTTTCTGAAATCCACACGCCTGCACAGACATGAGCAGAATGTCATTGACATGTACTAGGGAAGCTCAGTATTTATAGGAACTTTATTTATAGGAACTTCTTTCAGTAAATTTTCTCCATTAGGTGAAAAAATTTTTGAAAAAAAAAATGTATAACTTGCTTGGTTTTATTTGTTTCATATGACCCTCAATTTCGTGCATTAGGTTGGCGTTTTGAAAAGCTAGAGAAATTGTTAAATAATTTAAACATTTTGCTAAGTTCCCACCTTCACCTGTGAGAAGGGTCATTTTTTTTTTTTTTAATTCATTCATCTGCGCATTGAACAAGGGTAAAGTTCCGTGCCTAAAACCAGGTGTTCCTGGGTGGCCTGGAGGGGCTGCATCCCTGCAGGGCTGATTGCAGAGCTTAGAGCTACTGGTACTGGTCGAGGAAGAGTTGCAGGAAGGAGACAGGCAGTTCAGGAGGTGGCACTGCTGTGTGTGAGCTGTCTGTGTTTTCCTTCTCAGAGTGCAGAGAAGTGCTGCTGCCACTGCTGACAGACCAGCTCAGCGGCCAGTTAGATGACAACTCCAACAAGCCTGACCACGAGGCAAGCTCGCAGCTTCTGAGCAACATCCTGGAGGTGCTGGACAGGAAGGATGTGGTGAGTTGAGTCATCACTGATGCTGCACAGAGTTCACACTGTCCCCTTTGCACCAGACAGGAGTGACTCCGTGGCCTTCCTATTCTCAGGTAGTTTCCAGCTCCGGTATTAGGGCAGGCTGTGCCCATTTTAGAGATAATTAGGGAGGCCAGAGCCTCCAGTGCAAAGTCAGATTACTGCTGGGGCCTTCTGCAGGCTGATTTTCCTGGCTTGCCCAGTGTGCGCACTATTGAGATCCCTGTGACTTTTTTTTTTTGAGAGGGAGTCTCGCTCTGTCGCCCAGGCTGGAGTGCAGTGGCGCGATCTCGGCTCACTGCAAGCTCCGCCTCCCGGGTTCACGCCATTCTCCTGTCCCAGCCTCCCGAGTAGCTGGGACTACAGGCGCCCGCCACCACGCCCGGCTAATTTTTTTGTATTTTTAGTAGAGACGGGGTTTCACTGTGTTAGCCAGGATAGTCTCGATCTCCTGACCTCGTGATCCACCCATCTCGGCCTCCCAAAGTGGTGGGATTACAGGCATGAGCCATCGCGCCCAGCCCCTGTGACTATTCTTAAGAATCAAAGACCTGACTGGGCATGGTGGCTCAGGCCTGTAATCCCAGCACTTTGGGAGGCCAAGTCAGGAGGATCACTTGAGTCCAGGAGTTCAAGACTGACCAGCCTGGGCAACTTAGTAAGACTTTGTCTCTCTAAAAAATAATAATAATAATAAAAAATAAAGAATCAAAGGCCTTTCTGTTTTTATGCAGACACCTCTTCCTTCTTATCCTCTGATGCCTAACAACCTGATATTTCTGAGCTGCTGAGAAGTTCTCATTTCCATATCCTCTTGGACACTGATACTTTCTCTGGAACCTAATGGAAATTATGTTTTCTCATCTTGCGTTTTCTCTGTGACCTGGCCCCCATCCCTCTTGAAAACACAGGGCTAAGGCCGGGCGTGGTGGCTCACGCCTGTAACCCCAGCACTTTGGGAGGCCGAGGTGGATGGATCACGAGGTCAGGAGATCGAGACCATCCTGGCTAACACAGTGAAACCCTGTCTCTACTAAAAATACCAAAATTAGCTGGGCGTGGTGGCACGCGCCTATAGTCCCAGCTACTCGGGAGGCCGAGGCAGGAGAATCCCTTGAACCTGGGAGGCGGAGGTTGCAGTGAGCCAAGATTGTGCCACTGCACTCCAGCCTGGGTAATAGATTGAGACTCCAACTCCAAAAAAAAAAAAAAGAAAACATAGGGCTGAACCTGTCTGGATTCACCATGTCCTAGAAATAGTGCAGCCCACAGGCCTAGCAGAGCCCCCACACAGGAAGCTGGAGAACTTTGCAGAATGTGTTCACTCGAACAGTTGAGGGCTGAGAAAAAAAAAGCATCTTACCACAAATTATAGTTACCACGTCTATGGTGGTTTCATGGCACAGGTGTTCCCACAGAACAGGAAAACCACTCTTTGTCATCACCTAAAGTCTTTATCTTTCCAGTATCTTGGGATTCTGTCCTACCAAAGGATATGAATACTACACCTTTTCCCATAGCTAAACCGTTAGTTCACTTGTCAGGGTCCACCACCGTTTGACTACAGCCCACCTTTTCTCCTGCTCATGGTTTGCACTGGGATGTCTACATTTCTGTGAATCCACATTGCAGCCTCAGAAGTATGTGAGGGTACCATTGCCATCTCTAGCTGCTCCGCCAATCTCTGTCCCTCCACTTCCCTAAGCCCCTGTAGCCCACTTACTCTTTGCACTGCTTACTTGATATTTATTCATTATAGATCATTCCCCCTTTTTTTCATTAAGTATGTTTATAGAAACCACATTATAAAATGGAATACATTTTCTCAAAGCATGTTGCGATTGGAGATTTGGTTCCTAACCAAGGACTTTGCACCAAATACGTAAATGTGACCAATCACGTCATAAACTCAATACTTTTTTAAAAGTAACTCTTATAATTCAATAATTCCTTAAAATAATAAAGTAAAGCTCCACGCCCTATAAATTTGGCAGCAATGTACCTGGCACATTGGTTTAGCCAGGGATCAGTGTTCTAGAAATCATATGTTTATGATCCAAAGTTAATGTAAAACACAAGAATCAGAGCATTGGATTCTAGTCCCAATATTACCACTCTGCAGCTATTTGTCCTTAGTCAAATATCTCAGTGCCTCAGTCTCCTAACCCAGTCCATTGTATGTAGGAATTGTTCTAGACGACCTCTTTAGTCTCTTCCACTTCTGACCCTATTGTTTAATACATCACATCTCTACCAACCTTCTCACCACCCAGAAAGACTCTTTGGAAATGACTTGAATGTATTTAAATCCTGTGCAAGGAGATTTAAGTTAGCTTTTTATTTTGGTATTCCCAATATTATGTTCCCTGTAATGAGCAGAGACATTCAAAATTATCGATCTTGGAGCTCTGGTAAAGTAGTAAGTCCAATCGTTTTTTGTCCATCATGATGGTACCTTTTTTTCTTCATAAACATTTTGAAATATGTGCACTAGTTCAATATCTCTTCTCTTATCCTCTCATCTCCTTAGTTAACTCAAAGCTCTAATTACTGATATTTGTTCTTCCTGCCTTTTGTTTTATTTTTTTAAACATTGCAGGATTCCCTCCTCTCCCCACAGCTCTGTTTTGGAATTGTCCTGGTTCTTTCAAGTCCAGCTGCAGTAAGCACCTCTGTGAAGTTGTCTCTGGTGTGGTCCTGCCAAATTCTACTCATTCTTTTCATGCTCCCTTTGAGTTTCTTTTGAGGATTTTATCACTTTGTACATTGAGTTAGGAATGCAGCTCACAAATCCTTGGGAAGCTGCTCTTATGCTCCAGGCACTGGGATCAGCTAGGGCTATGACAGTGAACTAGAGAAGCAAGCACCCTACCCCCAGGAGCCCACCTTCTAGGGAGATTCTTGTGTTATGCTTATTTAAATGTATGTCCCAGCTGGGTGCAGTGGCTCAGGCCTGTAATCCCAGCACTTTGGGAGGCTGAGACAGGTAGATCACGAGATCAGGAGTTCGAGACCAGCCTGACCAACATGATAAAACCCCATCTCTACTAAAAATACAAAAATTAGCTGGGCGTGGTGGTGCGCACCTGTAACCCCAGCTACTCTGGAGGCTGAGGCGGGAGAATCACTTGAACCCGGGAGGCAGAGGTTGCAGTGAGCCAAGATCACACCACTGCACTCCAGCTTGGGCAACAGAGCGAGACTCTGTCTCAAAAAAAAAAAAAAAAATTTATGTACCACTCACCCGCACCCCCACAATAGAAATCTCTAAAGGCTCAGAGGAGCCTTATTCATTTCATACCCTCCCCACAAGGCACAGCGTGTAACTTGCACAACTATTTAGGGCCACACTAAGGAAATGTTATGTAAATGGAAGTGAAAGCAGCATCTCCTGGAGAGGCTGATTTTATGAATCACTTTCATTCAGGGAAATGGGAAACAAGTAAATGACTAATAAAAAGTGAAGGAGGAAGAGAAGAAGGGACAGAGGGAAGCAGAGAGGGAGGGTGGACCCCAGGTACTTGATACTGTAATTAAAATACATATAGCCATACCATAATTGAGAAGTCAAAAAACAATAGATGTGGGCATAGACGTGGTGAAAGGGGAACATTGTTACACTGCTGGGGGAATGCAAATTATTAGTACGACGACTATGAAAAACAGTATGAAAAACTATGAAAAACAGACTATGAAAAACAGGGAATGCAAATTATTAGTATGACAACTATGAAACATGTTTAAAGAACTAAAAGTAGAAGTACCATTCAATCCAGCAATTCCACTCCTGGGCATCTACCCAAAGGAAAATAAGTCATTATATGAAAAAGATACATGCACGTGCATGTTTATAGCAGCACAATTTGCAATAGCAAAGATATGAAACCCATCTAAGTGTCCATTGACCAATGAGTGGATAAAGTGTGGTATATATGCATCATGGAATATTACTCACTCATAAAAAGGAACAAAATAATGTCTTTTGCAATAACTTAGGTGGAGATGGAGGCCATTATTCTAAGTGAAGTAACTCAAGAATGGAAAATCAAATATTATATGTTCTCACTTATAAGTGGGAGCTAAGCTATGAGAATGCAAAGGCTTAAGAGTGATATTATGGACTTTGTGGACTTTCCGGGGAAAGGCTAAGAGGTGGGTGAGCGATAAAAGACTACGCATTGGGTACAGTGTACACTGCTTGGGTGATGGGTAAACAAAAATCTCAGAATCACCAATAAAGAACTCATCCATGTAACCAGAAACCACTCGTACCCCCAAAACTATTGAAATCAAAAAGAAAATTCCTACAGCCATAGACAAATCCTACCTGATCTGACTTCTATGTGGAATCTAAAAAAGTTAGACTCCTAGAAGCAGAGAGTAGAACATTCTTTACCAGGGGCAGGATGGGGAGATGTTGATCAAAGGGTAGAAAGTGTCGGTTATAGGATGAGCAAGTTCTGGGAATCTAATGTATGGCATGGGTGGCAATAGATGTGTTAATTTGACCGTGGAAATCATTACACGATTACGTGGATCAAATCTTCATGTTGTACACGCTGGATAAGTACAGTCTTTGCCAGTTAAATTTGTAAAAGATAATAAAAATGTTAAGCAAAAAAATACAAATAGCAATGATTTAGTTATTTGAAGCATTAAGCAGGAGTTTCAAAGTATCTATCATAAAGCAAGGACAGATAGAGGCTATGAAAAGTCAAGTTGCATGTGGGTAAGTCGGAGCCAAATGAGGGTAATATCTAGCTACAAAAAAGGAAAGAAGGTGAAAGAAAGAATGTGTACATCAGCCCTACTAATTCCAATAAGAAAACTGTTACTGTCCCCCTTTTGCAGCTATGAAAACTGCAAGCTCAGCGAAGTTGAATAATTGCTCAAAGTCACACATGACACAGTCAGAATACAAAATCCTTGTATTAGTCTGCTCAGTCAGTCTTCTATAACAAAATACCACAGACTGCGTGGCTTAAACAACAGACATTTATTTTCTCACAGTTCTGGAGACTGAGTTTCTGAGATCAGGGTGCCAGCGTGGTTAAGTTTTGGTTAGGTCTCTCTTCCCAGCTTGCAGACAGCTACCTTCTTGCTGTGTGCTCACCTGGTGGAGAGAGAGATCCACATCTGTGATACTCATTTACTAAGAGCATTTATCCCGTCAGTCCAGGGCCCCACCCTCATGACCTCATCTAACCTTCATTACATCTCAAGAGCTGCATCTCCTAATACCATCACGATGGGGGTTAGGGCTTCACATATGAATCTGGAGGAGACACAAACATTTACTCCATAACAATTCCCTTGACTTGAATTTCTTGTTTTTTTCCCTCCAACACAGAAGGTGGTAAGAGCTTTGTATTTTTGCCTTTAATTTCCCACACATGTGCCTAATTGACCTGAGCAATTCTTTTATTTTTATTTTTATTTTTATTTTTTTGAGATGGAGTCTGGCTCTGTCACCCAGGCTGGAGTGCAGTGGCGTGATCTCAGCTCACTGCAAGCTCCACCTCCTGGGTTCCCGCCATTCTCCTGCCTCAGCCTCCCGATTAGCTGGGACTACAGATGCCCGCCACCACGCCCGGCTAATGTTTTGTATTTTTTAGTAGAGACGGGGTTTCACTGTATTAGCCAGGATGGTCTCGAACTCCTGACCTTGTAATCCGCCCGCCTCAGCCTCCCAAAGTGCTGGGATTACAGGCGTGAGCCACCGCACCTGGCCTGACCTGAGCGATTCTAATCTGCTCAACCTCAGAACAGAATACGTCATGCTAATGGGGGTCCCCCAAAACTATTTGTTGAGTCAGTGGCCACAGTGAGCTCTCAGTGAACCTGAGCAATCTGAGTTATTAAGAAGGCACTCATCCCTGCACAGCCACATTCATCTTTTAAGTGTTATGACTGATCATTTTCAACTATTTTCTTCATAAAGTTATATATTATTCTGTGAGACCATTTTCCACTTTTGGACAAGAGATTGCTTTGTAGGGAAAAGCCAAAAAGAGATCTAAAGACAAAACTCATCTATCTGAGGTTCCTTAAAGAAAGTGAAACTGAGTCAGAAGGAATGGAGTCAAATCCTGTGTTCCCTGCAGGGTGCCACTGCGGTGCACATTCAGCTTATAATGGAACGGCTGCTGAGAAGGATCAACCGGACAGTGATTGGGATGAACCGGCAGTCTCCCCACATCGTGAGTATCTCTTTGTTGGATCCCACGGCCGCTGCTGTTTCTCTGTCCCCTTTGCCTATCGGGAGGCCTTCGGGGCCAGTGGCTTGAGACTATTCTTCACATGGGCCTCTCACATCATGGGTCATTGGTTATAACCTTAGCAGATCTTGATTCTGACATGGATTTTCTGTTGAGAGAAAATAATCCAGCCTAGGCAATATAGTGAGACCCCATCCCTACAAAAAATTTAAAAAATTAGCTGGGTGTGGTGGTGGCACGTGCCTGTGGTTGCAGCTACTCAGGAGGCTAAGGTGGGAGGATCACTTAAACGTGAGATGTCGAGGCTGCAGTGAGCTGTGATTGCACCATTGCATCCTAGCCTGGACAACAGAGCAATAGCCTGCCTTTGAAAAAGAAAAAAAAAAAAAAAGCAGCAAGCAGGGAGGGAAGGGAGGGAGGGAGGGAGGGAGGAAGGAAGGAAGGAAAAAAGGAGAGAAAAGAAGAAAAGAGAAAAGAAAGAAAATGATCCAGTATGAACCACCCAGCCCCTTTGATTCAAGGAAGAAACCAAACATTTTAAAGAACCTGTGGTTAGCATGCTTGTGGAAAGGCCATTGTTGGTCTGGCCTCTTATTTTCTGTGCACTCTATCTAAACAGATGCCGGGTAACAACTATGATAGAGGCCATAGGTAGCTGTTGAAAGGCTAAGTGGTGTCATCATTAAAGTGAAGCATCTTTTACTTCCTATATTAAAAGCTTCCTATATTAAAATCGAATTAGATTTTAATTAGAGGACATAGGAAAAGAACTATTTCAAATTCCTATCAGATAAGAAAAATTCATTTATTTCACAAATACGTATTTAAAAACTGCCATAAAACAGGCACTGCTCTGGACACTGAAGAGGTACCCATAAACAAAACAGAAAAATCACTGCCTTTGAGGAGCTGACATTCCAACAATAATGACAGCAGTTACAGCAAAATAAACTACATAGTGTTAGGAGGCAACAGGGGCTAGAGAGAAAAAAAATGAGCAGGATAAGGGAAGTGAGGGTGGGGAGTCACACCTTTAAATAAGATGATTAGGAATTTTACCAGAGAGGGTAAAATTTGGGTAAAAACTTGAGGAAGGTAAGGGAGTGAGCCATGTGGCTATCTGGGAAGGGTCTTCCAGGGAGAGGCCACAGCCATAGCAGAAACCCTAAGACATGCCTGGTCAGAACCTGTAGGGTGATGGAGCTGATCCTAATAAGAATAAAGAGAAACGATTGCAAGTAAAACTGTCTTTCTGCTGGATTAAAACCCAATCTCTGAGCCGAGGAGTTCGAGACTGGCCTGGGCAACACAGCAAGACCCCATCTCTACAAAAATTTTTTAAAAAATTAGCCAGGTGCAGTGATTAGTGCCTGTACGCCCAGCTACTCTGGAGGCTGAGGCAGGAGGATCGCTTGAACCCAGGAGATCAAGGCTGCAATGAGCTATGATCTCGCCATTGCACTTCAGCCTGGGTGACTGAGTAAGACCCTGTTTCAAAATATAAAATAAAACAAAATAAAATAAAAATCCAAGCTCATCCAAAACATATTATAAAAGGATTTAGATCTTGTATTAGTGGATTATCAGTTAACTAGACTAGTCCTACATCTTTTTCTCAAGGAAGTATCTGAGGGAACAAAGACTAATATGGAAATTGGAGAATTCCTCATGTAAAATCAAGGCTTTTATCTTTAGAACAGTCAGATTGTTGGCAAGGAAATACTATTTTTTTTTTTACCAACAGAAAGAGGGAATAAAACCTAAAATCTATCAATTACTTTTTATTTCTAGGCCCTGATAATATTGCTGTTAATCACTTGTGCAAAAATAAAATCTATAGCTTAACTGATCTGTCTTTTCCACCCATTGACTATTGAAGGGTAAGAATGACTTAGGAAGCTGGGTGCGGTGGCTCATGCCTGTAATATCAGCACTTTGGAAGGCTGAGGCGGGCAGATCACCTGAGGTCAGGAGTTCGAGACCAGCCTGGCCAACATGGTGAAACTCTGTCTCTACTAAATATACAAAAGTTAGCCAGGTGTGGTGACACATCTGTAACCCCAGCTACTCCGGAGGCTGAGGTAGGAGAATTGTTTAAACCCAAGAGGTGGAGGTTGAGGTTGCAATGAGCCAAGGTCACGCCACTGCACTCCACCCTGGGTGACAGAGTGAGACTTTGTCTTAAAAAAAAAAAAAAAAAAAAACAAACAAAAAAAAAAACGTAGGAGAGAAAACTAGTCAAATCACTTATATGTTTTATATGTTTAAAAGTTGGGCATGTTTTAACAGCATTGCTTCACTAATCCCTTTATAATTTACTGAAATTACTAACAGATGGAGTGCAATTTAGCAGATCAAGATGGAAAAAAACAGGATTGAAGAACATTGCGTTATGCTAAAACTGATATACTTTTAGAGTATTTTACATATTTTGTGAAATTTAAGAAAAGACAATGTACCATTAATTGCTATTGCCAAGCCATTTCTATCATACATTATAAAGAAAGATTGATATGGGAAATGATATATTGGCTATAGATAATTACATACTTGAATTCAAATTTCCTGAGCTCCTTTTAGGAATCAAATTGCATGTTGTCTCCCTTGTTTAAACTCACTCAAGGACATCAGCTCCATATGTTTGAAGGGAAGGGCAGGACTGGATGTAAAGGCAGCAGTACTCCCGCCGTGCTTCCGCTAACATGAAATGAGAGTGGGAATGACTTAGATCCACGGAGTGATGGCGGTGCCAAAAGAAGCAAAGTGAAGTGGGAATGATAAGCATAAGAAGGAAAAAAAGTGAGGGGAAAATGTACAGACAGACACAGACAGTCGCGAAGAGAGATGTGGAAAAAGAAAATCTACATGGCTTGATACAGTTTATTCCAGATATTCAAGAATGGTTAAATATTAGGAAATACATTTATAAAATAACATCAATTCAATAAAAGGAAAAAAGCCTTATAATTTTCTTCATAGATGCCAAAATGGTATCTGATTATTGTTACATTTTTTCCCAAATCAAGAAGAGGAGGGAACTTTTTAGCGTGAAATCACCAGGCATCATGATACTCAATGGTCGTTAAAAAAGGGAATCAAGATATTTAGGCCAAGCACAATGGCTCACACCTGTAATCCCAGCACTTTGGGAGGCTGAGGCAGGAGTATTGCTTAAAGCCAGGAGTTTGAGACTAGTGTGGGCAACATAGCAAGACCCTGTCTCTACAAAAAAATTAAAAGTTAGCCAGGCATGGCAGCATGTGCCTGTAGCCCCAGCTGCTTAGGAGGATGAGGCAGGAGGCTTGCTTGAACTCAGGAAATTGAGGCTGCAGTGAGCTGTGAAGGTGCCACTGTGCTTCAGCCTGGGTGACAGAATGAGAACCTGTCTCTATTTAGAAAAAAAAAGGTATTTAATTTCAACACTGTTGTTTAGCTTTTTCTATAATTTCTAGCCAATGTAATAAGAAAAAGATACTAAACATAAATATTGTAAAAGTAAAAATAATTGTCATTATTTTTAGCTGAAATGACCAGCATATCTACAAAACCCAAGAGGGTTTACTCAAATTTTAGTAAAACTAATAAACAATTTATTAAACTAACCTGTTTATTTATTTTGTTTTGAGACAGGGTGTCACTCTGTCAGCCAGGCTGGAGTGCAGGGGTGCTATCTCGGCTCACTGCGACCTCCACCTCCCAGGTTCAAGTGATTGTCCTACCTCAGCCTCCCAAATAGCTGGGGTTACAAGTGTGTGCCCTGACACCCAGCTAATTTTTGTATTTTTAGCAGAGACGAGGTTTTGCCATGTTGGCCGGGCTAGTCTTGATCTCCTGACCTCAAATGATCCACCCGCCTTAGCATCCTAAAGTGCTGGGATTACAGGCATGAGCCACTGCACCCAGCCTCTAACCTGTTTTAAAATAAATGATATTTAATGCCTGTTCTTTAACAATGGAAGCTATTTAGAGATTATAAATAAGAAATTCTATTTAATTTAGTCACAAAAATATCAGAGTAAAAATAAATACTAGTTACAAATAAATAGCCAAATAGAAATAATAATGGGGCCTGGCATGGTGGCTCACGCCTGTAATCCCTGCACTTTGGGAGGCTGAGGCGGGCAGATCATGAGGTCAGGAGATCGAGACCATCCTGGCCAATATGGTGAAACCCCGTCTCTATTAAAATACAAAAAAAAAAAAAAAATAGCCAGTTGTGGTGATGCATGGCTGTAGTCCGAGCTATTGGGAGGCTGAGGCAGGGGGAATCACTTGAACCCCGGAGGCAGAGCTTTCAGTGAGCTGAGATCGCGCCACTGCACTCCAGCCTGGTGACAGAGCGAGACTCCGTCTCGAAAAAAACAAAAAATACATAATAATGGAGAGCTTGCCTGTCAGACTTAGTGGACACATATCAGCAGAACAGAACCATGATAAGTGAAAAGGAGACTTTGGATTATATGAACATTTCATTACCTTTCTAAAGGGAAAATGAAGGTTTTTAGTAAATGTTATTTAGAAAATTAGTTAACAATTTGGGGCTGGGTGCGGTGGCTCATGCCTGTGATCCTAGCACTTCGGGAGGCTGAACCTAGCAGATTGCTTGATCCCAGGAGTTGGAGACCAGCCTGAGAAACATGGCAAGACCCTGTCTTAAAAAAAATACACAAAAATTAGCCAGGCATGGTGACATGCGCCTGTAATCCCAGCTACTCAGGAGGCTAAGATGTGAGGATCGCTTGAGCCCCAGGGAAGTCGAGGCTACAGTCAGCCATGATCGCCACTGCACTGTAGCCTGAGTGACAGAACGAGACCCTGTCTCAAAGAAAGAAAAAGAAAATTAGTTAACAATTTGGAAAAAATTTGTTCAACTTCATGCTATACCCACAAAATAAATGTCAGAGTGAAGTGTTCAATTAAAAAAAGTTGTATCATAAAGCACTAGAATAAAATAATAAATAGATAACTGATTTGAGGAGGAATAGGATTCATGGATTTTTTATAGTTAAAATACAAGAAAACAATTTTACTAGATAAAATTTTAAATCCCTCTATATGAAGATTATATATATATATATATATATATATATATATATATATATGCAAATTAAATGTCAAGTCCCAAGCTTTAAAAATTTTGTAATATAGGTGACAGGTGGCTAATAAACTTAATATACAAAAGCTATTATAAGCCACTAAGCAAAGATATTGTTTTAGTAGAAAAATGAGTAAAGAATGGGTGCAAACAGCAACATGAGAAAGCTAAATGGCCAAAAAGTTCATGGACAGACTGTTTAATTTAGAGAAAAGGAAATGAAAGTGCAAAGTGAGATTAAACCTCTGAGTATTAAACCTCAGTGTTAAATTCTGAGTATTAAACCTCTAATACTCAGAATAGGCAAGGTCTTGGAGAAACAAATTGTGTTAGACACCGTTGGGAAAACAAGCTATATGATAATTTGGCAATATATATATATCAAAGGCCTTAGTACAATAAGTTTATACTGCTTTATAATTGAAAAAATAAACTTTTTTTTTTTTTTTTTTTTTTTGAGACAGGCTCTGGCTCTGTCACCCAGGCTGGAGTGCAGTGGCAGAATCTCGGCTCACTGCGTCTCTGCCTCCCAGGTTCAAGCAATTTTCCTGCCTCAGCCTCCCGAGTAGCTGGGATTATAGGTGCCCACCACCATGCCTGGCTAATTTTTGTATTTTTAATAGAGATGGGGTTTCACCATGTTGGCCAGACTGGTCTCAAACTCCTGACCTCAAGTGATCCGCCCACCTTGGCCTCCCAAAGTGCTGGGATTACAGGTGTGAACCACCCCACCAGGCCTAAAAAATAAACTTTTTAAAACAAAAGAGACAGTCTAAGGCATACGTTCAGAAAGAGATAGACATGGACAGTCTTTCATTGTTCTGCTTGGGGAATCTTTCCCTCTGTTTTAGAAACAGCTGTATGTTCATCTGTCCTGTGCTAAATTCCTTTGTGTTATTTTCATAGCTGCATGAATACAGGAGGTTAGCACCCCTGGATCTTTACTCCCTGTCTAAAAAACTAAGTCTATAATTCACATTTTTTTGGTCTAGGGGATAGCACCTTGAATATGTAATTCCTGAACTCACAAATGGAAGCAGTGTTAATGAATCATCTAGTTATTGATTTTTTCTCTTCAAGTCAGGGTCACAATTCACGTGGGTAGTATGTTGGAACAACTGGCTGAAGGGCTCTGGAGTTGGAGAAGCGGTATCAGGTTGTATTAGTCCGTTCTCATGCTGCTAATAAAGACATACCTGAGACTGGGTAGTTTATAAATTGGGTAGTTTATAGAGGAAAGAGGTTTAATTGACTCACAGTTCAGCATGGCTGGGGAGGCCTCAGGAAACCTACAATCATGGCAGAAGAGGAAGCAAACGTCCTTCATCACATGGCGGCAGCAAGAAGTGCCAAGCAAAAAGGAGGAAAACCCCTTGTAAAACCATCAGATCTCGTGAGAACTCACTCACTATCACGAGACTAGCATGAGTGTAACCGTTCCCATGATTAAATTACCTCCCACTGGGCCCCTCCCACAACACATGGGGATAATGGGAACTACAATTCAAGATGAGATTTGGGTGGGGACACAGCCAAAGCATATCACAGGTATTCTAGCAGGGAGTTTTCATCATCATCGCTTGCCCTCCTCTCCTTCATGCTCAGTGTTGCCACCTCTTTTCCTGCTAGCCTTCCTCCCCGTTAAGATTTGTTTAACTAATCTAAGTATTTCAGACATTTCTCCATGGAATTCTATACTACAGCTCTGTCTCAACAAGAAACCCAAAGCCCCACAAGTTGTTACATCTTCACTGGTAATCTCATTGAGGTGTCCTGTCTATAGGATTCCACACTTCTTAGCTGTTAATGAGATTTCTTCACTCAGACCTGGAAGGAGGTGGTTTGAAGCAGAAACCGCAAAGCACGTGGCCTTTGGACCTTTAGAATGCAGCGTGTTTCCAGTGTGGTGGGATACCTGCGTGGCTCAGTGGGTGGGAAAAGCCAAGTTCATGGGGCTCACATAGTGTTTTTGTCAGTTGGTGGTCTAAGGAGTCTTGGATTTGTGCTTTCCTTTTCCTTCCAGGGGAGTTTTGTGGCTTGCATGATTGCCCTGCTGCAGCAAATGGACGACAGCCACTATAGCCACTACATCAGCACTTTCAAAACCAGACAAGACATCATCGTAAGTTGCCTTTACTGGTCCTGGTAACCTGAAGACTTCTTAAATTTGGTTTAAAAAAATGACTGAAGCTGAGCATCGTGAGTCCAGGGTTCTCTTCCCACGCACCTCCGGTGCTATGTGGCTGTCCACAGTGATTACAGAAAGGAGAGAGCTGATTCCTACTTTCTCTCTTTGATAGGATTTGAAAAAGAGTACAACACATATACCAAGAGGTTATCACACACTTTAATCTCTCTTGGATTTAGAGAGAGCCCTTATTTAGCAACATTTGGGAGATGTTTTTTGCTCTGAAAACAGGACTTAATACTTGGTACAGTAACTACTCATGGCAAGGATTTTAGAAGGCAGGGGTGTGCAAAGTCTCCTAAGACGTGGTTGATACCATCATTTTGGAGAGGGCAACAAAAAGAGGTAATCCCTGCCCTTTACAACTGGTCCGTGTGGCCTGTTAGGAACCTGGCCGCACAGCAGGACATGAGCAGCAGGCCAGCAAGCATTAACTCCTGAGCTCCGCCTCCTGTCAGATCAGCAGAGGCATTAGATTCTCATAGGAGCTGAATCCTATTGTGAACTGCACATTCGAGGAATCTAGGTTGCCAGCTCCTTATGTGAATCTCACTAATGCCTGATGATCTGAGGTGGAACAGTTTCATCCCAAAACCATTCCTGCCCCCATCCGTGGAAAAATTGTCTTTCCTGAAACCTGTCCCTGGTGCCAAAAAGGTTGGGGACTCCTGCTTTACAATATTTGTAAGTTATCTTCAGATGAAAATATTTTGTTCTCTATTGTTTTAAGCAGGAAAATTGTTCTCATAGTTGCTGTGAAGCACTCATCTAAGAAGCTGAGTTAGGCCTCCGGCTGTGGCTTCACGGCACCTTCCCTTCAGGGGATTATTAGTGGCCCTTCAGACGTCCATGAAGGTGTTATTAGACTTTGCAGAGCAGTGGACAGGATGTGCCGCTGGATTAGCACACTGTTGTCATGTTGACACTAGTCTTTGGATAACTTCCCATCATCTGTGCGTACTCCAGTCTCTTTGTTCTAGATTTTCCACTTTCTGCCTCTGTCATGCTGAGTAGATGGCCAGTGCCCCCATGGATTCGCAGCTCCTTCCTTGCCCATTACCCACCTTTCTGCCATGCCCACATGGTGGACAAACATACAAGGAATTGGAAGGAAAGTGCTGTTTGTTATTATTAGTTGGTTCCATGGTGGACTCTCAATGCCGTGTTAGACTACGTGGCTTTAGCTGAAGGTCTCCATGAGCCTCTGCTTGGGCCATACCCTGGCAGGCAGCATGGCATGGGAACCATAGCAATATGTAGATGTGCCTGTGGAGACCAGGCGCAAGAGGCCCAGTATGGGGGGTGGGGGGTGGAGGAGGAAGCCCAAGGTTAGCCATGTGTTCTCTACAGGCAGGTGGTGTAGCGGGTAAGAGCACAGGCCTTAGAACACGCAGCTCTGGGTTTGAATTCTGACCATTCCACTCCCTTGTATGCAATTTGGGGCAAGCGGTTTAACCTCACTGAACTTCAGTCTCCTCATCTGTAAGATAGTACCCACCTTGAGGGTTAATTAAGTGTTGCTTGGCTCCATGCATGGGAAATGCCCAGCTTCGTGCAGGTAGGCATGTAGCTAATGCCTATGAGGACTAGCTGTTTGTAACAATAATTGTATTATTATTGCTATATAAAGTAAAATTAACAATAAAAATTCTAGGGATTTTGTTTCAAATTTCCTTCAGAGAGCAGGCAAAATAGGGAGGTTTTAAGGTCAAACCGTGACAATTTGGCTCCATTGTTAAGTAAGAAAAAAAGGGGCGTACCTCCTGTTTGCCAGCATGGTGTTGAGCTCCTCCAGCTGTATTATGTAATTAAAAGAGGATCATTATCCTCACGAGGGAACTAAGACCTGGAGAAATGAGGGAACTTGCCTGAATTTAGTCCCCGGTGGCTGAGCTACCGTGCACAGCTAGGCCTTTGCCTCCCAGTGGCCTTTCAGTCCCTCATGCTGCCTTCTGAGTGAACCGCATGAAGGCCCTTGGGAAGTGGTGGATAAAACCAGGCTTTGGGATTCCCTGTGAGTTCCATCATGCCGTCTCATTAATTTAGATTTCCAGGAGTTAAATAGAGAGTCTGTATCTGAAGCAAATAACAAGTATCTAAATTCAATCCTTGCTTCACAAACCATGAATTCTTATGGATTTAGAAGAAAAGTTAACAGAATGGCCAATAAATTGGTGGAAGCACTTAAAATATATAATGAGGCCGGATGTGGTGACTCATGCCTGTAATCTCAGCACTTTGGGAGGCTGAGGCAGGTGGATCACTGGAAGTCAGGAGTTCGAGACCAGCCTAGCCCACGTGATGAAACCCCATCTCTACTAAAAATACAAAAAATAATTACCCAGGGGTGATGGCAGACACCCGTAATCCCAGCTCCTGGGGTGGCTGAGGCAGCAGAATCGCTTGAACCCGTGAGGTGGAGGTTGCAGTAAGTCGAGATTGTGCCGCTGCACTCCAGCCTGGGCGACAAAGCAAGACTCCATCTCGAAATAAATAAATAAATAAGTAAATAAAATATATGATGAAACGAATTTGAATTCATTAATTATGTCTAGGATTTCAGAACTGAGGGTGGGTATGTCTAACTCGCCATAAAACCAGGGGAGAATCCACAGTTGCACACACACACTGGCCGGCCAGGGAGAGTCATTCCCCATGCCGTTCAGCATCCAAAGTATAGGAAGTTACCCAGCTTGACCAGCATCTCAGAAAAATATGGTTAGCAATAGGACCTGGGCCTCCTGTCTCTCACATACTGTGTCCAGGCAGAACTGTGTAGGTTAGTGCCAGAGAAACTGGACAGGACTTTCAAGAATCCCAGTGGAAAAGGTCTAAATTTAGCTAACTAATAAAAATGCCTTCAAAACATTTTAGCTTTGATTTCAACTCTGATTGTTCTATTTCTGAATTAGTTTTTGCTCACAGCCCCCTTTGGAGCAGAAGAGCTCTGTATGCTTAAGTGATTAGTTATTAGTCATCACCAGCCACTGTTACGATCCATTTTGAAGGACCGTTTAGGACCTTTCTTCCAGGCTGCACATGATAACGTCCCTGGCGCAGGAAGAGTGGTGATTCTGCTTCTTGTGTGTATCACTGTGTCCTTTTCTAACCATAATAAAGGAGAATTGAACTGAAATCTATTAAAAGTATCCATTTCCCCACAATTGTTGGTGAATTATGTTTAAGTGCATGAGATACATTCTGACAACCTGTGGCAGCAGAGGAAGAAAGAGATAAGGGTTGCAAACTTGGGGTCCAAAGCTCCAAGTTCTCATCCAGCTCTTCTCCTTCCCACTTTCTTTTTTTCCTTTTTTCTTTTCTTTTCTTTTCTTTTCTTTTTTTTTTTTTTTTTTTTTTGAGATAGAGTCTCACTCTGCTGCCCAGGCTGGAGTGCAATGGCACAATCTTGGCTCACTGCAACCTCTGCCTCCTGGGTTCAAGCGATTCCCCTGCCTCAGCCTCCCGAGTAGCTGGGACTACAGGCATACACCACCATGCCCGGCAAATTTTTGTATTTTTAGTAGAGATGGGATTTCACTATGTTGGCCAAGCTGCCCACCTCGGCCTCCCAAAGTGCTGAGATTACAGGTGTAAGCCACTACACCCAACCCTCCTTCCTACTTTCTATGCCCTTAAGTGAGTCCTTTAGTTTTTCTCAGCCTCAGTTGTACCATTTGTAAAATGTGGATGATTCTTTTTGTCCTCATCTTCCTTATAGGGTCCTACAATATAAAAATCAAATTGCATCACAGCCAGCTGTAAGAATGCTTTGTTATTCCTAAAACCCTTGAAAGATGGGCTGTTACTGTGGGGCTAGGAACATCCTGTTCTGAGGTTGTGGTTCTGCTTGTATACACGCCAGAATAAAGACTATGAACGTAACCCAGTTTTCCCCCAACCACTCCTCTGTTCTCCGCAGGACTTCCTCATGGAAACTTTTATCATGTTCAAGGACCTGATTGGAAAGAATGTCTATGCCAAAGATTGGATGGTGATGAATATGACTCAAAACAGGTGAGACAGCCCATGGCTGGCCCTGAGGCATTTGTCTGAATACCTAAGGCTGCTGTGTGAACTTTGGGAAATGTCTTTAAATCCCTTTGCCTCAAACCCATCATCTGTAAAGTGAGGATCTTCCTGCTCCAGAGGTCCTAATTTATGTGCTCGTGATCTTGATTTTCCCAGGGTAATTGCCTTTGCTCCACCTCGGGCTCTCTACTCCCTTCTCTAGCGTCGTCTCTTCAGTGCTCTCATGGTAATTGTCATCCTCAACTCTCCACTGCACCTTTCCGTGGCTCCACGTGGCCTGTGTCATCCTGATATTCAGGGCTCACCAGTTAGTGTCTGTTCTATGACCGGTCCATGATGTATTTAACCAGATTCTTCTTATGAACATTTAGATTCTTTCCATTTTCTATTAATGTGAAATAGCACTGTCATGGCCTTCCTTGCTTTACATATTTAAAAATATCCATGGTTATTTTATCAGGATATACTCCTAAAATAATTTAGTAGTTCAAAAGTTTGGTGAAATTATAGGGCTTTTGATACACAGTGCCAAACTAACTAGTTGCTTCTGCTACTTCCCTGTGTATGCTACCTGTACTCCAACCAAACTGGCCTCTGCCCAGTCCCTGAACACATGGTCTGCTCTGCCTCACACCGGTCTTCCGCTAGCAGTGCCTTCCCCATAACCTCTGGCTGTCAGCATTCCAGCTATTCCATAAGGTTCTTCTGAAGCGTCACCTCCAGAGGAAGCCTTTCTGACCTGGATGTCATCTCTTCTTCCTTCGATTTTCCATACCCCATTCAAACCTTCTTATAGAATTGTTTTCAGATTCTATGTTGGGTAATAGATGTACATGTTGTTAATTTCCCCAACCAAGCTGTAAATTTCTTAAGATCAGAAACTGTGTCTTTCAACACAGACGTGAGCCTGTGCCTTGCAATTGCTAGCCCACAACAAATACTTGTTGAACAGAAGTGAAATGAACTGAATATATATTATATTAAAAGAGTGTTAGAGTTTAATGAGATAAATAAACCATTATTGTAAGCATTATTATTAACTCTACATGATACCCAATTCTGAGTAATTCTACTCTAACACCTGATTAGAAGAAGCCTTCTCTGCTATGTACAGATTAGATTTAAAAAATTACACCAGAAACCCTAAGCTTAAACAGAAGGATCATAATAGAGTCTATATATATTACCCTCCTCTGAGGCTTAAGAGTCCTGGTTTGCAGTCTCAGATCTACCTTCAATTACCTAAATTGGGATGTGGCCCTGAGTGGCTCTTCTTGTTTGTTCTGTAAACTGACCTCCTGTGCCCCATCTGCGGATGGTGTTATGCTGTTGTCTGCAAGGACACTGTTAGATTATGAGGTCTTATGATGCCAAGTTCAGGTTTGGTTTGGTTTAGTTCTTAATATAGGTGGGAAAAGGTTTCAAAGGACATACAGTTGGCTTCTTTATCTGGTGTTTTCCTTCCGCAGGGTTTTTCTCCGTGCTATAAATCAGTTTGCTGAAGTTCTCACAAGATTCTTCATGGATCAGGCAAGCTTTGAACTTCAGGTAGGCATGTGACTCACCTACCTGCTTCTAGAATTCTTGGCCATGGCAAGAGAACTATATGAATTTGGAAAATGTCTCCTCAGATTTCACTGTTTTCACATGAAAAAGGTTTTCCTGTGTTTTTTCATTTCCTAAAGCACATATGCCTGTCACACTGTCCTCCAAACACAACAAAATAGGGGTGGTTTCTTCTTTCTATAAAGGTAACATATGTAAAAAAAAAATCTTAAAGAGTAATAGTAGAAGATCAAAAATATAAATAGTCCTCCTTGTCGCTATAAACATTTGGAGTTGACCCTTTGTATATTTACACAAATGCACATAGACACACATGGCTACAAATAAGCACACAGGTAACTCTCCTACCGACAAATGAGTTTGGTTCTAAAGAACAGTTCTTATGCACAGTTTGTTGAAAGTCCAAAGGAATTGCAAAACGGATGACCGCTAGCTCTATTTTCATTCATTCATTCATTTACTTATCCATTCATCCATTTAACAAATGTTAGAGTACTTACATGTACAGGGCCCTGTTTTGCGCCCTGGTAGGGGCATTTCCCTGGTGAAGGCAGATAAGTTCCTTGCTGTCATGGAGCTTACCTTCCAGAGTACTCTGCATTTTGTGGGTGATGTGCTTTCTGTGTTCTTTGTCTTTGCGTGTATCTGTGGAACTGTTATCAGTGGAGGTCCTTGACTACAGATTGTCCAAGTTCTTGACGTTTTGAACAAAATGCACAAACAAAGCAATGAAAGAATGAAGCAATAAAAGCCAGATTTATTGAAATGAAAGTATACTCCACAGAGTGGGAGCAGGCTCAAGCAAGTAGCTCAAGAGCACTGGTTACAGAATTTTCTGGCGTTTAAATACCCTGTAGAAGTTTTCCCATTGGTTACTTGGTTACACCCTATGTAAATGAAGGAGTAGCATGTGACCAGTCTGACCCTCCCACCAATTGTGGGAGGGGACTAATCAGAGGTACTTTCAATTTTTCATCTGCCACAGAGTGCAAAGGGGTAGCCTCTGATCCTTTTGTTACTTGGGTGTGGAGAGGTGGGGTTTTCCTTTTGATTCAGTTCTAGGAAGTCAGTGTGAATTGGCCTTCAGTGCCCTGCCTCCAGGCCCTGTTTTCCTGCCTCAGAACTTTAAAAGTTGAAAATCATAAGTAGAGGAAAGTATACACACATACACACACAGAGATGCATGCACATATAGATGAATATATATTGTATGTATGTGTATGTATATTTGCCAAAATGGAATTGAGCTGTGCAGTTCTTTGGTACTCTGTTAATCTGTTTTCCTTTTTCAATGATCTGTGATCTTTTCAATAATGTTGAATATTTTCCTGTTTTTAATGGCTGAATATCATCTGTTCTATGACTGGTCCATGATGTATTTAACCAAATTCTTCTTACGAACATTTAGATTGTTTCCATTTTCTATTATATTAAATAACACTGTGATGGACTTCCTTCCTTTAAATATTTAAAAATATTCGTGCTTGGCTGGGCACGGTGGCTCACGCCTATAGTCTCAGCACTTTGGGAGGCCAAGGCGGGCAGATCACCTGAGGTCAGGAGTTTAAGACCAGCCTGGCCAACATGGCGAAACTCCATCTCTACTAAAAATGCAAAAACTAGCTAGGCCTGGTAGTGGGTGCCTGTAATCCCAGATACTCGTCAGGATAAGGCAGGACGCTTGAACCTGGGAGGCGGAGGTTGCAGTGAGCCGAGATTGTACCACTGTACTCCAGCCTGGGCAACAGAGTGAGACTCTGGATCAAACAACAACAACAAAATTCATGGTTATTTCATCAGGATAAAGTCCTAAAAGTGTTTACTAATTCAAAAGTTTGGCAAACTTTTAGGACTTTTGAAACATAGTGCCAAAGTACATACTATAAATAGATACACTTCTTGGCAGCAGTTTTCCTTTATCCCAGGAGTAAAGAAAAATATAATAGCTTAAATTTTTTTAAAAAGCTTAACATTAAGTCTCAAAACTTTTAGGATTGAATAATCAAAACCTAAGAAGAATGTAGATTGTATTTTGTTCTTTCATTAATCTCTTGTTAATGACTTTTTACCATGTGACATTGTTTTATTATGGCCCTTATTAATGTTATTTTTCATTTCCCTTTACCCACACAATTAATTTTGAACAGCTCTGGAACAATTACTTCCATTTGGCAGTTGCATTTCTCACCCATGAGTCCCTTCAGCTTGAAACCTTCTCACAAGCCAAGCGCAACAAAATTGTTAAAAAGTAAGTGTCCTTTTAAAGTTAAGATCGGGAAGGGGCTTCTTCCATTTGTTTACATTGAGAGCAATATTTTAGGTATCACAGAAATTACTATTTAGTGGCTACCCATGTTGTTAGTGAGGTAAGTCTTCAACTAATTACTTAATAGGCCTCACATTCACCCAGGTTCAGCTCTCTTTTCTTAAGGCCCAACCATCTTCCCATCAGTCATCCCATGCTTTTTATCAAATCTGTACCTGGAGACGGACCTTGGCTGTCAGCTTGCCCATCCCCAAGAACAGCTGCGCCTCTGCTGGCAGCTTCCCCAAATTGCAGGCATAGTACCTCCTCATTCATAGCGCTTCACAAAGCACACTCCTTCAGCACAGTTGCTCCACCTCCCTGCCATTTCAGCAGAGAAAGCCAGGTCTCAGACATTGCATTAAAATGCCCTCCAGATTCCTGGTTTGGAATTCAAAATGGAATTATGTGCAGAAGTGATAAGAGATTTAGGGAAGCATTTCATTTCATTGAGAGACTGGAATCCAAAGACCATGTCGTTAAAAAATAACTTGAGGAATGTATTATTTGAAGACTTTGAAATTTTAGTTGTGTTCCCCTTGTTGGGATATCTGCGATATGTAGGAAAATTATTTAGTGTCCCTCTACTTCTGGTTCCTCCCTCAAAAACTGCCTACATATACAAAAACAGCAAAGTATTTTTTGCTCCCAAGGACCAATATTTATCCCTTTGTGGACAGTATCACTCCCATTGAGAGTGCATGGTGTAGAGCCTTCCAATGTGAATATTTTGAAAAACACGCTAGAATGGATGTATATTACCCCAATATCAGTCTATAAAGTATATAAGTATTTAGTCACCTGTTAGGCATTAGTCACAGTACTGTATGATCATACTTCATTCACCTTCCTTTTCATCAGTGTTTGCCGTGTTTTGTTTGGCTTTGTCTGTGCCTCACTCTTCTCCCTGAAGTGAGTTTGTTAATCTCATCTTCTCAGCTATTTTTCAGCGTTTCCATTTGGCTTTATTGCGGCACAAGGTCCCCCGGCCTCTGTGCGCCTCATTCCTTTTGGGGGCTCGTTTAGGTATGAACCTCATCTCTTAAGGTTGGGCCTTAAGAGTGACCAAGAGAGACACAGACTGTTTTTACTTTCCTTCTTATTGTGTTTATGCAATTCATTTCTACTGAAAATCCTCCTTCTAGTTTATGATCTTCTTCCTAGATATGGGGACATGAGAAAGGAAATCGGCTTTAGAATCCGGGACATGTGGTATAACCTGGGTGAGTGTCTAGCCTTGAACAGGCCTGATCACAACCTCTGAGTGATAAGCATCCCACGATAAAGTCTTTTTTTTATTTTAATCCAGATAACCCTGAGATGTATTTGTCTGTGTGTCTGGAAGTGAAAGTTGATTTGTGGGTTTCATTGACAATGAACTGTCTCTTACTCTGGCATCCACATGCTATCAGAATCTGAGTCACTCACTTCTGAATTGAGTTGTTTTAACCTTTTCTTTTCTTATGGAACTTGTGGAGGAAGATTTTAACACTTTACTTTCAGTGAAATAATTTTTTAATATCTTCATTCACTTTCATTTCAGGTCCCCACAAAATCAAATTCATCCCATCCATGGTGGGTCCCATTCTGGAGGTCACTCTGACCCCTGAAGTAGAGCTCCGGAAAGCCACAATCCCCATTTTCTTTGATATGATGCAGTGTGAGTTCAATTTCAGTGGAAATGGCAATTTCCATATGGTAAGAAGTGGCAGACCGCGTAATATTAGTAAATGGACATATAGTCAAATCATAACTCATTTCTTTCTATATAGAGAAGCAGTAACCTTAATAATGCAAGTCCATGTTGATCTGAAAGTTCACTTTACATTTCATTTTATAAAGCAATTAGAGATAGAGTCAGACAGTGCAACCCAGAGCCTGGAAAAGATTTTTTTGCTACATGTCTTTCCTAAGGCAACACCTGTCTGTAGAAAATTAAAGGAAGTTAACTTCATGCATTTTAATCCTAGCTGTTTCAGTATAGCCTAGAGAATAATGTAGTGAATTGAATTTAAAAACCTATCTATTATAGTACGGCTGAAAGCAGTGCAATGGATTAAGTTCTAATCCATTACTCTGTAGCTTTGAGAATGTCATTTTCCTGGTATGTCTTCTCTGTGCCTCTGTTTTCTTATCTACAAAGTGTATTAATATTGAAAGGACGATTTCGCATCTATGAACCTCTGCAAAAGCAATCTCACTGCAGAGACTTAGACATGAAACTGAAGTAAAATAGAAAAACAAGAATTATTATTCTATTTTTATATGAATAGTTGTAACAGAAAGCAATGTTTTGGATAATATGTTTTTAATCAAATGTAATGCAAAGGACAAAGTAACATGAGACTTTGTTAGAAGATTTTGATAGGGCCTTGGTGCACAGTTTATGAGTGACCCTCTGTGATCCTCCCTGTCTGTGCTGGAAACAGTTCACAACTCAGCGAATGGGTTGGCCAAGTCTAGAAAGTTGGCCATGTCTTCTTCTAAGGATGCAACATTATCCTGTGAAATTCTGCCTCTACTTTCAGTTTGAGAATGAGCTGATCACAAAGCTGGACCAGGAGGTAGAAGGGGGCAGAGGAGACGAACAATACAAGGTTCTTCTGGAAAAACTGTGAGTATTTCAGGAACGAAACCTGAAGTCAGTGGTGTCATTTAGTAATAGAGAAAAACAGGGGTCCTGTTTCACCAATAGAGCAATTGAGTAGTCTCAGAGTCACTAGGGCCACCCCCACTGTGGTCTTCAGTATGGTTATGGGGTGTATACTGTCCACAGCTGACATTGTTTATCTCGTGGGAGTCAAATGCTGGTATTTTCCTGGCCAGCCTGGCCCTAGAGAACACAGCAGATGGAGGCAAGGAGGAGGTGCAGAGTGGTGGCATTTTGCCCAGTGTTTGAATTTTTGAACTTCAACAAAAGTATTAGCACTTCTAATTATAACTGCAAAGTAACAATTTAAAGGAAAAAATATTTCAAGGTCTGCTGTGTATGTAAAAAATACCTTAGGACCCATAAAGGACATATAACCAAAGCAGTTCTGTCTCCAGCCAGGTTGGTCTTTTTCCTGCCCTGTCATCCACCCCATCCAACACATCTGTACCTCTGTCTGGGCTCCCATTATCACCACTGTCCCCTCTTCCCCCACCACCACACTCACCTATAACCCTCTTGCCCTCCTTGGCACATGTGGAGTAATGAAGAGTGGGAAAGTGATTAAAAACACATAGGTGTTGGCCTCAGTGAGAGATTGAACTTCAAACCCTGTTTTCGCCACATATTAAGAGTTTGGCTTTAGTCCAGTGATTCTGCTTATCCAACACTTCATTTTTTTTCCCTCTCCAAGAATAACATCTATTTTTTGATATCATCATGAGAATTACAGGAGATGATGTGCTAACATAGCATCTGTTGCAGAGTTCATGACTAATAAATATTGGCTGCTCTGGTGTTCATGGTTGTTATTATTACAATTTGTTTTTGGTGTTTGTTTTTAAGAGATAGGGTCTCTCTCTGTTGCCCAGGCTGGAGTGCAGTGGTGCAATGATAGCTCACTAAAGCCTTGAACTCCTGGGCTCAAGCAGTCCTCCCGCCTCAGACTCCCAAGTACTAGGACTACAGGCATATGTCGCCATTCCCAGCTGTTTCTTATTTTTACTTGTGTAGAAATGGGGTCTTGCCGTGTTGCCAAGGCTGGTCTCGAAATTTTGCTTTAAGTGATCCTCCCACTTCAGCCTCCCTAGTAGCTAGGACTGTAGGCGTGCACCACCATGCCCAGCTGGTTTTCATTTTTATTTTTGTAGAGACAGGGTCTTGCTATGTTGCCCAGGCTGGTCTGAAACTCTTGGCCTCAGGCAATCCTCCAGCCTCGGCTTCCTAATGGGCTGGGATTTACAGGCATGAGCCACCACGTCTGGCCTAGTATTATTATTATTATTATTTACAGGCCTACCCTTCATTCAGGTTGTAACTACTCTAGACCATTGCTTTCTCATGTTCCCTGAACTTTTCTAGTGTTGACCAACTGCATCTCCAGCTGGGTGCTTGCCTCAGTCACTTAGTTGTTCACCTGTTCGCCTGTTGTGTGTGAGTTTTGTGGATGAGAGTCTGTGTTTGAGGACAGTGCTCCCAACTGTATTCTTTTTTGAAGATTCTCTAAGGAACCAGCACTCTGAATACCGAGAAATGGAATTGAATTGTATTTTCAGTAGAGATGGGGTTTCACGATGTTGGCCAGGGTGGTCTCCATCTCTTGACCTCGTGATCCACCTGCCTCGGCCTCCCAAAGTGAGCCAAGTGAGCCACCGTGATGGATGCCTGTAGTCCCAGCTACTTGGGAGGCTGAAGCAGGAGAATCACTTGAACCTGGGAGGCGGAGATTGCAGTGAACTGAGATTGCACCACTGCACTCCAGCCTGGCTACAGAGCAAGACTCCGTCTCAAAAAAATAAAAATAAAAAAAATAATTGAATTGATGAATAGTCTGTATTTTAAAGGACTAGAAGCCTTTCTTGTTTTGTTTTTAATAGTGACAAGACCTTTTATTGGTCTTTTTTATCCTGTTTCCATTAAGTCTCTCCATTTGAGCTTCAAACCTCCCAGTTTATATCTTTTGCAATTCTGATCTTATATGGAATTAAATGAAGTTATGCACATATACACACAATATTTATACATGATATGCTACTTTTTTAAATCCTACAGCTGATTTGTTTTACATAAGGATCTTACTTTGTTTTCTTCATTCTTCCTAGATCACTAACTTAGAAAAAATACGGATACATAGGTCTCCAGTGCCCAAGAATAACCCTAAATCTGGATTAATGTGTTGGACCCATTTCTTTCTCTTTCCCTCTCCCTCTTTTCCCAGGTTTTCTTTTAATTATCTAATAAGCCCCAGAACTTGGCTCTGTGTGGGTCCAAAGGGACAGGATTTAGACTGAAAGTTTAGCCTCAGTTTGCTTCTTTATAACTCTGCATTTTTTTCTGAAGCTAACACTTTTATCTAAAGAGCCGCATTGCAGGAGATGTACTAGGTTCCCAGGTTCCTCTAGGCTGGGCATCCATACGAGGCATTCCAGAATGTTCAGAGGATGCCCTGAGTGCCAGGCCTTAGGGAGAATAAAGACATAGGAAAAATGGTCTCATACAACTAATTAGAGTCCTCACAGAGCACACACGAACCTTTTGAGCAAGGGTTTGTTGACTGAATAAAACACAAACAAAAACAGACATTGAAAGAAGGACATTGTGTGCTCAGATTCTAAGTGATGTTGGGACTTGAGCTGAGTCCTAAAGAAAACTGGAACTCGAGTCCACAAAGAAGCGCAGCATAAGTGAAGGTCACAGGATAGGAAGGTGTTGCATGAGGTGTGTGTGTGTCGGCTTAACTGTGTCACTTAATATCTAACATTGACGTTCTGTGTCATCAAATCCTGCCCCAGCCACTGCTGAGACCCTGGTCAGTGCTGGTCAGTGCTGCTGGAATGATAGCATGGAACCTGGGCTTTTGTCTCTCCCTCCGCCCCTCCAGGCTCCTAGAACATTGCCGGAAACACAAATACCTCTCCAGCTCTGGGGAGGTCTTCGCCCTCCTGGTCAGCAGCCTCTTAGAGAACCTGCTGGACTATAGAACCATCATCATGCAAGATGAGAGCAAGGAGAACCGTATGAGCTGCACTGTGAACGTGCTGGTATGTGACATGCCTCCGGTGTGATGGGAGGGTACTGTCAGGCCGCCCCTGCACCCTACAGCTCAGCTCTAGGTAGATCCCACAAACACAGAGGCGCCCTGAGGCACCTTTGTGGAGCCGGTGTCTTCCTAAGTCTAATTGGAATGGCTGGCTCAGCTCACAGGTATCAGCAGCCACAGACCCTGAGGATAAATTTGGTGTGTTTTTGATTGTTTGTTTTAATTTTTATTTCAGTAGGTTTGGGGGTACAGTGGTTTCTGGTTACATGGATAAGTTTTGGGGATTTTTTTTTTTTTTTTTGAGACGGAGTCTCGTTCTGTTGCCGGGCTGGAGTGCAGTGGTGCGATCTCAGCTCACCGCAACCTCCGCCTCCTGGGATCAAGCAATTTTCCTGCCTCAGCCTCCCAAGTAGCTGGGATTACAGGCACGCGCCACCATGCCCAGCTAATTTTTGTATTTTTAGTAGAAACAGAGTTTCACCATGTTGGCCAGGATGGTCTCGATCTCCTGACCTCATGATCCACACGCCTCAGCCTCCCAAAGTGCTGGGATTACAGGCGTGAGCCACCGCACCCGGCTGGATAGGTTATTTCTTTAGTGGTGATTTTTGAGATTTTAGAGCACCCGTCACCCGAGCACTGTACCCAAAATGTAGTCTTTTATCCCTCACCCTCCTATAACCTTCCCCACTGAGTTCCCAAAGTCCATTATATCACTCTTGTGCTTTTGCATCCTGAGGATAAATATCCCCTTTTCTTATGGGGATATTTGTTAAAGGGAAACAGTGATCTCTTTGGAAAAGTGAAACTTTTGAAAAGCAACAATAGTGGTTTGTCTATTTTTGTGTCAATAGCTCTTGATTTATGTTGGGATTCTGTGATCCTTTTTTTTCCTGGCAGAACTTTTATAAAGAAAAGAAGAGAGAGGACATATACATAAGGTAAGCTGAAGGAAATTTCTTGCTTCTGCTGTTTATTTCATGGCTTTGTGATTGATTTCTTCAGTAAACAAATACTTTCCCAACACCGTGTTTGCTGCTTTGAGAGACCCCTAAAAGTACATGATACGCTCCATTCACCCTGAACCGACAAACTCTTTAGACAGATACATGAATAAGTACGACAGGAAGGAGTGCCTATGTGAGGTCATGTCAGGGATCAGGGGAAGGATAGACAACTTCTGGCCTGGGTGGGCAGGAGAGGCTGTACAGGAAGAGGCAGGAAAACCCACCCAAGAGTCTTAGCTTGAAGTCTGCGAATCCCTGAACATGAAACAAACTTGTACGTAACCAACGTGCATGTTGTTGGGGAGAGATTCCATAGCTTTCATTAGCTTCCCAGAGGGGTCCAAGACCTAATATTTAAAAACATTAAACACCACTGCCTTAAAGAAAGAAGAGAAACTAGTCTAGGTGGAGTCAGAGAAACACGGAGGCAGGAGGTGCACAGTGTATTGAAGAAATGGGGAAGATCCGACTTCTTGGCTCAAGAGGAAGGAATTGCTTCTGTACAGTAGTGGGGAGGGGGGTCAGGCAGGGAAGCAGGCTGGGGTCTGGTTATGGAATGAGCTGAACACTAAATCAACTCTCGAGCCTGGGCAGCATGGTGAAACCCTGTCTCTACAAAAGATACGAAAATTAGCCGGGCCTGGTGGCACGTGCCAGCTACTTAGGAGGCTAAGGTGGGTGGATCACTTGAGCCCTGGGGCTTAAGGCTGCAGTGAGCCATGATCGGACCACTGCATACTGCAGCCTGGGCAATACAGCAAGACCCTGTCTCAAAACAGAACTAAAAAACCTATAAAACTCTCGAGTGACAAAATGCTTCCTTCTCCCCTTCTTGCCAGATATCTGTACAAGCTTCGAGATTTGCACCGAGACTGTGAGAACTACACAGAAGCTGCCTACACGCTTCTCTTGCACGCTGAGCTTCTGCAGGTGAATGGCTCAGAGAGCTTGTTTCAACAGGGTGGAGTACAGTGTCCTTTCAGACTAAATTCTATACATTTCATGATTTTGATGGGAAAGAACTTTATTCCAGGAATATCCTTTTATACAAGTTTTTTTAGTTCTTTCTAAATAGGCACAGCTAATTTGTAGATCAAGTATGGGAAAATGTCAGTTATCTTTTATTTAAAAATCCTTAGAAAGCAGAGCACGACTTATGAACCTTTGGTAATTGACACTCTAATTAAAGCAATAAAACACACATTGATGAATACATAAAAAAATTTGTAAAACTGCAGAAAACTGCAGAAAGATGAGTTATAAGTGAATATAGTACCATAGAAGTACTCTATTTTTATTCTCTCCCTAAATAAATGTATGTTGTGGTTTAGATATAAATACATCTATATGTTATGAATCCCAAGTAATTATTTCTAGCCCTGAGCACCTTCTCTAACTTTGGATTTACATATAAACTTTGATTGGCCAATATGCAGCTCAAACTGAACAAGGCGGTAACAGGAACCTTTATTTCTCACTCTTTGCTCCTCCCCAGCCCATCCTACCTCACTTTGTTACCATGTTACTAATAACATTCCCATCCATTTAGTTGCTCAGGCAACCTCATAGTCATCTTCAATTTCTCTCTTTTACTCACCACCTCCCACATTCTCCACAAGCGAGAGATGTGGCCCCTCTGTTCAGAACATGCCCCTAACTTATCCGCTTTTCTTTTTCTTTCTTTATTTTTTTTTTTAAAGAGATGAGATCTTGCTATGTTTCCCAGGCTGGTCTCAAACTCCTGGGCTCAAGCAATCCTCCCACTTCAGCCTCCCAGAGTACTAGGATTACAGGCATGAGCCACCATGCTAGCCAATCCACTTTTCTTTATCTCCCTGACTACCACCTTGGTCCATCCCGTAAGCATGTCACACCTTGAGCACTACAGCAGCCTCCTGTTTGGTGTCTCTGCCTCCAGTTTTGTTCTCAGCTATTAATATTCTTTTACAGTTTATATTTTATACTAAAGTAATATATGGGCATTGTCCGAACATATGAGTTAAAAATAGGATTCCTATGCCTCACCACTTCCCAAAGGAAATTCACAATTCATATTTAAGTTTAGGGCATTAAAAAGCTTATTGTATAATGGACTGGGCCTGGTGGCTCACGCCTGTAATCCCAGCTCTTTGGGAAGCTGAGGCCAGCAGATCACTTGGGGTCAGGAGTTCAAGACCAGCCTGGCTAACATGGTGAAACCCCATCTCTACTAAAAATACAAAAAATTAGCAGGCGTGGTGGCACCTGCCTGTAGTCCCAGCTACTCAGGAGGCTGAGGCAGGAGAATCATTTGAACCTGCAAGGCGGAGGTTTGCAGTATGCTGAGATGGTGCCACCATACTCCAGCCTGGGTGATAGAGCAAGACTGTGTCTCAAAAGAAAAAAAAAAAAAAAAAGCAACCTACTGTATATAGCTTAGAAAGTGAGGCTTGTTGACTGTGGATTTCGCCATTGTATGATCAGAAAGAAATCCCCAGTGTCTGTAACTGTAGGTCTTTTCATTTGGGAAACTCAGGAAGGTAAACTCTCCTATCCTGGTGTAAGATATGAGGTATGAATGCAGCTTTTTTTCCCCCCAGATTGCTATTCAATAGAGATGCTGTTTGTTAAGTATAGTTCACATTTTGCTTATTGGTATAAGATCCCATCTTTATTACTAAATTCTTATTTTGGGGGGAGGGAATCTCTTTCTAGATTGTATATGCTTTTACGTGGGTCTCTGTCTGTTCATGTACCAGTACCATACTGTATTAATTATTAATTCTTGATAGTGTGTTTTATGACCTGGTAGTTACTCTTGATTGCTCTTCTTTTTCAGAGTTTTCCTACCTATTCCTTTTTGTTAATTTTTCCATATGGACTTTGGAAAGATGAAATTTAAAAATTAATTTAGTGAGAATTTACATGTTAATGAAATAGAATTTTCTTATCCAAAAGCATGGTATGACTTTCCATTTGTTCGAGTCTGCTTTTGTGCCCTTCAATGGCGTGTGAAAGTTTTCTGCATATAAGTCTTGCATATTCCTTGTAATGTTCACTCTTAGAAATGTTCTTTTTGGACTTATTTTTGTTTGGTTCCATTCTTCTATTCTGTATATTTAGTCTCCGTGTATCTGAAATAAATTTTATTTCAAGTATATTAATTGTTCTTCCTGCTGCGTAACTTAATTCTCTTATTGTGTGTCGCAGTTTCTTAGTCAACTGCCTTGCATTGTGAGGAATACAACCATAATGTTTGCAAATTGTGGTAGTTTTACCTCTTCCTATTCATTTTTATACTCCTAATTTGTTCCTTTTATCTGACTGTGTTACTGATGCCCCAGTACAACGACAGTCATGTCAGTTAGCGACCTTGCTTTGTCGCTGGCATTTTGGGGGGATGCTGTGAGTGCTCCTTCATTTGGCATGATACTCTTGTTTTGGAGCTGGCATGTGTATATGTGTGTATATGTAACTTTTGTGTTTAATACATAATCTAAAATACAAAATCAATGAGTCAAATATATATACAATATTTTCTTGATGTTGGGGGGCTGAATATTTGTTGTATTAACCGTGTGTCGCTTTTCTTCCTTTTCAGTGGTCTGACAAGCCCTGTGTGCCTCATTTGCTTCAGAAGGACAGTTACTATGTTTATACCCAGCAAGAGCTTAAAGAGAAGCTGTATCAAGAAATCATATCATATTTCGACAAAGGCAAAGTGAGTATTGGATTGTTTTTGTACTAGGGGAAAGAGGAAAATGACCGCAGTATCGCAATACAATTCTGATGCTCACCACTTGGAGTTAGCACTGACTACCCAGGTTCAGGGCACTGTCTCCAACGAGACTGCCCCCGCTTCAGATGCCATCTTCAAATTTGGGGGTCCCCAGTCCATTCACAGTTCTGGGCAACTGGGTATACATCTGGGGGGCTTCCACTGCCCCCTCAGGTTTAATAGTCTGCTAGAACAACCAATAGTACACAGTGAAGTGCTATATTTAACCATTCCAGTTTCATCAGGAAGAATGTAAACTGGGGCCAGCCACATGAAGGGACCCATAGGGAACAGTCTGGGAGAATCTCAAGCGTGGGGCTTCTGTGTCTTCCCCCTGTGAACTCGGGGCACCTTCCCAGCAAATCAGTGTGTTCCTCAATCAGGAAGCTCACCCAAGCCATGGGTGTACAGAGTTTTTATTGGGGTTTCTTTTTTTTTTTTTTGGTAAATATGGGGTCTCACCAGTTGCCCAGGCTGGTCTAGAACCTAGAACTCCTGGGCTCCAGTGATCCTCCTGTATTGGCCTCCCAAAGTGCCAAGACTACAGGCATGAGCCACTGTGGGGTTTCATTATACAGGCAGGATTGAATGAATCGTTAACTACACAATGAACTTGATCTTTAGCCTTCCTTTTGTCCCTGAAGATTGGGCTGATATCGCATGGCTCACAGCCCTAACCTTCTAGTCACATGATTAGTATTTCTGGCATGGCAGCCCCCATCCTGAGACTAGGAGACCACCATGAGTCACCTCATTAGCATAGATTTGGGTATGATCCTGGGGTGGGGGCACCAGGAATAACAAAGACACTCTTATTATTTGAGAAATTCTAAGAAAATTCACCGGAACTCAGGACCAAGACCAGATACATGATTTAATATACAACAATAACTCACAGCTACTGTTTATTCTTCCCTTGTGTATTCTTGAATTCTGAGATTTCAGAGGGGGACAGATTTTGCAAACAATGATTTTAAAAGATTTAATTTTGAAGTGTTTCCCAATGGCTTGTGGGCTCTGCACACATTTCCTCAGAAGCCAGAAACAATGGAACATAGCACCTTGTGAACAGGAATGAAGCAGGAGGTGACCCGATGCTGCAAGTTGAATAGTATCCGTCTAAGAGACAGCTCATGAAATACCAAAGGGGTTAGAAGGCTCAATCTGGGCTGCTAGCCTCAGACACTGAGGACGTGCTTTAGCCTGTAACTTACATGGTTATACATGCTCGGAGGCATTTCCTAAAACTCATCCACTAAGTAGGGAAATCAGTGCCCTGCATTGAAATACAGTTTGCCAAATTCCACACTATCGGGGAAACCCACCCCCAATATTTCAACATAGGTTCTTTCTATTTTCCATAAGTGTTGGCCGGCTGATAAATAAAGAGAAAGAGTACAAAGAGAGGAATTTTACAGCTGGGCTGCCGGGGGCGACATCACATATCGGTAGGACCGTGATGCCCACCTGAGCTGCAAAACCAGCAACTTTTTGTTAAGGATTTCAAAAGGGGAGGGGGTGTACCAACAGGGAGCAGGTCACATACTTCAAGGGGCAAAAAGCAGAGCAAAGATCACATGCTTCTGAGGAAACAGGACAAAGGGCAAAAGGCAGAAACTCCTGAAGAGGGTCTATGTTCAGCGGTGCACGTATAGTCTTGATAAACATCTTAACAGAAAACAAGGTTTGAGAGCAGAGAAGCGGTCTGACCAAAAATTTACCAGAGTGGAATTTCCCAACCCTAGTAAACCTGAGGGTACTGCAGGAGACTGTTTATTCTTCCTTATCTCAACTGCATAGGACAGACATTCCCAGAGTGGCCATTTATAGACCTCCCCCCAAGGAATGCATTCCTTTCCCAGGGTCTTAATATTAATATTCCTTGCTAGGAAAAGAATTTAGTGATATCTCTCCTACTTGTACGTCCATTTATAGGCTCTCTGCAAGAAGAAAAATGTGGCTGTTTTTGCCCGACCCCGCAGGCAGTCAGACCTTATGGTTGTCTTCCCTTGTTCCCAAAAAATCGCTGTTATTCTGTTCTTTTTCAAGGTGCACTGATTTCATATTGTTCAAACGCACATGTTTTACAATCAATTTGTACAGTTAACACAATTATCATAGTGGTCCTGAGGTGACGTACATCCTCAGCTTACAAAGATAACAGGATTAAGAGATTAAAGTAAGACAGGCGTAAGAAATTATAAAAGTATTATTTGGGAACTGATAAATGTCCATGAAATCTTCACAATTTATGTTCCTCTGCCGCAGCTCCAGCCGGTCCCTCCATTCGGGGTCCCTGACTTCCTGCAACACCACACAACAGTACTGTTAGCCTTTTTCCATCTCCACAAACAACATCACTACACCTACACACACACACACACACACACACCCATACACACACCTGTACACACACATTTCAGAACCAAAGTCCCACAGAAACTTCCCTTCCCCCTCCAACCAGACTTGCATGCTTTCCGAACCTGGGCTGGCAGAGCTTCCTCTCTACTTTGAAGTGCTGTAGGTGCTTGACCTGTTAAACACAGTATTGCTTTTTTGGGCGACACATGGTACTTATTCTTAATGTCCGTGCAAACAGAACTACAGAAGACGCCCCTGGCAAAGCTGCCAATATACACTGTCTTTATGATGTCAGGAAATGAAGGTTTCACTGATCTAAGGGATAAAGCGAGTGAGGAATATCTACCGAAACTCAATCCCCCAGACCACTTGCTCATTCCCAGTGACTCGCCAGTGGCTTTTGCCACTGAATCAATGACTGCCTTGTTCTCCACTTTTAACCTTACTTTCCTTTTTCTGAAGATGTGGGAGAAGGCCATCAAGCTGAGCAAAGAGTTGGCTGAGACTTACGAAAGCAAAGTATTTGACTACGAGGGCCTTGGCAACCTCCTGGTGAGTCTGGGTCAAAATATGTTAGGCCTCTGACAGGGTTGCTAAAATTAGCACTCATGAAAATGTTTCCGTAAGTTGAAAGTCAGGATGAATGGTGTTTTTTTACAATGGAAAAGTCAACTTTGCTTGAAATGAGAATGAAAAAAGATGTAGTCCAAAGGCTCTGATCAATATTTCTGCCAAATATCCTTCAGAGAAGGTTCAGGACATCTCTGGAAGTGGAGTGGGGTTGTCTCGACAGTGTGGTGGAATATTGAGTTTCAGATAGTAGTGACTCGCTTTCCACATCCCTCAGGATCTCTGTCTGCAGCTCTCTCATTCTTCCTGAAGCCATTTTTCTTTCTGTGGGCCCTCCATATTCCCAGCCATCAGTAAAGCAAAACAAAAATGAGTGCCCAGTGTTAGGCAGCCACCATTCTGAAAGCTCAGTGGAGGCAGCCACCATTCCGAATGCCCAGTGGAGGCAGCCACCATTCCGAATGCCCAGTGGAGGCAGCACCATTCCGAATGCCCAGTGGAGGCAGCACCATTCCAAATGCCCAGTGGAGGAGGCAGCCATTCTGAATGCCCAGTGGAAGGCAGCCACCATTCTAAATGCCCCAGCGGTAGGCAGACACCATTCTGAATGCCCAGTGGAAGGCAGCCACCATTCCAAATGCCCAGTGGTAGACAGCCACTCTTCTGAATGCCCAATAGAAGGCAGCCACCATTCTGAATGCCTGATGGTAGGCAGCCACCATTCTGAATGCCCAGTGGTAGGCAACCATAATATTAAATTTAATAATTTCTAGTAGAGGAGTTAGAAAAGATCAGGTCACCCATAGTCATGAAATAATCATTTATTTGAGGAGCTGGGTGTCAAGATCACTTTGTAAAAAGTTTACCAGTGTGCTATTACCAGCCCCTGGCTTCACATGCAAAAAACTGACTTATTAATTTCATCAACTGGGCTGGGCACGGTGGCTCATACCTGTAATCTCAGAACTTTGGGAGGCCAAGGCAGATGGATCACTTGAGCCTAGGACTTCCAGACGAGTCTGAGCAACATAGTAAGACACCATCTCTACAAAAAATATAAAAAATTAGCTGGGTGTGGTGGCACCTTCCTCTAGTCCCAGCTACTTTTGGGAGGCTGAAGTGGGAGGATCACCTGAGCCTGGGAGGTCAAGGCTGCAGTGAACTGTAATCATGCTACTGCACTCCAGCCTGGGCAACAGAATGAGACCCTGTCTCAAAAAAAAAAAAAAATTTCATCAACTGAACTGAGCTGAAATATTAGTAATGTAACATGTTACATACCGGTCTAAGAAAATAGTATTTTGACGAGACCATCACCTAGATAGAAGAGTAATGGCATGCTAACCATTGTAGGGGAGGGGGCTCAGGTCATTGCTCAAAGCTGTCCACGTCTGGCTGGCTATTTTGCTTTCTTTAAGGCTGACCTTGTGAGCCAAAGCTGGAAAGCCCCTCATCTTGTGAAGAATTAAAGATAAAGATGGTAGCAGATACTGAAAAACCGAACATCACCACCACCTTCTGGGCACTTATAATTTACCAGACACTTTCATCCAGACCACCTGCATGAACTACACAGTCCTTCTTTTTAAAAATGTTCTTTATTTTATTATTATTTTTTCAAAACAGGGTCTCACTCTGTCACCCAGGCTGGAGTGCAGTGGTGCAGTCATAGCCCACTGCAACCTTGAACTCCTGGGCTCAAGACATCTTCCTGCCTCAGCTGCTGGCTAATTTTTTAATTTTTTGTAGAGATGGAGTCTCACTATGTTGCCCAGGCTGGTCTCAAACTCCTAGCCTCAAGCAATCCTCCCACCTCTGCCTCCCAATGTGCAAGGATTATAGGCGTGAGCCACTGCGCCTGGCCTTGGAAGGTTCTTTATCTTCTCCCATGGGTGTCTGGTTAAGTGCAGCCGCCTTCTGTGAATCTCAGAATGCACTTTTTAACCTTTTGTAGTCCCTGAGCCCACTTTGAGAAACTGCTGAAAGTTGTGCACTGCCCCGTTACGCAGAAGAATTCCAACGTGCACACACTTCAGCATACACCCTCAGGGAGTCACAGCCTTCCAACGTCCATTCATGGAGCCCAGGTCCAAAACCTGTGATCCGAGAATAGGATAACCCTTTTCTGCCCATAGGGTGTTTTCCAAAGACCTTTCATTGCTCTGGGTTACGTGGGAAACAACAAAACAAAGTCTGACTTTTTTTTTCCCCCAACTGTGTACTTATAACCTCCCCTTGGAATGTCTTGTTTTGTTTTCCAGAAAAAAAGGGCCTCATTTTATGAGAACATCATTAAGGCAATGAGGCCTCAGCCTGAATACTTTGCTGTTGGATACTATGGACAGGGCTTTCCTTCTTTCCTACGGGTAAGAAACCTGATGGTGGTCTCCCAGGCCATTAGGAGGAGGGAAGAGACTCATTTCTTTTCCAGATGGGCAACAGGGTGTTAGCAGCTGCCGACCCGTGTTCTCGCTGTGGGAGGTAGGGGAGGGAAACCACTTCCTGAGCAGCCGGCCTCTTCACCCCACACCCCCGGACACCCGTGGTGTTCTGCAGGTCTTTTGTGAAATGACTTTTCCCAGGTGCAGTGAAAAAGGGAAAAACAGAACCATCCCCCGCACTGGTCAGCTGCTACGGGTCACGCCAGGGAAAAGTGTGGACTGATGTATTTCGTTGTTTACCATGTTTCTAGCCAGAGCTAATTTGAAAATAGGTATCCCAAGAACCAGACTGCAGGAGTATCCCAAAATAAAACATTTTATTATAATAATAATGACAAGGATGGTATTTTTCTTCCATCTCAAAATTGTGTATAATGCGATATTCAATTTATAGTTTAATAAATAAAAATTCTTATCTCTTACGAAAAGTTTCTTTTAGAGCTGAGCTTTGCTTAAACATTTATTATCCATCTGCTTTCTCCTAATTTGAAAACAAGCGATAAAGCAAGCAATTTACATTCCTAACAGTGCCTAATGAGACAGTTTATTCATTCAGTCAGTAAATATTTATTGAACATCTACTGTGTGCCAGGCATAGGGAAGGCATTAGAAAGATCTTGCTGATTACAGTCAAACATAGTCCCTACTCTCATGGATTTTACAACCTAAACTCATGAGGGGAGATTTTAATCACACATGAATGTAAAATTTAATCTGCATGTCGGACGCAGTGGCTCATGCCTGTAATCCCAGCGCTTTGGGAGGCTGAGGCAGGCAGATCACTTGACGTCAGGGGTTCGAGACCAGTGTGGCCAACATGCTGAAACGCTGTCCCTACTAAAAGTACAAAAATTAGCTGGGCGTGGTGGTGCATGCCTGTAATCTCAGCTACTCAGGAGGCTGAGGCAGGGGAATTGCTTGAACCCAGGAGGTGGAGGTTGCATTGAGCCGAGATCACACCACTGCACTCCATCCTAGGTGACAGAGCGAGACTCCATCTCAAAAATAAATAAATAAATAAACTATAACCAAGAAAGATACCCTGTGCTATAAGAATCTGTAACCAGGAAGTATTTACCCAAGTGAAATAGAAACTTACCCTTTTACAAAAAATGTACAGGAATATTTATAGCAGCTTTAATCATAGTCACCAAAGACAGGATCCAATCCACGTGTCCCTGAACTGGTGATGGGATAAACAAACTTCAGTGTATCCACACAACAGAATACTGCAGCAGCCAAAGGCAGTCAGCTCCTGATACACACAACTGCGGGCATGATTCCCACCCACATGCAGCTTGCTAGGTAAAAGAAGTTACACTTAAAAGGCTGCGTACTCTGTGGTTTTATTTATACGAAATTCTTGCCTAGGCAACGCTTCCTATCAGGACAGAAAGTAGATCAGTGGTTGCTGGCCAGGGGGAGGTTGGCTGCAGAAGGGCCTGGGGAAATTTTTGGTGGCAGTGAAACTGTTCTGTATCTTGATTGTGGTCCTGGTTATGTTTGTCAAAACTCACAGAATTTTACACTAAAAGGGGTCCATTTTACTGTATGTAGATTATGTCTTAATATTATTATTTTATTTATTTATTTATTTATTTATTTATTTATTTTTTTTTTTTTTGAGACAGTGTCTCGCTCTGTCACCCAGGATGAAGTGCAGTGGTGGAATCTCGGCTCACTGCAACCTCCGTCTTCTGGGTTGAAGCGATTCTCGTGCCTCAGCCTCCCAAGTAGCAGGGATTACAGGTGTGCACGACCAGGCCCAGCTAATTTTTTGTATTTTAGTAGAGATGGGGTTTCACCATGTTGGCCAGGCTGATCTCGAACTCCTGACCTCAGTTGATCCCCCTGCCTCAGCCTCCCAAAGTTTTGGAATTATAGGCATGAGCCACCGTGCCCAGCCTATGTCTTAATAAAAAAAAGAATCAGGGCCTGGCACAGTGGCTCACACCTGTAATCCCAGCTACTTGGGAAGCTGAGGTAGGAGAATCACTTGAGCTCGGGAGGCAGAAATTGCAATGAGCCGAGATGGTGCCACTGCACTCCAGCCTGGGCGACAGAGCCAGACTCCATCTCAAAATAAAATAAAAAAAATCAGGAAAGACTTTCCAGGGATCCTCTGTTTCAGCTGCAACCTGAAAGGTAAGCTGGGAGTGGAGCAGGTAAAGGGGGTAGGAATAAGCATTGCAGGCAGAGGAAGCATCAGGCAAGAGCAGGGCAGTGCCTTGAAAGGAAGGGCCAGTGCAGCAGGCACAGAGAGAGCTGGGGTGCCAGCGGGGAGGCGGGGAGCCCTGGAAGAGCCTGCAGGGCCTTGGGGTTTCCTGGGGTGTTCTGTCTACATCCTGAGAGCAGTGGGAGCTGCTGCAGACTTTTCGTGTTGGAAAGGTCATCTGGCTTTTGTCTCCATGGTCATCCATGGAGAATGGATGGGAGGTGCTGCAGGTAAACCACTAAGAGACCATTGCAGATGTTCAGAAAAGAGATGACAGGCTAGACTCGGGACGTGGGGGTGGTGGCTTTACAGAGAAGCGGAAATACTAGAGGGGTGGAGATGAGGTCACAGCCATCTGATGATTGATGGGCTGTGTGGGTGAGGAAGTGAGAGTTGTCAAGAATGATTTCTGGGCTTCTGGCCTGCATCATTGGAGGGGGTAGTTGAACCATTTACTGGGACAGGAGGACCGGAAAAGGCCAGAGTCACAGAGGAGAGAATGAATTTATTCCTTGAGTAAATATTTATTAAACTCCTACCATATACTTGGCTCTAATATAGGCATGGGAGCAGAGTCAAAACGAACCAAAATCTTGAAATTATCTAGCTTATGTTCCAGCTTGGAGAGATCAAAAAATGAGATAAATCAATAAACTATTTAGTATGAGAGATGGCCTAGAACACTGCCTCCTACAGTGTAGCTACTCAGTAAGTATCATGGAGAAAAGGACTTAGGGAAGGGGACTAGAGAGGCAGGTGTTGGGGATGGAGTTACAATTTTAAATACAGTAAACAAGAAAGACTTCAGAAAGAAAATGGCATTTTTGCAAAAACCAGAAAAAAAGTTAAAGAATAAGCTATGCAGCTATCAAGAGGTTGAGCAAAGGTCCCAGACCTTGAGAATAGCAGGTCCAAAAGCTATGAGGCTGGAGTAGTTGTGTACAAGAGGGTGTATAGGAGAATGGGGCAGGTGGCTGTTGGTACCAGATAGCAGAGGGCCTCCCAGGGCTTTCTAAAGTGTTTGCAAAGTTTGGTTTTGCACGTACTCAAGGGGAGGTACATTTGGAACATCCAAAAGGCACAAGTCAACCATTAGCTGTATAGATCTGGAACTCAAGTGAAGTTACAGACAGGAGAGAAAAGTTGGTGAGTTACTTGTATGGAGTTAAAATAACCGTGGTTGGGGATGAGGTGGACCAGGCAGAGGAAAGAATAAAGAGTGGAAGGTCTGAGGCCAAGCATGGTGACTCATGCCTGTAATCCCAGCACTGGTAGGCCAAGGCAGGAGTCTTGCTTGAGCCCAGGAGTTTGAGACCAGCAGTTTGAGGCCAGCCTGGGCATCATAGCATGACCCCGTCTCTATAAAAAAATTTTTTAAAAATTAGCCAGGCATGGTAGCATGTGCTATGGTCCTAGCTACTCAGTAGGCTGAGGCAGGAGGATTGCTTGAGTATTGGAATTAGAAGTGACAGTGAGCTGTGATCAAGCCACTGCACTCCAGCCTGGATGACAGAGTGAGACCCTGTCTCAAAAAATAAAATAAAAAATAGAAAGAGTGTAGGGTCTAAATGCATCAGGGTCTAGTGTTAGCTCAGCTTCAATCCAGGTCAACATAAAAGAACAACCCCTGCCATAGCCGTTACATATGCCTGCATGTCCCATGAAATCAGAAATGTGACCACAGAGACAGCAGTGATTCTGTGAAATCAAGAACACCAGACTTTCAAGTCGAAAGCATTCTCGTCTAAATCACCTGCTGAGCGAGTGTGCAATTTTGGTGAAATCACGTAATCACTGAGTCTTGGTTTTCTGATCCGTAATTTAGAAAAATAATGCCTACATCGCAGGAAAGTTTTGAGAATTAAGTTAATAGCATATAGGAGTGCTTTATAAACTGTAAAGTAGTTTAGAGATGTTAACATACCTCAAAGGCATACTGTAGAATATAAAATCCTCAGGAGTGATATAACCTCACTGCCACTCTCTTCTATGGGATATTTCCCTGAATTCAGAATATTTAAAATTACATCATCCTCTCCTTCCAACCCAATGAGATCTCATTATCTCTTTTGTTTCTGTCAGGGGTACCACTGTTCTTCCTACTCCAAGACCAGTGACTTTTTTTTTTTTTTTTAAGAGGTCTCGCTCTGTCATCCAGGCTGAAATGCAGTGGTGTAATCACAGCTCCCTGCAGCCTTGACCTCCCAGGCTCAGGCAATCCTGCCTCAGCCTCCTGAGGAGGTGGGATTACAGGTGTGCACCATCACGCCCAGTTAATGTTTTTATTTTTTCTTAGATATGGGGTCTCACTATCTTGCCCAGGCTCAAGACCAGTGATCTTTGAATCAGCGTCGACTCCCCTGTCTGCCCTGCCCTTCTCCCGACACCAAAGAAGCAAACACTGAATGCTGTTACTTCTGTCTCTCCTTCTGTTACTTTTCCTTCTTCTGCTCAGTCCAGCCTGTGAGCTTTCAGTTGGGCATAGATGCCACTGTTGGCTTACATTGTCTACACTTCTTCTTTCATCATGCATCTCCTGCCTTCCAGAACCTCCAGTGAACATTCCAAGTCTTTGAAACCTCTGCCTGCCATGCGAGACCATTCATTTTCTGGCTCATTCTTCCAGTCCAAGCTCATTTCTTCTCCCAGAATTCTGTGCTTTCCGCCCCTGGGCCTGACTCTTTCCACATACCCACCTGGTCCTTCGCACCCCTTCTCTTTACGCTTCCTTATCCCATTCATCTGTCTATGCCCATCTAAGGCCCATGTCTTGCTTGAAGCCTTCTCTTTCCAGTCGAGCTAATTCTTCCTGACCTGCTTCTGTGATTCCTTTTACAGTTATCGTCTGCATCATACAACTAGCGTTGTATTACACTCTGATCCTTTACCCACCATTGTTTCATCTGAATGATGGAATTTCAACAGGCTTGAGTCCCATAGACTTTTCCTAACTTGGAAAAGTTTTATCATATATTCCAAAAGATCCAGTAGTTTTTACTCCCTTCATTCAGTGTTTGCCTGGAAAGTGTAATTGCCCTCACGGTACTTACACTATCATGTTTACTAATATATTTACTTGCTTGTTTTTTATTCTCTCCTCTAGAAGGTAAGTTCTGTGAGAGCAAGATCACCATTGTATTCCTGTTGTCCAGCTGATCTTCTCTTTGTGCAATACATATTTTTATATGAATGGACAAGTGATTTTGAAAGACATTTTACAAGACAACCTGGGCCCAAGTGTTGCTTAAAAAGGAATCATGTGTGGGCTACCAATGGAAACTGCTCATTTCAAACATGGCTATGTTTGCACTTGCCCAGGCAACCACACCTGTGAGACAAATTACTCCCATGCCTGGGGCCTAGGAAATCTCTTTGGGGAAAAAAAAATGATTAAAGAGATTATATTTACAGTCTAGAGTGGAGAAAATAGTATTTAATGCAGTAATTTTCTATTAGACTTTCAGGATTGGCTGGGGACTGTGGTACATTGCTTCTGTTCTCTGTCACTCTGTTTCTGTGCCAGAAGACACATTGCTTCTCCTCATTCTCTTATGCAGTGCTGTTTAAGTGGTGGTCCACAAATTGTTGCTGGATGGTGATGAGATCGATTAGGAGTTTATACCTCAATGTAAATTAATGCACTTCCTTCCTTCCTTAAGAATGTCTTGCCATGAAAATATCAGCATGCCTGTGGATGTCATTGATTTAAATGAGGGCACAAGTTCCGTATTTCCTTGCAGATGGGTCCAGACTGTTTGCAGACTGGCCATGGTCCTTGGGCCACACTGGAAGAAGAACTGGGCTAAGTATTTTTTATGCCTGTGATTTAACTTCTCCAATAAACCGCAGCTCTTGTAGGATATGATGGTCGCTGTCAGGCAAGGACTAGATTTTCAGTGAGAACTTGATGGTGGGGATTGAACGTTGGCTGGGGAGTGCAGTGGCTACCTCAGTACCCGGAACTCCAGTTGCCTCTCCACTCTTCCTATGTAATGACTTCCCTTTCTGTGTCTCACCTGCAGAATAAAATCTTCATCTATCGGGGAAAGGAGTATGAGAGGCGAGAGGACTTCAGCCTGAGGTTGTTAACCCAGTTCCCCAATGCGGAGAAGATGACCAGTACCACGCCTCCTGGGGAAGACATCAAGTCGTCCCCCAAGCAGTGTATCCTTTCCGGGGGGAGTATGGCCCCGAGGCTCTTATGGCTGTGCACAGCCCCAGCTAAGCCAGAGAACATAGGAGCTACAGTCCCTTCTCTGCAGACACACCATCTTCTCAAGCATTCTGACACAGGTTCCCATTCCATGTAAAATCTTTGGGACCCTAATAGCATTAGCTGGTGGTGATGACATAACAAAAGAGGAGAGATAATAGACAAATGATGGATATGAAATATACTTCGTAGCCAGATGGGGAGCTTAAGTGGAATATATACTTTCTATTGTGAATTCTGGATTCTGTTGTAGACTTTGAGACAGTATCTCTGTCCTGGTGGGTTGGGGAGCTAAGACTTTCTAAGACTTGATCATTAAATCAGAGCAGGAGCGCTTACACTTGAGCTGCTTTTGAAGCCTAACTTTACCATTTACCAGTTGTGTGATGTTGGATTTTAACCTCTCTTATCCTCAGATTCTCCATCTGTGAAAAGAGAATAAGAATATCCCTCATGTAGAGTTGTTGTGTATAGTAGAGATAACACATTCAAAATACCTAGCACAGTGCCCAACTATGGCACTGGATAAACAGACGGGATCCAAAGATAAAAGTAATTCTTGTTGCCTGGGCTCTGATTCTGGTGATTTCAGAGGGATGCTTGTCCCAAGAAATTGTTTAAATCCATTTCTAAGTACCTATTTCCTGATATTGCATTGATGTCTATTTCCCTATGGCAAGGATTGTTTGCCAGATGTCTGACCGAAAAAAAAAAAAGGGCCCTAGGATTAATTATAATCACTGAATAAGGCATTCCAGTGATACACAAAGGAACTCCCATTTTCAGTGTGGTCCTGGCATTGGGGTCAAAGGGAGTGATTGGTGCTGGTGGCATTTCCGGCTGTGAAGCAGGAGGAACAGGGGTGTTTGGTGTCTGACACCTTCACGACCCCAGCCCCTCTCCTTTCCTTAACGAGCTCTTCAGACATGCAGTGCTTCACTGTAAAGCCAGTGATGAGCTTGCCGCCCAGCTACAAGGATAAACCTGTTCCAGAGCAGATCTTAAAGTAAGTGGTTTTTCATTTAAAAAAAAAAAAAATCTGTGTCTAGGCACAGTGGCTCACATCTATAATCTCAACATTTTCCGAAGCTGAGGGAGGAGTATTGCTCGAAGCCAGGAATTTGAGACCAGCCTGGGCAACAAAGTGGGATGCTGTCTCTACAAAAAAGAGAAAAGTTTGTCTCTCCCTCACACCTGTTTGGAGTACATCAAAACCAAAGCCTTACATTTATTACAGTTTGCAAGACCTACTGTCTGTTCTACTTTGAGTGTAAGATAAAAGCTTGGTAATACAAAGGGATGTGGGGGTTTTGGTTTTTTTAGGCAGAGGAAAATCAGAAATTTCACACCTAGCTTACAGATCCCTGAGCTTTTATTTTCACCCAAAAGCATCGCAGAGGAGTGGCTGGTCCCCAGTGATGGAGGGGCTCATTCCTTGTCTTGAAAAGCTGAATGCTAACAGTATTGAAAGAACTGTTATAAAACTAGACTAATGAGATCACAAATGTATGTGTAAGTGCATACACCTTTTTTTTTGTTTTTTTTTGAGACGGAATCTTGCTCCGTCACCCAGGCTGGAGTACAGTGCGTGATCTTGGCTCACTGCAACTTCTGCCTCCCAAGTTCAAGCAATTCTCCTGCCTCAGCCTCCCAAGTAGCTGGGATTACAGGTACACGCCGCCACACCTGGCTAATTTTTTGTATTTTAATAGAGACGGGGTTTCACCGTGTTGCCCAGGCTGGTCTCAAACTCCTGAGCTCAGGCAATCCGCCCACTAAGAGACAGGGTCTCTCTGTCAACTAGGCTGGCATGCAGTGGCACGATCATAGCCCACTGCAACTTCAAACTCCTGGGCTCAAGAGACCCTCCCTCCCACCTCAGCCTCCTAAGTAGCTGGGACATACACCACCACACCTGTGTGTGTGTGTGTGTGTGTGTGTGTGTGTGTGTGTGTGTGTGTGTGTGTGTAAATGGGATCTTGCTGTGCTGCCCAGGTTGGCTGGTCTTGAGTTCAAGCGATCCTCCCACCTCTGCCTCCCGAAGTGGTAGGATTACAGGTGTGAGCCACCACACCTGGCCACATATACCTTTTAAAATTGTGTGCTGTGACTTTGAGGCTGAGGCGGGTGGATCACTTGAGGTCAGGAGTTCAAGACCAGCCTGGCCAACATGGTGAAACCCCATCTGTACTAAAAATACAAAAAAATTAGCCAGTCGTGATGGTGCGTGCTTGTAATCTCGGCTACTCAGGTGGCTGAGGTAGGAGAATCACTTGAACTCAGAAAGTGCAGCCTGCAGTGAGCCAAGATCGTGTCACTGCACTCCAGCCTGGGTGACAGAGTTAGACTCTGACTCAAAGTAGATAAATAAATAAAAATAAATAAATAAAATTGTGTGCTGTGAAATAAATTCCTAAATAATATAAAAGTAAGGTGTGAAATAAAATCAAATTGTACACTTTCTCAGGCCTTCATGTGGAGGCACTATTGATTATGAGATAGCTTAGTGGGTAAAACTCAGACCAGGCAGATGTGTTATAGGTTTTGTTGAAGTCAAGTCAAGCAGTGGTTGTTCTAAGAGAGAAAAATACAGCATTGCTTTGTCCTTCTCCAGCTACTACAGAGCCAATGAAGTGCAGCAGTTCAGATACTCCCGGCCGTTCCGGAAAGGAGAAAAGGATCCAGACAATGAATTTGCTGTGAGTTCACCCCTTTTGTCCTTTAAGAGGTAAAATTAACGGGCTGAGCACGGTGGCTCACGCCTGTAATCCCAGCATTCTGGGAGGCCGATGCGGGCGGATCACGAAGTCAAGAGATCGAGACCATCCTGGCTAATACGGTGAAACCCCATCGGTACTAAAAATACAAAAAAATTAGCCGGGCGTGGTGGCACGCACCTGTAGTCCCAGCTACTCGGGAGGCTGAGGCACGAGAATTGCTTAAACCCAGGAGGCGGAGGTTGCAGTGAGCTGAGGTCGCACCACTGCACTCCAGCATGGGCGACAGAGCGAGACTTCGTCTCAAAAAAAAAAAAAAAAAAGGTAAAATTGACATCCCAAGTGGAGATCTTCCACCTACCTAACCAGCTTCCACAGGAGAAACGATGGCACCCCTGGGAACAGAGACTTCACCTGCTAATTACCTAGACAGCAAGTACTAATTACCTAGACAGCCAGCTGTCATCTCCATGGAAAATGCTAGACTAGGAGTCCAGAATCTGGTCTCTTCCTGGGCCTGCTGCTTGTAATGACCTTGGGCTAGTCATACCTCTCTAGACCTCACATTTCCCTCTGTAGGGTGAGAAGTCCCAAGTAGACGATCCCTTTCAGCTTTAAACATCCAGAATCCTTGAATTTTATGAGAAAATTTGGCTCAGTCTCTACGAGGCATTTGAGAATAGAATCTCACTTAAGTGAACCAGGGAGTCTTGCTGTTTTCCCTGGGAATTGACCAACATTTCATGTTTTCCTCCTGGGAATTGACCAACATTTCATGTTTTCCTTCTTGCCACCAGACGATGTGGATTGAACGGACCACGTATACGACTGCATATACCTTTCCTGGGATTCTCAAGTGGTTTGAAGTCAAACAGATTTCAACAGTGAGTCATTTGAAATTGGCATTTAGAAAAAAACTTTCTGTTTCCAAATATAATAACAGCCTTTGTTGAATTCCCTCTGCAGTTCACACCAGCTTGGCCAGCCTCCTCTGGCCAACTTTGTTTTTCAAAAGAGAAATAAAAGGCATGCTTATATAATAGAGCTCCTTTGTAAAACTGATGTGACAACACCAGCCCTAAAGGTCAATCACAGTGAATGACTCTTTTATGTCCAGAGGAGTGGTGTCTGCTCAGCGATCCTGCCAGCACCCAGAAACATTTTTGGAATGCTGCTTTGGAGTTTCTTGTCAATTACATCTTCCCTCCCAAAGCCTGTTCTCTTCTTTTATTCTCTGCTAATCATATCCACAGTTACCCTAGACTCCTCCCTCTTCATCTCGCCCAAAAGCTGCTTATTTTACCTGTTTAGTATTGATTAAATCTGTTTTATTTCCCACCTCCTCATTGGCCTCCCTGCCATGCATGGCCTTCTCAGGTCCAGTTACCTCACTGCCTCAGTGGGAATTCCATTAAGGAAATCTCACCATTTCGTCCATTCTCGTGCTTAAAGTCCTTCCATGGCTCCAAGTACCTGGAGTATAAAGCCTGTCCTCCTTAGCACACACACGTATGGCCTAACTCTTCTGCCCCATCTCCTAGGCAATCTGTTGGAACCATACTGTTCATCCCATGCTAATTTCAGTCCTCTGTGACACTGGATCGTTTTCTCTGCCTGAAACACACTCTTGCAATTTCTGCACCTAACTAACTCCCATCAAGGTTCAGTTTAGGCACCAGCTTCTCAATGAATCCATCTCTGGAACACCCAAGTTGGGTGACCTGCCCTTTGTCTGTCCCCTGTGGCATCCTGGGCGTGTTTCTAACCTACCATGTTTACATGTCCTGAGACCCCGCTAACACCATCAGCTCCTCCAAGCCATGAAATACATACATCTTAATCACTTTTGTATCTGTGGTGCATAGCATGGCACTTAGCCTAAAGTAGGTGTTCAAGAAATGTTTCTTGACCAAAGCTGAACTGAAGTTTGATGTGTTATAAGTCATGGCTAGGTACAGTGGCTCATGCCTGTAATCCCTGAACTTTGAGAAGCCAAGGTGGGAGGATCACTTGAGCTCAGGAGTTCAAGACCACCCTGGGCAACATAGCAAGACCCCCACCTCTACAAAAAGAATAGCAGTATGTGGTGGCATGTGCCTGTCATCCTAGCTACTTGGGAGGCTGAGGCAAGAAGATGGCTTGAGCCCAGGAGTTGGAGGTTACAGTGAGCTGTGAATAATTGCACTACTGCAGTCCAGCCTGGTCAACTGAGTGACACCCTGTCTCTAAAAGAAAAAAAAATTAGACATTATTCCTCAGTTATGGATATGAATTTTGGATGGAGACTTTTGGAATCAAGTCTGGAATAGGAGGTCATGTTGACTGATAATGGGTAAAATGAAGAAGGAGATACTTTTTTTTTTTTTGAAACCTGATTTTGTAGACATTTCCATAGGAAGAACTCTCTGAATCTGTACTGTGTCTCATTTTCTTTTCATTCAAAATTCAGCCTGTATATTCGAATACATCCTATTATTTCTGACTTCTGATACACATAGAATTCATACTAAGATTATGTATGGTCTGAATGCATGGCCTCCAAGATCACTTACCTCTTTTCATGGAGGAAGCATCAAACGTTTTGCCAGTGGACATTCTTGGTGGTTCAGAAGTGACTCAGATCTGATATCCTGCTGTTCTCTTGTCGTTGATCTTCTCAAAAGTCTCCAAGGAAGTGTTGCCTAGGAAATGATTCTTACTACAGGTCCAGTTCTTTTCTTCTCAAATTTTCTGTAGACATTTTGTCCAAGGAATAATCATTACCATAGCTCCAATGTTTAAGTCATCATTCTACTTTGTAAGGAGATTTTAAATAGCTTATTTTGTATCTTACCACTATTCCAAAAAATTGTGGTGTCCTTATAAGCTAGCAGTCCCCAATCTTTTTGACACAGGGACTGCTTTCCTGGAAGACAATTTTTCCATGGACCTGGGGTGGGAAGGTGGGGGGTGTTGGGGGATAGGGGATGGTTTTGGAATGATTCAAGCACATTACATTTACTGTGCACTATATTTCTATCATTATTATATTGTAACACATATTGAAATAATTATCATGTGGAATCAGTAGGAGCCCTAGCTTGTTTTCCTGCAACTAGAAGGTCCCTTCTAGAGGTAATGGGAGACAGTGACAGATCATCAGGCATTAGATTCTCATAAGGCATGCACAACCTAGATCCCTCGCATGTGCAGTTCACGATAGAGTTTGCACTCCTATGAAAATCTGATACCACCACTGATCTGACAGCAGGCAGAGCTCAGGTTGTAATGCGAGCGATGGAGAGTGGCTATAAATACAGATGAAGCTTCCCTCACTTACCTGTCGCTCACCTCTGGCTGTGTGGCCTGTTTCCTAATAGGCCACGGACTGATACTGGCCTGGCATTTTGGGACCCCTGCTATAAGTCTAACCTTGATTAGCAAATCTTCCCTTTTCTATAGCTTGTGGGCATTTTATACCTCTTCAAGGGAAGAGTTAAACTTTTTTCAGTCTTTACTTGGAGCTGACAAGTGTCCTCTTTCTCCCATGTGCTCTGTCACTCAGGAAGAGATCAGTCCTCTGGAGAATGCCATCGAAACCATGGAGCTGACCAACGAGAGGATCAGCAACTGTGTTCAGCAGCATGCCTGGGACCGGTCCCTCTCTGTGCACCCTCTCTCCATGCTGCTCAGTGGCATCGTGGACCCGGCCGTCATGGGGGGCTTCTCCAACTATGAAAAGGTTCGCTTGGTCCCAGAATCCCCTAGGGATTCACAGACCTGGGTGTCTGTGTGCCTCCCTCTGTGCCATTTGCCACTGACAAATTCATTTCCTACAGCTGCTCTAAGAAATGTTCACTTTCCCTTCTGGCAAGTGAAGTGAATGAAACGATTGTCCCTGACTTCTTAGAGACTATCAGCAACCCAGCTGGTATAGAACTTACCTAGTAAAGCGTCACAGAAAAAAAACCAACATGCCTCTGGTCAAAGCACCTGTTATTCTGTCTCCCCTGAGGGTTATACAAACTGATTGGTGGACCCCAGAACCCAGGCGCACTGGAAATGAAGCAGCATCTCTGGGGATGGCAGAGCCACACTCTCTTTAGAATTAGCTTCTAGGGGCCAGGTGTAGTGGTTCACACCTGTAATCCCAGGATTTAGGGAGGCCAAGGCAGGTGGATCACTTGAGGTCAGGAGCGCGAGACCATCTTGGCCAACATGGTGAAACCGCGTCTCTACTAAAAATACAAAAATTGGCCAGGCATGATGGTGCATGCCTGTAGTCCGAGCTACTCAGGAGGCTGAGGCACGAGAATCACTTTTAACCCCAGAGGCAAAGGTTTCAGTAAGCCGAGATTGGGCCACTGCACTCCAGCTTGGGTGGCGGAATTAGCTTCTAGGACCCCTGCCTGACTTGGTGTGCCAGAGGTTGTATGGACAACTGATGGCCCTGACTCTACAATTAAATTAGTTCAACTAAGTATTCTTAGTTGAGACATGAAAGCAGTACTTGGCACAATTTAATCCATGGGATAGGGTTAGGATGTAACAGCATTTAAAATACACATCATGCATTCAGTGTATGTTAGGTATAATTAATGGAGGCAGAATTTTTCATTGCTGTGGTATGTTTACAGTGGTTAAATATTTTTTGAATATAAACTTTTTGGATATAAATCAACATTTGTCAAGGACGCCCCTGTGGAGCCGCCTGGAGAGTGGGTAGAAATTAAAGGAGCCAGAGGGGAAGGGTGAGCAGCATTAATTGGGTGGCACTCTTGTGTCCGTGTGTGTGTGTGTGTGTGTGTGTGTGTGTGTGTGTCCCGGGAAGAGCAGGAGCTTTGCACTCAGTTGCTCCCAGGACCCAGTTCTGGCTTCCAATTGGCCACTGTGTGCTCTGGGCAACATGCTTCACCTCTCTGAGCTCCATATATCTGCAAAGTGAGAAGAATGCCTGACTTGGCCAGGCACGGTGACTCATGCCTGTAATCCCAGCACTTTGGGAAGCCGAGGCGGGAGATCACCTGAGGCCAAGAGATAGAGACCAGCCTGGCGAACTTGGCGAAACCCTGTCTCTAATAAAAACATAAAAAAATCAGCTGGGCGTGATGGCGGGTGCCTGTAATCTCAGGTACTGGAGAGGCTGAGGCATTAGAATTGCTTGAACCCGGGAGGTGGAGGCTGCAGTGAGCCAAGATTGTACCACTGAACTCCAGCCTGGGTGACAGAACAACACTCCGTCTAAAAAAAAAAAAAGAAGAAAAATGCCTGACTCACAAGATAGATCACAGGATGGTTTGGAAGATTAAGGGAGACATCCTGTGTAGAAGGAACATCAGACAGTGCTTGACATAGAGTCGAGGCTTCACCAGTGTTGGTTTTCTTCCTGCCTACTTGGAGCAGACGGTGTAATTGGAATGTTCTTCATGGGTGGTGACATCTATGCTCTGTGGCTGCCACTATGATCGTCTTCTTTCTGTCCTTTTTCTCAGGCTTTCAGCCTTCTGTAGCCTTATTATACTCAGCAGCTGGGAAAGACTCAACACCAGAGACAAATTCTAGTTTCTCCATGTTAGGTGCCATAATAATATCCAGTGTTACAATGGCAGTCAATATAAAAATAGGATCTAATATACACTACTTTTTAAATACTGTAATACTTTCAGTGTGTACTTTTTCATATATATTGTTTGATACTAATCTTCATGTATTTTTTCCAAGTATTAATTTTTACAGAATACCCCTAATCACAGATTTATATATGCCAATATCTGTGACTGACACATAATATCATATGAAGTTTTTCCAGCGTGACAGTGTTCTAATTAAAATGAACAAAAAGCTAGGATAAATACATACATACATACATACATACGTACATTTCGGGACCTTTGGCTTAAGATACTAATGTATTCATTTAGTTAATATGTATGACTGCACATTTCTAAACGTAAGAAAAAGGTAAACTCATTAATCACCATGATGTATTGCAATCAGTGGGGTAGCCCGTCATTACATATTTGATGTAATATGTAATGGTAATAGGTAGTAGGTAAACTATTCTAATCCAGCTCTTTATTCATCGCCAAAATGATAAGAACACAGGAGCTGTGTGCTGTAATTCATCTCCCCTTTCTGTTCTGAGGCAGAACCCTACTAGAAAAATGAATTTCAGGGCTCTCTGCTCCAGTGTTCCCTGATCTAACCAATACTTTGGGAATTTCCATGTGTCCTACCATTTACCAAAAACAAAATTGTTACAACTTTCAAAAATTTCAAGTACTTGTATTTGAAAGGTAAAAGTCAATGAAAACTTAAGTAAATACTCCTTTTTCATTTATACTGACAGTCCCTCTAAATACGATCCTGGCTAGAATGAGCTGTTTTGCTAATGTATTATATTGTCATGCTTCTTTTTCTGATAATTATTTCATATATATTCATATTCTCTGTTGTATTAGTTTGCTAGGGCTGCTGTAACAAAGTTCTCCAAACTGGGTGGCTTAAAACAACAAAAACTTCTTGTTTCACTGTTGCACGAGCAAGAAGTCTGAAATCAAGGTGTCACAGTGTTGGTTCCTTCCAAGGATGTGTGAAAGAATGTTCCATGTCTCTCGTCCTGGCTTCTGGTGTCTTCTTGGTGCTCCGTGGCTTGAGGATGCTCCTCCATGTCTTGTCGATGGCCATCTTCTTGCATCTCTTCACATAATGTTCTCCCAGTGTTTGCACTTCTGTCTCCAAATTTCCCCTTTTTATAAGGACACCAGTCATATGGGCTTAAGGGCCCACCCTACTCCAGTATGTATGACCTCCTCTTAACTAATTAAATCTGCAACAGCCTTGCTTCCAAATAGGGTCACATTCTAAGGTACCAGGCATTAGGACTTCAGCATAGGAATTTGGGGGACATAATTCAACCCATAATGTCTGCTCGCAAGATAGGCTTTGCACATACTTTGTTTGCCACGCAAAATGGGCCATTCACTTTTATAAGTCTGTCCTGTAGTTCCAGGAGCTCTTGGTTTTATATAATGGGGGGTTTGGCTCTCAAGGCATTAAAGCAGAAGACCGAAGGGGAATCTGAAGGCTGGTCTTCGAAAGCACTTTCAGAAATGAATGTTAAGGTCTGGGAAGAAAACATGTCACTCCAATTTTGGAGTCTGTTGGAAACGTTTGCTGCAAACTTCTATTTCTCTTTCCTGATGAATTCTGTCTTTAAAACAGTACCCTATATAAGGCCTGTGTTTGGAATTTAAGTTTGGGTTTTATTTACCTGTTACAGGGACTTAGCTGGGGGGTCATGAGTGTTTACTGATGAGCCTGGTGCTGATATATAATAATAAGGGCAACCAGCATTTAATATATTTGAAATGTCTTCACATCTACATCTCATTTTCTTTTTAAAATAGCACTTGGGATAGGGGACTAGTAAGAAAGTGCAAATATTAACCTTCACTTAATATAGGAAAAAAGCGTGATATAGCCAATGTCACGGGACGAGCAGAAAAACTGTCACCTCCATCTTCTGTTTTTTAACTTTTTGCTCTTTCCCTTATAATATCTATGCACTTAATTTAATGATTAGCCTTGAGATATTGCCATTTCGCCTTTGCTTTGTTCTTTGGGAAAGTTATTTTAACGAATGACGTTTTGCTTTGTTGATGATGATTATTTGATTAGTGTGTGTGTGTGGTGGGCTGGTGACTGTTAAGAATGTAGTTTTGCTAAGAATTTGCTAATTAAGGAAAGACCACACAATAGCACACACTTTTTTGCATTGTCCAACATAGTATAAGAGCTGTCTGAGGAAAGGGATGCATTTTTAGTTAGACACATCTGGTTCTTCCGCACAGGACACATGTTTCACCCTTCCAGGCTTTCCTGCACAGATAGGAATGTGTTCTAATTAAAACTTGCATATGCTTTTTTTTAGGCTTTTTTTACAGAAAAGTACTTGCAGGAGCATCCTGAAGACCAGGAGAAGGTTGAGCTGCTAAAGCGACTAATAGCATTACAGGTACAGGACGGCTTTCCTCTACACTCCCAGGGAGGCCACAGTGTGGGACACCCATTATTCTCCAGGGCTTAAGTCTACAAGCCCACTCAGGGTGACTTTTCTTTCTTTTTTTAACCCTTGTGAAAGCACCACCTATCTATGTATTTGTTTGCTCGGCCGGCAGTTAAACTGCCCAGGGTTGACGGAGCCTTCTTAAAGCTGAGATCAAAGTTCATCGGCTGGGGCCGGGCCCAGTGGCTTATGCCTGTAATCCCAGCACTTTGGGAGGCTGAAGTGGGTGGATCACCTGAGGTCAGGAGTTCCAGACCAGCCTGGCCAACATGGTGAAACCCCATCTCTACTAAAACTACAAAATTAGCCAGGCATGGTGGTGCATGCTTGTAATCCCAGCTACTCAGGAGGCCGAGGCAGGAGAATCATTTGAACTCAGGAGGCAGAGGTTGCAGTGAGCCGAGATCACGCCACAGCACTCCAGCCTGGGCAACAGAGTGAGACTCCATCTCAAAAAAAAAAAAAAGAAAAGTTCATCTGTTGGTTTCCTGGCATGTGTTTCCAGCTGAGAGATGCTGGCCTCATTTTTTTCTCTCAAGACTTCAGTGGGCAGTGGTAGAAAACATGACTACCAAATTCAGTCTAAGACTTAAACCTATCAGTTGCTCATCCACGGAAGTGCCCCAGGACTCCGTTAGATTTGCCTCATCCCACAGTCCTTCCCCAGTTTAGGGCCAACCTGTATTCTTGGTGTGCACATTTTCCCACATCATTGACCAAAGTCCATCCAGTCCACAAGTCCTACACTGAGAAGTGGCCTTCCCATTGGCCAGCACTATGTCTAGCAGTTTACCTTTCCACCCCATCCCTCCCTTCCCCAACCAAATCAAAACGATCCCTCTTCCTGAAGCACACTGCACTCATTTTTTGCCCTTCTTTCCAGATGCCCCTGCTAACAGAAGGGATCCGCATCCATGGGGAGAAACTCACAGAGCAGCTGAAGCCGCTGCATGAGCGGTTGTCTTCTTGCTTCCGGGAACTCAAGGAGAAAGTAGAAAAGCACTATGGGGTTATAACACTGGTAAGCATGATCTAAGTAGCCTTCACACCTTTTTCTAGGCTCTGTGACCTTTTATGACACTGATTCGTTTTTCAGATGCCAAGTGAGTTGTAATAACTTAGCTATGGCATGGAAATAGTGAGGCTGGTGGGAGAGAGTGTGTTCCCCTCTTGGTGACCTTGAGCAGTCCTTGTGCTGGTCAGAGGTTCTCCAACTTGAACAACTATCAGAACCTCCCAGAGCGCCTGTGAAAATACAGATGGCTGAGCCATCATAACCCTGGAGTTTATGATTCCATAGATCTGGGGGTGGGGCCCAAGTAGTTGCAATTCTGAGAAGTTCCCGGGTGATATTGATGCTGCTGGTCTGGGGACAACACTTTGAGAACCACTGTACTAGAAATCAGGCCAGGTGCAGTGGCTCACAGCTGTAATCCCAGCACTTTGGGAGGCCAAGGAGGGCTGATCACTTGTGGTCAGGAGTTCGAGACCAGCCTGGCCAACATGGTGAAACACCATCTCTACTAAAAATACAAAAAATTAGCTGGGCATGGCGTCAGGCACCTGTAGTCCCGGCTATTCAGGAGGCTGTGGCAAGAGAATTGCTTGTACCCAGGAGGCGGAGGTTTCATTGAGCCGAGATCACACCATTGCACTCCAGCCTGGGCGACAGAGCGAGACTCTATCTCAAAACAAACAAACAAACAAACCAAAATAACTCAAAGTTTTCTGAATCCTAGACACTGGTTATTCTTGTGCTGTCTGGCCAAATTCTTACATTTTTTCCTAATCTTAGAAATAGTATCTATTTTGATGAAAAGTATACAGTTTTCACGCCTTTGAAGGGAAGAAGGAATTGTGAATTACATTTCATATGCATGTAGCTGCTTTCATAATTGTTTTTGACGAGCTCCTCACAGCTACAATTTTCTTTTCTCCTCCTGAGCAGTTCAGTGGATAGTGCGTGTATGTACTAACCTTTTCTCTCCAGTGAGTGATGGTGTAATACGTTCTAGCTCTACTTATCTGCATTTTTTTCTTTGAATTCATCCTGTTCTCTTTAATGGTCTTATTCTTTTTGTTTTGTTTTGTTTTTGTTTTTGAGACAGGATCTCTCTTTGTCACCCAGGCTGAAGTGCAGTGCGAGATCACAGCTCACTGCAGCCTTGACTTCCCAGGCTCAAGCCATCCTCCCACCTCAGCTTCCTGAGTAGCTGGAACTACAGGTGTGCTCCACCACACCCAGCTAATTTTTTTTTGTTTGTTTTTTGAGACAGAGTCTCGCTCTGTCGCCCAGGCTGGAGTGCAGTGGCACGATCTCAGCTCACTGCAAGCTCTGCCTCCCAGGTTCACACCATTCTCCTGCCTCAGCCTCCTGAGTAGCTGGGACTACATGTGCCCGCCACCATGCCCAGCTATTTTTTTGCATTTTTAGTAGAGACGAGGTTTCACCATGTTAGCCGGAATGGTCTCAATCTCCTGACCTTGTGATCCGCCTGCCTCGGCCTCCCAAAGTGCTGGGATTACAGGTGTGAGCCACCGCGCCCGGCCCACACCCAGCTAATTTTTAAAACTTTTTTGTAGAGATAGAGTCTCCCTATGTTGCCCAGGCTGGCCTCCAACTCCTGGACTCAAGCAATCCTCCTGCCTCAGCCTCCCAAAATGCTGGGATTACAGGTGTGAACCAGCATGCCCAGCCCTTTAATGGTCTTATTCTTAAACCCCTTATTTTCACATTATTTCCTCAAACCAAAGCTCTGAGTTTCTTTTCATGCTCTTTTCTCCCCCATTCCTGTCTGCCCACCTTCAGTACAGTTTCCTCCAGGGTATCTTTTTGAGCGTGTCTTTCAGCCATTAAGTGTTCAGTCGTGCCTTCTTCCTAAGATTGTGCCTCCTAACCTGCTGCTACTTAAGAGTTTTTCTAGGAGCATTTGTCTTTTGCACACACATTCCTAGACAGCAAAGACTGTCTTCGATTTAATGAGCTTAGTCATTATTAGAACTTGGCCGGTATTAGTGAGTCATTTTCATATGGTGGCATCTGGGGGTAATCCTACTGGTGACATTTCTAGAGAACATAGGATTCACCAGGTTAAGCTGCATGTCTACAGTGTCAATCTAACAATTTTCTCTAACCCCAATATTCCATATTTTAAAAGACTGAAAGCAGCTGAGCTGGGGAAGCAGACGGAAGGTTTTGCTATTTATTGGAGAGTGTGAGGCACATCTTAATTTTTTCCTGTCTCATTTAGGTAGCAGAAAATTATGACAACTTTTTCTCTAGTCTTAGCATCAGGGAGGTTTAACCTAAGTTGTACCTATAGCTAACAGTATCAGTACATGCAATATTTAACAATAGAGGCAGCACAGGCACCAACCAATCAGAATGGGGTGCCAGCCACATAACCAGTACAGATGGGTACTGGTTAGCCACAAGCAAACAGGGCAGCTGTGGCCAGTTCATAGGGGCTGGATTCCAGGTCCGCTAACCATGTGGAGTCATATGTTTTCAGCCACCCAACTTGACGGAGAGGAAGCAAAGCCGCACGGGGTCTATTGTGCTCCCCTACATCATGTCTTCCACTCTGCGGAGGTTGTCCATCACCTCAGTCACTTCCTCTGTGGTTTCCACCTCTTCAAACTCGTCTGACAATGCTCCTTCCAGACCGGGATCTGATGGGTAAGGGTTTCATCTTTAATCTGCAGGAAGGGTGGGGTAACGCCTTACTAATGTTTGCCTTTAGCCACGCATCACTCCTTTGAGAAAAATAGCCTTTGGGTCATTCTCATTGTCTTCCTCATGAGGAATGTCATGATTAGCAGAATAATAACAACAGTTACTAAAAATGAAAAATGACAAAGAAATCACCCATAATCCTACCACACTATTACATACCTATAGTCATTACCTATTTTTTTCATCATTTCCATTTTAAAAAATAAATTTTTACATCTATTTTATGAATAGGTTTTATAATCACATGGCATGAAATTCCAAAAGAACCAAACGATATATCACAAAAAATCTCCCTTTAATCTGAGACTTCCCACTACAGTAGAAGCCCTGCAGTAGCCCCACCCCTAGAGCCAGATGATGCTAACATTCAGGTTCTTGGTAGCCCCATGGCAGCTCTTTATAGGTTCACAAGCATTGCGTAATTATGTGTTCTTCCCCACACTTTTTTTATATGAATGGTAGAATTTTCTTTACTTTGCTTTTTTTCATTTAATATTATATCTTGAAACTCTTTCCATTTCAGAACATAAAAAGCCCCCTCTTTATGCTTTCTGTAGCTATAGATATGGCTCATTGTATGTATGTGGCATGATACAGATTGAGTATCCCTCATCCAAAATGCTTGGGGCCCGAAGTGTTTTGAATTTCGGATGTTTTAGTATTTTTGGATATTTGCGTTATACCTGTTCAGCATCCCTAATCCAAAAACCCCAAATCTGAAATGTTCCAGTAAGCATTTCCTTTGAGCGTCATGTCAGCATTCAAATATTTCACATTTTGGAGCATTTTGGATTTTGGATTTTGGGATTGGGGATATTCAACCTGTATATTCTACCAGTGCTTACTGGTGGTTATTCAGTTGCTTTCACTCTATTACTGTTACTTCAGTGTGACAATGAATAACCTTAAACACATGTTATTTTGTACATATACAACTATATCAATATGGGAAAAATCTCGTATGTGAAATTGCTCTGTCAAAGATGTATATTTGCAATTTTGAAAATTATTCCTAAACCGACTTCCATAAAGATTATACCAGTTTACACTCCCACCAGCAACACACAGGAGTGCCTAGTTACTCACCCTAGCCACCAAACTGTACTCTTAGTCTTTTTAAATTTTACCAATCTGATAGGTGGAAAATATTTTCTTGTATACTTTTTGTTTGTTTTTTGGTTTTTGTTTATTTTTCTTGTTTTGCCTGAAGTTGAACATCTTTTCATTTGTTTGTAGTTTTATTTTCTGTGACCTGTGGTCAAATACTTTTTTCTGTTGAATTGTTGGCCCTTTGTCTGTGAAATGAGTTGAAATGTTTTCTCCTAATTTCTCCTTTATCTTTTGACTTCTAATTTGTTGCTTCTAATTTTTTATTGAGTTGTGCTGATTTTTTTATGTAGTTATATAATCAATCTTTTATTTTATGACTTCTGGGTTTTATTTCACAATTAAAGGCCTTTCCCACTCTAAGATAACAAAAAAGGTACTTTTTTTTTTTCATTGACTTTTAGGGTTTCACTATTTACAATTTTGTCTGTAATCCTTTAGAATTTATTCTAATATAAGATGTTAAGTATGGAGCCAACATTTTTATTTCCAAATGGCTACTCAATTCTTCTTATAACATTTAGTGAACAAGTCATCTTTTTGTTTTTTTTGAAATGTCAATCTTATAAAAAATCAAATTTCCACATACTCTTTAGTCTGTGGACATTTTTTTTCTATTTCTTAGATTTACCTGTCTATTCATGTATCAGTACTATGCAATCTTAATTATTATAGATATAAAACATTTTTTATTTCCTAATATTCCTTTTCAGAATTTAATCTGGCTAGTGTCGCTATTGCTCACTGTTAGATTAACTTGTCTAGAATCCTATTGCTATTTTTATTAGGATCATGTTAAATGTATGGACTAACTTTAGGAAGAGTGATGGCTTTTTGATGCTGAGGCTTCCTTGCCAGAAACATAAAATGCCTTTCCATATGTTCAAATTTAAAATATTTGAAAGGAGTTATAGTTGTGTTCTTTCTGCCTAGCAATATATTTAAATAATATATTGCTAAAATACAGGAAAGGTTTAAAAGAAAACAATGCTTTATTACTTCATCACTCAAAGATAACCACCGTTAAAGCTCAGGTATATAATATCAAAAAAGTATGTTTATTTTTTATTTTTTATTTTTATTTCTTTGAGATGGAGTCTGGCTCTGTCACCCAGGCTGGAGTGCAGTGGTGCGATCTCGGCTCACCGCAAGCTCCGCCTCCCGGGTTCACGCCATTCTCCTGCCTCAGTCTCCCGAGTAGCTGAGACTACAGGCGCCCGCCACCATGCCCGACTAATTTTTTGTACTTTTAGTAGAGATGGGGTTTCACCATGTTAGCCAGGATGGTGTCGATCTCCTGACCTCGTGATTCGCCCGCCTCAGCTTCCCAAAGTGCTGGGATTACAGGCGTGAGCCACCACACCTGGCCCTGTTTATTTTTTATACAAGTGGAAAAGCATTGCATCTATCATGTTGTGACCTACTGCTTAATTTAATATAGGTGATGAGCATTTATGCATCATTAAGTATTTAAAATAGTCTTGAATATAAGTTATCAGTTGACTCACCATTTTTTCACAAATGTTTAATTCCATAATACAATAATTACATCATAAAAATAACCTACCTGAATGCCACCCTGCCTGGAAATCAAATATGTAGTGTTTCTTAAATTATGCATTCTTTTCCGTTGATATAGGTATATTTACATAGCTCCAATTATAGCATATAGTTTGGTACTTTGCTGTTCTTTCTTACCTTTTTATTATAAGCATTTGTCATGTTGCTGTGTAATTTTTATTTATGTATTTTTTTTTGAGACAGAGTCTCGTTGTGTCGCCCAGGCTGGAGTGCAGTGGTGCAATCTCGGCTCGCTGCAACCTCTGCCTCCTGGGTTCAAGCTATTCTCCTGCCTTAGCCTCTTGAGTAGCTGGGACTACAGGCGCCCACCACCACGCCTGGTGAAGTTTTATATTCTTAGTAGAGACGAGGTTTCACCGTATTGGCCAGGCTGGTCTCTAACTCCTGACCTCATGATCCGCCCACCTCGGCCTCTCAAAGTGCTGGGATTACAGGCGTGAGCCACCGTGCCTGGCTGTGTAATCTTTATTACTATCAGCTTTTACCATCATTTTTGATGGCAGTTGACATTGCATCATACAAATATGCCATGATTAATTATTCTTCTACTATAGAATATTTAAGCTGTATCCTTCTTTCTAAACAATTAACCATAAAACTTCATTATAGATTTTAATACAAAAATATGTATGTAACTTGTATCAGTATAAAATATATTTTTATTAAAAACTATAGCAAACATATTTGGACATGTAGCTTTCTTATTAGGATGCATTCTTAGAAGTGGTGGGATTATTTCTAGAATGTAGTAATCTAGATTCTAGATTACTTCTAGAATCTAGATTACATTCTAGTAGTATATAGTAATCTAGATTACTACATTCTAGTAGTATGTAGTTTGTGGGTAGGATTTGAACACAGGCTATCTGGCTCCAGAGTTGTGCTCTTACCCACTACATAAAACTGTCTATTGAATCTCTTACTTTAAAGATTCTGTCTTTGCCTGTACATTGAATTAAGCCCTTCACTTCCTGGGATAAGATACTCCCTAATATTTTCGTCCAGTCGTCTGATGGTCTTGTTTCTGTACATTAACACCTTGAGATGTTTGTTCAGTTGTAATTGAAAATTTAGATTTAGAATCTGAGAGTGAAGTCATAGGTCAAGAGTAGGTTGAGGAGGCCGGGCATGGTGGCTCACGCCTCTAGCCTTAGCACTTTGGGAGGGCTGAGGTAGGAGCATCACTTGAGCCCAGGAGTTTGAGACAGCCTGGGCAACAGTTTGAGACCAGCCTGGGCAACATGGTGAAACCCCATCCCTACTAAAACAATACAAACTTTAGCTGGGCATGGTGGTACACACCTGTAGTCCCAGCCACTCAGAAGTCAAGGTTATAGTGAGATGTGATCGCACCACTGCACTCCAGCCTGAATGATGGGAGAAAGACCCTGTCTCAAAAAAAAAAAAAAAAAAAAAATAGCCTAAAGAGTCATAACTGCTGGTACTTTCATAGTGAATTTTGATTGCAAGGTGATCAGTATTTGTGATGTTTGTCCTTGTTCCTGGCCAATAGCTCAATCTTGGAGCCACTTTTGGAGCGCAGGGCCTCGTCAGGTGCCAGAGTTGAAGATCTGTCCCTTAGAGAGGAGAACAGCGAGAACCGGATCAGCAAGTTTAAGAGAAAAGACTGGAGTCTGAGCAAGTCCCAGGTCATTGCAGAGAAAGCACCAGAACCCGATTTGATGGTAAAAAACAGAAAAGAAAAAAAGAAATCTCTGGAGGCTTGCCCCCCTCTCCCCTGTACCCAGGCATATCACCATCCCCTCCCAGATTGAAGCTGGGCTATGGCTTGTTTCAGGACTCAGCAGCCTGGGTTAGTGTCAGGTCGCAGATTGTGGTAAGGAAAGCACATACCTCATGAGAAGTTCGAGTCTATAAATCAACATTGGTGAAGATCTTGTACCCACAATGTAAACATGTGGGTTGATGCTTAGAGCTGTCGTTCTTGCCACTCTGTCCCCTGAGTCAATCCAAACATTGTCATTTCTCTTCTTTAATTTTTTTAAAAGGTACTTTTCCTTCCATATCAAGTTGTTAAATGTGGCAAGACCACCTTTTCCTGAGAATCAGGGTGGCTTATTTCCAACATAAATGACACAGCCCAACTGTGATCAGAAGAATCAAGTCTGTGGCCATTCAGAAAATAATCTGTGGTTCAGTGGTTCTAGTCAGTGCCTGTTCGGTGTTGCCCATCATATGACAATGCTTAAAAATCGCTCCTTCAGTTAAGTCCTTTTCCAAGTGTCTTCTCAGAAGACAAGGCTGTTGAGAGCATTGTTGAGCTCAGCCTTCCTCACCGTGAAAATGTTTTGCTTTTTCTCTCTGGTCCTAGAGCCCAACCAGAAAAGCACAAAGGCCAAAGAGTCTCCAGTTGATGGATAATCGGCTATCACCATTTCACGGTTCTTCACCTCCTCAGTCAACACCCTTGAGCCCACCTCCACTCACTCCCAAAGCCACCAGGACCCTAAGTAAGTTTTCCTGTATTCCTTATAGTCTTTTTACTAGGGAATGGAGTATGTTTATGCATCTGGGCAGTTTGTAACTAAACCAGCCAGAATGTATGTAAGACCATTGTAAAACTGGTTCAATTTCGTGTTCGTGTATTATACAGTTAGACTGGAGTTTGGCAAGGAGGCCACTAGGACTCATTAAACTTTTCTGGATAGTGATCCAAAGGGCATTAGTGTCAGTTTTATAATTGTGAAGGTATAAATGAGGCAGATCTGCACTAGGACTAGACAGATAACAAGTAACTTACAAGCTAACCATTAGTTAGGTAGACCTGAACAGGGACAAGAAATAGACCCATTCCATCTACTGCTTATAGTCTGGCTTGGGGAACCAGCAGTGCACAACACTTGAGAAGAATTGCAAAGTACCCATAGTCCAGAGGCATGGTAGAGGGATAAATCTATCGAGCCAGATGGGAGACAATTGTCAACCAAGAGTTAGAGATAATCAGTTACAGTTTCCTGGAGGAAGTGGATATTTTCCTAAGCACTTGGGCTATATCAGAGAACAGAATAATACCATACATTCCAGAAAATGTTGTCATCTTCAGCTTAATACTAAAACCCTGAACAAAAAAAGTTTTGGCCAGGCACGGTAGCTCACGCCTGTAATCCCAGCACTTTGGGAGGCCGAGGCAGGTGAATCACGAGGTCAGGAGATCGAGATCATCCTGGCTACAGTGAAACCCCATCTGTACTAAAAAATACAAAAAATTAGCTGGGCGTGATGGTGGGTGCCTGTAGTCCCAGCTACCTGGGAGGCTGAGGCAGGAGAATGGCGTGAACCCGGGAGGCGGAGCTTGCAGTGAGCTGAGATCGCGCCACTGCACTCCAGCCTGGGCAACAGAGCGAGACTCCATCTCAAAAAAACAAAAATAAAAAAAATAAAGTTTTTGCTTCAGAACACCTTGTGGAGCTCTTGAAACTTCTGGCGAGGGCGTCACCTGTGTGATGTGGGGTAAGAAGTCTTCTTCGTTCTATCCGCAGAAACCATAGAATGTGGCTTTCATCAGTTGGTTGACCAGGTTGGCTTAGGTGTTACAGTGCCAGCAACATTTCCATGAGCTTCCTTGCTCAGTGCCTCTCTCTGCCGCCTGCACTTTCTGTCATTTCTAGGCTCCCCATCGTTGCAGACAGATGGAATCGCGGCCACTCCTGTCCCACCTCCACCTCCCCCCAAAAGCAAGCCCTATGAAGGCAGCCAGAGGAACTCCACTGAGGTAGGGAAATCACAGCTGGCAACTGTGGCCAGGGAGCGCCACTCCTGGGAAGGCAGCATCAGGTTTTCCAGGCTCTTTAGTGGGCAGGTTTGCTCATAGACCTGTCACTGCAGTCGATTCTTGGCTCATTCCTGAAACCACAGGAGATAGAGAAGTTTTCAATGGGAAGGACAGACATGCAAGCAGATGATGAAGGTAGAGGCAGGTGTTCTCTGTACCTCGTCCTGGGTACCTGTGAAATAAGCCGTGAGTTCTAGTTCACCTTTTTAGGGGGGCGGGGGCAGGGTCTGGCTCTGTCACCCAGGCTGGAGTGCAATAGTGCGATCATAGCTCACTGCAGCCTCAAACTCCTGGGCTCAAGTGATTCTCCTACCTTGGCCTCTCAATTAGCTGGGACTACAGGCATGTGCCACCATGCCCAGCTAATTTTTTAATCTTTTGTTGAAATGGGGTCTCTCCATATTGCCCAGGCTGATCTCAAACTCCTGGCCTCAAGTGATCCCCCCCACCCACCTCAGCCTTCCAAAGTGCTGAGATTACAGATGTGAGCCACTGCCTGCCCCCAGCCCTCTATTTCACATTTGAAGAGTTTACTTCTTCTGAATAAAGGACAGTCATTCTGGAGTGACCTCAGATGGGTTTCCTTCAGTCATTTAACAAATGACTTTTAAGTGCCTCCTGTCTATACGCCAGGAACCCAAGTGTTGGGGATATGGCAGCGAGAGAGAGAGAGAAAATGTGTGTGTGTGTGTGTGTGTGTGTGTGTGTGTGCGCGCGCGCGCACGCACGCACGCACGCACGCGTGTGTCTGATTAGCTCATGGGAAACAAGGAGGATAAGTCAGTGTAGTTTTCCATTTCACTTTGCAAAGCCTGTGTAGATAAACTCAGATCAATTAGAAGCTAAAGCAGAATATGAGAAATAGGAGGAGAAGGCAGAATTGGGAAGAAAGCTAAGACCTGCTTCTAATTTTGTGTTTCTGCTTCTGCAGCTCGCTCCCCCACTGCCTGTCCGAAGAGAAGCCAAAGCACCACCCCCTCCACCTCCAAAGGCTCGGAAGTCTGGCATCCCTACTTCCGAGCCTGGATCCCAGTAAGGATCTTGCCCTCCCTGCAACACCGAGTGCCTTAGACAGCTGCTGCCTGAGAACTGGCCTCCAGCCGGTGTCCTCATTCCATGGGGCTCCCTGCTGACTGCATTTCCTGATCTGGGATGATGTTTACCAGCCCAAAACCAGTCATGTTCTTCCAAAAGCTTCTCTTTGATAGAATTTTGAGGCCATGCCACCTCCCTTCCAGTCCACATGGAATTCCAGAATCAGTCACAGCCTCTGATTTTTTCCAAGAAGAGATTGCCTTCACCATTGTTAAATGTCAGCCTGTACGGCAGAGACATGGTGGTCTGCACAAGCCTGGACAAGTTCTTCCATATTGATGGTGGAGCAACCCCTGTAATCTACTCCTTGGAAGGATTTTTTGCTTTGCTTATGAAAAGCTGTGCTTGAGACTTAGGTACTTTTCTCACGTGGACACACTGATCCCATCCCATATTGCATCTTGGAAGAGATGGATATCAAGTACACTTTGGTAGCTGAAATAATCATATCTTTCTGATGTCTATTGTATCTCCTTTGAGGAAAAGAACACACATTTTTAATGGAGATTGGCTGCTTTCAGGTATGTGTGTCTATCATTGAAAGAGCATGGACTCAAACATCAGCCCTGAGTTCTTGAGTCCACCCAACTCCCATCTTCTTGTGGCACAGGAAAGCTGCCCTCTCCCTCTCCCACCACACTCCTGACTAATGGCCTTCACTGCGTCGCAGTCACTCCTTCCCTACGGACTTCTTTGAAGCTCTTCCTTTTGCACATACGGCTTTTTTTTTTTTTTTTTTTTTTTGTCCTATTACCTCCTCTGAGCGCAAATCACTGGCTACAAGGGACTTACCAGTCTGGATTCAGCAGTTTCTTTTCTAAAACCCATTTGGGTGACTCAGCAGCCGCATCTGCTACCTGATTTTATCCTGGAGAATACAGTGCAATATTTCTCTTTGATTATTTATTCCTCTTGATTGTGGAATTAATTTGATTGCTTGCTAATGGTACTAGTAGTACTCCTTTCAGAAGAAAAAATGGAGCGATTTAGGTGACCAAATATTACATACATAAATAGCCACATGAAGTTTTAGACGTTTGGACTTGAAGCCTCAAAGATCAACCAACCAGTCCCCTTATTTAGTAAATAAGGAAATTGAGGCTACACACAGAAAATTGTGCTACAGATTATTACTAATAACCCAGCTTGCTAAATTAGGCTATACCTAGGTAATCTCTAGAAGACAACTCTGACAGACTCTTTAATATTTACCCCTGGTTGGAACAATATTTGAAATGTCCCAGATATTTCTATGCTACTTAGATATTTGTGGCAAAGCAGAAAGCTTTTTGACTGTGAAGGCAGAGGTCAGCACTGGGGGAAACTTGCTGGTGGTCTCTCCCACAACCTTGCCCAGAGTCCTTTCCACTAAGGAGGTGAAGAGAACAGAGAAAGAGATTTCCATTTCTGCTGCCAGAGCTGGTATTTGCCTGCCTGATTCTCTGTGTTTCCTGTTTCACCGCCACCCTTTCAGGAGAGAACTACACCAGTTCATCATGAGGGTCAGGGAAGCAAAAGCTCTCAGATGTGTCCAGGGCGTTACTTAAGAAATGAGTATGCAGATTCTGGAAGGGGTGTGGAAAAGGTGATCCTTTACCCCCACCCAGGAAAACCTGCATTGTGCTAGCATGGAAGAATCATGGGCTTTGGAATTAAACCCATTTGGTGGAATTAAACCCATTTGGTTTCAAATCCCAGTTATGACATCTGTTAACTTTGCAAACTCACAAAAATTATTTGAAATTATCTGAGTTTTCATTTTCTCACCTTCCAGAATGGGGATAATGCCTCCTGCATCGGTTGTTGTGAGGTTTCAATGAGATGAAATATGGGAAAGAAGAGGTACTCACCTGATGGTCCCTGCTTTCCTCTGCTAGGCCTGAGTAGGAACTGGAACTCTCTAAGAGCATTACTCATACTTTTTTTTTCTTCCAAGGTAGTTTGGAATGTGAGTGCAAGTTAGTTCTGCACATACAGCCCTTCTCCAAATGGTGGTTTCCTTTGAGGTCTTTTACATGATTATTTATGACTAGAGACAAACTTAATAAGAACTCAAGAGGATTTTAAATGGAGAGAACTCAAGCTGTAGAGAAAGGAGGAGGCAACAGACAGGATATGTAGGGGCTTACCTAGAGCCTGGCACGACTTCTGAGAAGTCACCCAGCAGACCGGCTAGAGGGGATTTGTGTGCCACACTCTACTTGCCGGGCTGCCATTAAAATAGAAAGATATAAAACTGGGTCACCAAAAAAACCAAACCTCAAGGCTATCCTTCCAGAGCAGTAGAAATGAGTCCCACAGCCTGGTCTTTGAGCAGAGGCTGGGAAGATAGGATACATCACTGTCTGGATACCTTCTCTTTTTAATAGAATATATTCCGTATGATTCCCTTTCCACCTTAATGGAAATAATAGCTCTCTCCTGCCTGAACAAAAGGGATTCCAGGTAGTATTGTGGCTAAGAGATTACAGCGGACGATGGAAGGTTCATTTTTTAGGGAAGGTGTTGGGTAGGAAGAGTCACATTTGACAGAATTCATAAATAATGTGTCCTGAAGTCAGAGGATGACTGCAAAGAAACACCTCATGATTCCATTAAATATAAAGAGATAAGGAGCAAGGAGGAAAAAAGAGAAAGAATTGGTCTTTATTTTTCTTGCTAAGAACTCTCTGGAGTATTGAAAGACATTGAAATTATCCCTAAAATTGTCACAACTTTTGTGAATACTGGTATACGGTTGGAGGTGTTTTTAAATCTTTATTTCCTCTCTTTCTTTGTTCTAGTGACTTGTCTTGCTTTAAGATTTTTTTTAAAGGATTGTTTTATTCAACATATATCAAGTTCTTATGGAATGCCAGTCATGGTACTAGCCCCTTGGGATGTAGTGGTTGAGTGTGTTCAATGGAAACAGCCCCAGTATACAAAGACAGTTCACTCTGGTGTGCTGTAGGATTGGAAAGGGAGTGGTACCAGATGAAAATGAAACCCTAAAGAAGACTGCTGGGCCATGAGTTGCTTCCTCCTCCTCCACCTTAACCCTCTGATTCCAGAATTGCAGTCATTTTCTTCTGCCAAGGAAATCCATTAAAAACTGCAGCCACACTGCAATTTCCTAATGTAGAACAAGATATAAAGCAGGCTTTGAGACAACAACCTACCTTTGTTTACTCTTTCCAAGCTGGAAGAGTCCTTCTCCTCTAGTTGCCCCTAGGTCACTGGCTAATTTATTTTAAAATTTAGATGGAACTCATGTATAGTTAAGTGCACAAATCTTAGCCGTGCAGATGGGTAATTTTCACATAGCTATTTGCCCACATCCGTGCCTCTAAGATAGAGACATACACTGTTTTCAGCACCCCAGAAAGTTCCCACATGCCCATGGTGCCATTTTGTGAAAGGTATTTATAAGGCCCTTCAAATTTGTGGCTTCCTTTCTCATACTTCTCAGGTATAATGAAAGGGGGAGAAAAACCCCACCATCAACACAAAACAAGGCTATAAAGACTGTGCACCTTTTAACAAGTCAATTTGTAGTCAGTCCCTGGGCCTGTCTTTTTTTTTTTTTAATTTTGAAGCTACCTGAGGTTTAGAATTCCTTCAGCCCTAGCTGCTTTTATTCTGCTTTTTATTTAAACAAAAAGAGGGGGAGGATCTGAAGGAAACTAGTTTTCTGTACAAAGGCTTTGAGGTCCATGGACTATACTTGTCCCATTTATCATCCCAGGTGGTGCTTTGACCCTGCCATACCCTGGCTATTAAGATAAAAAGATTTGTGGACATTAAAATTATGAATATGTCAGTAATAATCCAGCACACATTGAAATATTGACACAGATTACCATAATTTGTGCAACATCTTATAAACAATGTCATTTCCATAGTAGTCTAAGGCTTCACCAGCCTGGCCCACTGTATCTAGACTTTAGGTTCATTTTAATAATTATGCTTTCCTTCTCTGTATCATTTGGGAAGTTGATAAATATCACTTCCTTAGATACCTTCATTCAGTGATATATCTGGCTTTTACAATTAAATTGGAAAAGGTAAGTTTCTCTTTGGTGGGTTGAGAGTTGGACCATCAATTCTAATCTACAAAAGGAAATTCATGATTTCACTCTGACGCCTAGGATCTAGCCAAGGCTGGTCTGCAGTATCAGATGTCCAAACTCATCTACTATTAGCCATATTTTGTGAGTCGTTTGTCTAAACTTTGTCAAAAATGCCTTTGCCATGATTTTGTTGCTATCTGGATTTCAAACATGGACAGTTAGGAAGATGTGCATTGAAGTAGGAAAATTTTGTTCAGATTTGCTGTTATTTATTTTTTAAATTAAAAATGGAAATGTATTTTAAAGTTTATTGTGTGTTTAGTTTGTTATTGCCCTTAAGTTGATGAAATCATTCCTGAACTTGGCAGTTTTTCCTTATCCATGCCTCCTTCATGACACATCACACCTAGCATTTTTCTGGCTTGTTTCCTTACAGGTCCTGTTAGGTTAAACCTGCACTGTGGGGTCCTGGAGTCATCTTTGCCCAGAAATAAGAAAAATTACAAACCACTTGCTTCCTTTCACCCTATCTATTTTTTTTTCTATCTAGGCTGACAGTTTTCTGATAGCAATTCATTTAATGTACATAGGTTCTGTTTCTTTACCCATTCCCCATAGATATTTAGACAGGTAAAGAGAGAAATAAAAAGGTTAAAGGGGATATCTAATAACTTACATGAAAAGGATAGGAACTGGTTCTAAAATGGTTGAATGTTTGTATCACCTGGGGAGAGGCCATTCCCAGACCAATTACATCAGAATTTCTGAGGGTGGGGAGTAAGATCCCAGGCATCCATATTTCTTTAAAGTCCCTCCCAAGTTATTCCAATGCTAGACCAAGGTTGGAAAACCACCACATAAAGGAAATGAGACTTTAGAAAATTGGTATTTAAGATGTGTTTCATAAAATCCCTGCTGGTGGTGGGTCAAGTTGGAGAGAGGGAAGGGGCAGTCACACCTGTATTAGCACCACTGTTTAGTCCTGAGCTTATGCTTACGATTTTTTTTCCCCCAAGAAAGTGTTCTGTCCAGGAGCTGTGGCTCAAGCCTATAATCTCAGCACTTTGGGAGGCCAAGGCAGGAGGACTGCCTAAGCCCAGGAGGTAGAGGCAACAGTAAGCCCTGATCATGCAACTGCACTCCAGCCTGAGTGACAGAGTAAGACTCTGTTTCCACAAAAAATTTAAAGAAATTAGCCAGGCACAGTGATGCGTGTCTATAGTCCCAGCTACTTGGGAGGCTGAGGTAGGAGGATCGTTTGAGCCCTGGAAGTCAAGCCTGCAGTTACCCATGATCATCTTACTGCACTCCAGCAGGAGCGACAGAGGCCCCATCTCTACAAAAAATAAAAAAAAATTAGCTAGGCATGGTGGTGCGTGCCTGTAGTCCCAGCTACTTGGGAGGCTGAGGTGGGAGAATCACTTGAGCCCAGGAGGTCAAGGCTGCAGTGAGCTATAATTATGCCACTGCACTCCAGCCTGGGTGACAAAGAGAAACCCTATCTCAAAAAAAAAAAAAAGTGTTCCAGTGCTTTGCTTTTTAGAAGCAATAATGCTTCACTGTGTTCATATGATTTGTAAGAGTCACGCTTCTTGAAAACACCACAGCGTTTGGGCCGTAAATACTAACTTGACAGATCTGGGTAATCTTTTGGCTCTAGGATCCCCATAGAGAAATACTATAAAGTGTCTTCCTCTGTCAAAATCCAAGTGCTATTATCTTATGCAGTGATTCTTGGCTTTTTTCCAGTCATCTGTAAGCTACTGCAACTTCTAAAAGTTTTGCTAAAATGATCTATTTTTGAACCATTTTTTTTACTACTTGATCATTTAAAGCCATATGTATTTGAGAACTCATCTCATTAAATGTATCATTTGATATGTTTCCCTACCCTTTATTATGAAAGGCTTAGGATTTTTTTTTTCTTAAAGCTACATTGATGAGTTAGACTCTTCAGATTCAGTGTTTATGATTTTTATAAGGAGGCCATTTTCATTTTCAAAATGGGGTCTCACTCTGTTGTCCAGGCTAAAGTCAGTGTTGCAATCATGGCTCACTGCAGCCTCAAACTGGGCTCAAGCAATCCTTATGCCTCAGCCTCCTAAGTAGCTGGAACTACTGGTGTGAGCCACCATGCTCAGCTCCAAAGTGGCCATTTTCACTCTCCTCCTTCCCGTTAGTTATTTGGGCCATTGGAGCATCAAGGGTACCTCCTGAAAGCCTCTAACATCAGCATCAGGCAGTTGGATGAGCATCTTTTTATCCCATTCAAGGGAGGCCTGCAGCTGGCCCTCAAGAAATTGTCCCAAAGACAAACTTTGGCTAAGGAAATCTGATGCTTCACACAGGATGTGTAAGTTAAGTGGGTGTGTTGCTTTTTGTTAATGTGTTAAGTAATGTGAAGATTGTATACTGTTTTCATTAAAAAAAAAGTCACCGGGTAATTGGCTAATGGAAGCCTCTCATCTTGCTCACATGTATTGATTAATGAAATAATGCAGTTTTGCTTTTGTTTCATAAAGCAGGTTGTGGATCACATCATTGCCTAATTTTATTAAAGACGGAGTGAAGACATTATTTGATTCCACTTTAGAGACTCTTCCAATGGAGGTATTTGGGAAACCTGTCATTGTGCAGTAGCAAATATTTGTATTAAAAAGAGGCGGTTTTCCCCCACGGGATGTTTCTCACCCCTGTTCAAATTTCTTAGCATAAGTCTTTCCTTTTTTGAGGGAGCAGGGTAGGGGGTAGGGAGGCGAGTTCATTTGATTAAAAGAGGAAAAAGGGCTTAGATCTTTGACAGGTCAGTTTGTTACTGAGACATTGGGCAAGTTATCTGAAATTTGTTTTTTTTTTTCCAATGGTCTCATAGCCACTTGGAAGTTATGTGGCTAAATGAGAACATCAATGTCATAGTGTCTGGGGCCTTATGGAGGATTAGTCATTGCTAAATCTACATTGACCTATGAACCCTAGTTTCCTGTTTCAGCTCCAATGGACAAAATAACCCAGCCTCCAAAGTCCAGTTCTGTTAGCTGCTCATCATAGGGCAATACTAGAATAGTGAACATGGAACCAAACATGGCTGGGTCTCTTAAACTCTCTGAGCCCGTTTCCTCATTTTAAAGCAAAGGCAATACTAACTACAATCCAAGGTTCTTATGATGGTTAGTAAAAATATCTGTGCACATATGTAGCACAAAGCCTGCCCCTGGTCTTTTTGGAGAAAGAATGGTGGCAATGCTATCTGACCAGGGGACATAGGAACAATAGAGTCCCATCTCCAACGGTCTGTCTGTACTCCATTGTGTTTCTTAAATGCAAACCAAACAGATCAAGCAGATGAACACTCTATTATTTTTTAGGTCTCAGTCCCAACCCTCAGTGTGCACCACTTGGATAGATTGCGTGGGACCAGAAGGAGCGCTGGACTAGGAGTCCTTGGAGGCCCCCTCTCCTTACCCCCAGGCCTCATTTGGGTTCCAGTAAACTTTCAAAGGGTTTGGAGACGATCAAGGGAGGGAACTTCTTTCCAAGTGGAAGAAAGCCTTGGCCGTGGCCCCACCTCAACTTCTGAAGAGTATGGTCGAAGATAAAGTTATAATCCCAGAGAAACTGGAGCTGAATCAGCTTTTTCTGGCTGGACCAGTATGTGGCTGTTCTGCTTGTGGGTAGATGCAGGGTATGGGTGCTGGAGAGCCTGAGATCCCTTTTGTCAACAACAGACACTTTATCTTACCTGCCCTCCCATCTGCCACCTGTATACACACATGGAGGGCTCCCTTTGGTGGGTTTACAGTGATCCTTCCCCCGGAGTTCTGAGTTGGAGAAAGATTTAACAGGTATGCCACTTCATTCACAACACAGCACTTTATTATGGAATATGTGCAACTTGGTGTAAGGATTTCTGAAATTCATACCATTTACAGGTATTTAATGGGTTATAAATTTTCAATGTCAGAATTATACTTAAGTCATGTTAGTAATGGTCATTCCTTCTGGCCCAATGGATTTAAATCTTCTTCTGCCCAGTTTCCTCTTCAATCAGACTTTCCTGAAAAATATATAACAAATATATCAAGACTGACTTTACCAGCTGAATTTCATTACATTTTGACATTTTAATTTCTAAAATATCAGTCTGGAAGGAATTGGTCTGTTTGATTTTGTGCTCTAGTTAGTGCTAGGGAGACATGATAAATTGGGTTTGTTTTTCTGGTTTTTTTTTTTTTTGAGACAGAACCTCACTCTGTCACCCAGGCTGGAGTGCAGTAGTATGATCTCAGCTCATGGCAACCTCCACCTTCCAGGTTCAAATGATTCTCGTGCCTCAGCCTCTCTAGTAGTTGGGATTGCAGGCATGCATCACCGCATCTGGCTAATTTTTATAGTTTTAGTAGAGACAGGGTGTCACCATGTTGGCCAGGCTGGTCTTGAACTCCTGGCCTCAAGTGATCCACTTACCTCGGCTTCCCAAAATGCTAGGATTACAGGCATGAGCCACTGTGCCTGGCCGATTGGGTCTTTTTAAGCACTTAATATACATAAAATCTACATTAATAGTTTAAGGATGAGTTGTGAGGAAGGAAGTGAAAAAAAAGTCTGGTCAATTACTTTGCTATTAAACCAGCCTTTGCTTCAATTTCTTCATAATGTCATGTTTGACAAATTTCACTGCTTGCCATTTTTGTAATGCAGTAAGCAAGATTAGAAAAAGAAAGGAAATAGGCTGGGCGTGGTGGCTCATGCCTGTAATCCCAGCACTTTGGGAGGCCGAGGTGGGCGGATCACAAGGTTAAGGGATTGAGACCATCCTGGCCAACATGGTGAAACCCCATCTCTACTAAAAATACAAAAATTAGTCCAGTGTGGTGGCTCATGCCTGTAATCTCAGCTACTCGGGAGGCTGAGTCAGGAGAATCGCTTGAACCCAGGAGATGGAGGTTGCATTGAGCCGAGATTGCGCCACTGCACTCCAAAAAAAACGAAAAAGGAAATAACGACGTCTGCCCACTTTTTTCTTTGTTCTGTGGGTATATTAAGTTGAAGTCACTGTAGACAATTAAAATTACAGCTTATTTTTATATATGATTTATTTGGGCTTTCCCAGCTCCTAGGCATAACTGATCATTAACTGTAATGCCTTCTGATTGCTGCAGATAAGTGGACAATAGAGATCAGAGAATATCAACATTGAATCCAAGATTCAACTTAAGTCAGGCACAGTGGCTTGCACCTTTAATCCCAGCACTTTGGGAGGATCTTGAGGCTGGGAGTTTGAGACCAGCCTGGGCAACATAGACCCTGTCTCTACAAAAAATTAAAAAATAAAATCAGCTGGGTGTGGTGGCAAGTGCTTATAGTCCCAGCTACTAGAGAGGCTAATCTAGTCTCCAGAATTGCTTGAGCCTGGGAGGTTGAGGCTGTGGTGAGCATTGATTGCACCATTGCACTCTAGCCCGGGGAACAGAGCAAGATCCTGTCTCAACAAATAATTTTTTTAAAAGATTCAATTTATACATTCAATTCTCTTTATACTTTTTCATCAAAAACCTAATATGATTAGTGTATTTCCATTTTGGGGGGCGGAATTTGGAGGTGATTATTGTCCTATCAGGAAACTGGAAATCAAGTCCATCACTCTCTAAATTATAAATTTAGTAGTTTGGCATTTTTCATTCCAAAGAAGAGAAAAAAAAACCCATCTACAGCAGTGTTTCTCATGTCTCTATTCCCCAAGGTTCTGGAAAACCATGTAAGATAAAGCACAGTTGCAGGATCAGGTGGAGGGCTGTGGAGTAGCCTGGAGTGGAGTAGTCTAGGGGGTTTGGTGATTTTACTTGAAGAAATGAAATGCAGCAGTGGGAAGAAATTTGTTTTGTTAGTTATCCCAAAAGCTAGAACCAGGATTAAGAGATAAAAGTTACAGAGAGATTTCAATTCAACTTCAGAAAAAACAAACAAACAAAAAAACGTTTCAGCCCCTAGTGCTGTCTAACCACCAACTGGGATTGTCATGAAACACGGTCCTACCACAGGAGGTAACAGAGGAGTCAGGAATGTAAGCCCCACAGTATCTGGGAGGTAGCTGTCCTAAGTGATCCCCAAAGGCTTATCCACCTCTAGAGCTCTATGCTGTGATCATGTTATGATCACTTTAACTTACCAGAGCTCCTTTCAGGTCTCGGAGGGGAGAACGTGGCTGGTGCGTGGTGCATTCGAAGCGTTGGGTTTCTGCCAGTTGACCAACCTCTTTGACTATCTGAAGAAAGAGAATGTGATGCTTTGAGATGGAGATAAAGAAATGAAATGGTGTTTTCCATTTCCACCAAAAAATTGTGGAGAGTGGGGTCAAGGGGGATGTGGGGCTGGGGGAGATTGGGAAAGTTGCAGGATTAGCATAGGGACTTTAAGGACACAGATCTGCCATCTGACATTTCTACTGAATGGCATGGGGATCTGGAGATAATGGAGACAGTAAGAAGATATCATATTTTCCCCTTAAAGATGAAAAGAGGGAGGCACTTTGAGCCTCATGAGAGTCAGTATACCCAAAAAAACAAAAAGCAAAAAACCCCCAAGAGTTTATAGTTGTAAAAAAAGGTTGGTTTTTATTTTCTAGGTTTTACTAAATATGTTATAGTTCAATGAGATTTGCTTCATGTATAACCTGCAGAGAAGAGGCTTCAGATTCTGGGTCTTCTTTAATACTAAATTATCTTTATTATTTCTCAGAAAAGAGATAATTCCTTCCAATGATAATGAAATGATTTAAAATTTTTCCCATTCTCAGTCCTAGGTTATTTTTCAGGTTAATCAGCTAACATAGATGGCTTCTTTCCTTACATGACCCTGATGAGTGGTCATATTTTATAAACAAAAATCCTCCCGGCACTTTGGGAGGCCAAGGTGGGAGGATCCCTTGAGCCCAGGAGTTTGAGACCAGCCTGGGCAACATAGGGAAACCCCATCTCTATAAAAAGTTTTAAAAATTAGTTGGGTGTGATAGTGCATGCCTGTGGTCCCAGCTATGCAGACGGCTGAGGTGGGAGGATCACTTGAGCCCAAGAAGTCAAGGCTGCAGTGAGCTGTGATCGTGCCACTAAATTCCAGCCTAGATAACACAGCGAGACCCTGTCTTAGAAAATAACCCCAAAAAACAAGAAAGCAAGTACCTCACGTTAGTGTTGGTGCCAGTCCTATAATCTAATCTATATGAATTTAAATCAGCATGTTTTCTACTACGTTATCTTATCATCTTGAGTTTGCTAATTCCTGTATTCTACCAGTCTCCAACTTTGCTTAAATGCCCCTATCAGTGAAAAGAAATTATAGGGCATGCATCCTTGATAAGGATACTCATTTATAAATTATAAAAATGTACTGATCTAATAGCATAGATATGTTTAAAAGATGAAATGAGGAAAAAAAAAACGAAGTTCTAACGTTTTTTCCAAATCCCAAAGAATCATCTTCTGATACAGACCTTGACCCTATCCCATTGTTTCTAATTCCTTTAGCAATCCCATACACTCAGAGTATGACGTGCTGTCTCACACTTGTTGCTATTAATATATTCTTTTGGAATTTTTCCAGCTCTTTGTTTAGTCCCTGTGTGAACTGAAAGTAGGAATGGGACTTCTACTTTGTAAGTGCCTTATCTCACCTGGAGCATCTAGGGTACAACATCATAGAATATTGACATTGGGGCTATCCTGAATGTTTAATATAGTTAAATTGAATAAAATCACTATGTCTTATTTTGAAGCTGAGAGAAACTTACCTCTTGGAAAGAATCAATCAAATTTTCGGCATCTCTCTTTCCTCCAGGGCGCAGTCCATAGGACCAGTGCTGGCTGGAGCAGCCTTCCACGCACCAAGTCAGTAGAATAAGGCCAGCTAGGAGTTTTTGAATTGGCTTCATTCTAAGGCACATGAATGCACAATCAAATTAGATCCAGACAAGGTTGAGTATAAACTAAAAGACCTCTTTAGTGAAAAAGCTAGCATCTGTATCACTAACCCTGCAGAAGATGGAAGTCAGAGTCAGTTTTTACATACAGACACTGAAACTCAGAGACACTTGCTGGCTTGCCTTTAGTTTCTTAGCCACTGGGGACAAAATGAGTACTTAAGCTCACATGTTCAGGACCTTTTTAGTACTAAAATAGTCTATACTTTTATTTTTATTGTTTGGTTATCCAAACCCCATAATTCATCCCTTATCAAGTTCATCATTTTGCCTTAACATTTCCCCTGTTGTGGATTGGTCTTCAACTCTTTCATTCCTGAGATAAAGAGAACTGAGTCATCTGTTAAGAAAAGTAGCTCCTACTAGGAATCTCTGGCTAATATAAAATTGCTTGACATTACATGGCTACCCCATGGTACTAATGACATTTTTCTATTTATCCTTCAGTCTTCCTAGCATTACTGCTGGCTGAACCATCTGTGGGAGAGAGGACTCAACACTGTTCAAAGTAGTTAGTCCCAGACCAGATGCCTTCCTAGCCAAGGGGGCCTCTAATTTTCTAATGAAATGTGTCTCCAAGTTAATTTTCATTTGATGGGAAAGAGGCTAAAAACTAAATCAAACACTGGTCGATAAGCTGTGGGAGTCCCCAAAGCCTGGATCTCTGTGGCTGGTGATGGCAAGGACAGTGAAGGACAGGACATCATTAGATACCGTCACACCTGGATTTAGCCCTTGGGCTGTCAAATGCCCTGTAGACATACAATAGCATGCAATCTAAAGAAGAAAAACTCGTGCTAGAAATAATACAAAGCCTTTTACCTGTTTAGAGGCAGAGAGCCAAAAAGATCCCAATCTTCCCTTGAAGTAGGTTGAGTACTGTGACTTTTCTGTTTTCCTATCTTCCTTTTTATAGGGAATTTTTCCAGGACATTGAAATCTTTCCTGCTGGTAAATTATACTGCAAATGGACTATGCTTTTTTTTTTTTAATGGTAATTTTTAAAAATCCTCACATAAAGCCCTTTAATGGTGTATGTAATTGGAACACCCCCTGGTATATCTGTTAGATTTACTTAAGTGCAGCCATTAAAACCTCAGCTAAAACTTTTATAGCTGAGGACACAATTCAAAGAGATTAAAATCCAGCTAGATTGGATTCCCTTGAGGAAACCAGCAGACCTATCAAGAGTTCAAGGAAAATAGATGTCTTAGATTAAGTGAAGTCAAATGCATACATAACTTCCACAAAGGAGGCTATACAACAAATATAGGACATTGAGTCAGGATGTCTGGGAGCTTCTGGCTCTTGGATTCTTCATTTGTAAAAGGAAGGGTGTAGACTAGATGGACTAGATGATCACAGAGTTGCTTCCAATTTTAAAAATCTGATTTACAAGTAAGTGACACTATATACCAAGTCCATGTAGGATCCTAAATCAGACAGTTGTGTGTTTGAAAATTCCCTCATCTACCCACCAGGTTCCCTGCTTGACTTACCTTGAAAGCCTTCTAAAGCATCAAAAAGGCAAGAAACATATTCTGAGAGCAAGACCATATTGAGCAGACTTACATCAACAGATCAACTCATTTCAGTAGATGCTTATTGAGTTAAATATGCAAATCACTCTTAAGGGCAGTGGGAACAGAAAGATGAGAAATTATAGTTATTTAATAAATAGCAAATGTATAAGAGCATTCATTACAATAGCCATGCAAAGTGGGTATCATTATCTAAATTTTATAGATGTTCCACCCCAGAGGTGCAACCGTGGACGTGTTATTTACACAGGACAAGCATGTAAAATACACACACAACCATTACTCTTAATTACATTTATTTGAATACATGGTTGTCTTCCCCTAATTTACCCCTAGGCTGAAACCTGTAATAGTCAAAGATCCCATCTTATTTAAATCTCTCTTAATAAACCCCCGGCATTTAGTGAGCATTCAGTAAGTATAGGTTTGAATGAATGAATGAACGAATGAATGAATAGAAAGCAAAAAGCTTTTAACCAGGTAAGGCCTAATGCTGCCTCTATTTCTGCATCAAAGATATGCTTTATCTGACACAGAATTAAACTTTCATGTATAATTGGCTGTAAATCCTGTTATATTAGCTAAGCTGTAAGATGGCTAAAAAAAATAACTGGATATTTGTTCATTTTACAGCTGGGAATGGCAATTTCCCCTCATGTAGGATGCTAAACCCATCAGTCATTGCACAGTCTCCTCTGGAATAACTACATTTGCAGGGATTTCAGAGTAAAGAGAAATGGTGTCTTACCTAAGTAAATTCCCTTGCTTTGTCCAGCCATCTCTGTGGAGGCTGTCCAGTCCTCATGATAGGATAGAGAAGGGAGTACACTTTAAAGTATAACTGCAAATAGAGGAGAATTTAAAAATAAAATGTAAGTATTTGACTTTGTTCCATTTAAATTATTTCATTTAGACACTTTGACTCATGTAAGTGCCATTCTGACATGAAGAGTGGAATCTCATCTCACTACAATATGCAAGTAGGGACAGACTGTTTTTCAACCAGAGTTCATTATGGTTGAATAGTGCTAGTTTAAATTGTCCAATTGGTTTGTGTTTGCTGAGAGATGTGCCTCTAAGTATTGCTTAAGTAGAAAATGTGGTCTCTGGATAGGACTAATGAAATGAGAGTTAAGACTTGTGATGCATATTGTCAGGTGAATCACTTATCTCTGGGTAGGTAGGCCTCACTGGATTTCTTGTAGGTTATTTCTAACAGTTGGGATTAAATTTTTGAAAAATGTTTTGAAATTATTAAGATGAACACAGCAATATTGTATTACTCAGCATTCTCTAGAGGGACAGAATACATACACACACACACACACACACAAACACACGCACATAGGAGAGTTTATTAAGTATTAACTCACACGATCCCAAGGTCCCACAGTAGGCCGTCCGCAAGCTGAGGAGCAAGGAAAGCCAGTCTGAGTCCCAAAGCTGAAGAACTTTGAGTCCAATGTTCGAGGGCAGGAAGCATCCAGCACAGGAGAAGGATGTAGGCTGGGAGGTTAGGCCCATCTAGACTTTTCACGTTTTTCTGCCTGCTTTATATTTGCTGGCAGCTGATTAGATGGTGCCCACCCAGATTAAGGGTGGGTCTGCCTTCCCCAGCCCACTGACTCAAATGTTAATCTCCTTTGGCGACACCTTTATAGACACACCCAGGATCAATACTTTGCATGCTTTGATCCAATCAAATTGATATTCAGTATTAACCATCACAAATATGGTCTATGAATTCATCCAATATGCTGTTGTCCTTAAAGTCTCCATTAGCATTGTCTTAGGTCACACAGATCTCAAGGCAAGAGTCAACTTTGTTTTGTCTTACTTTCTATAGCACCAAATAGGTTATCAAGCCACTATGCAATTAATGAGTTTTTGATATTGAATGACAAACTTAAAACCATTTAAGGATTCCATGGTTAGGTCAGTTTATCAAAAAGTTAAATATAATAAATTGGGTTTAAATAATTGGATTTTATATTTGTCATATTTTTTTCTAAATTTGAAAGAATGGCTTTAGAGAAAAAACTGCTTCATCAACATCAAAACACCTCAAAATTATTACAGCGATGATCTCATAATATCACTGAAATGACAGATGAAAAAAATCTTTTCTTGCCCTAATGTAAAATCTCAGCAGGAAGCACTTAAGGTTAACTCCTGCTGACATGTCTAATCAGGTTGTAAAAGGGTTTCAGAGAATTAATCCTTGGATAAGGTGCTTTATACTGAAATAATGTAACCACTTTTCTTTGTAGTAATGAACCTTTTAATTTTAAAGGTAATTCTTCCTTGGGGACTTACTTAGTGCAATTCTAAGTTTTTTCCATATATTAAAGATGATTTAAAGTTGACATAGGGCAGATTTACAGTACACATAAGAGTCATAAAATGAAATGGAGAAAATATTCCAAGTCTTGATTTATGATTGAACCCTTCATAAGAATAATTAATTTACAACATTTTCTACCAGAATTTCCTTGAGACTATAGTTGAAAGAACTAGACTACAATAGATAGTATTGCTTAGTTGAGTACCAAATTTTATTAATGCAGATAATCCAGCTAGTTTAATTTTGATTTAAAACCTTTTTCCTGTCATCCCAACAGCTGTATTTTTACCTATGTGTACAGACATGTTTCATCTCTAGGGTTAATGGAAGTTTTACTATTTTAACGGTTTCTTCCCTCCTTAAAATTCTCTATCCTAGTTATCAGGCAAAAAATGTTTTGGGGCATGCTATTTATCCAGTCTAATAAAGCTAACTGGTAATATTCATCACCTAAAGAGTGATGAATTTAACACAAACAAATTAAACGAATTATTGGGGAGGCAGTCTTTTCTTTTGTTCAGAATTCATAAGGTTTGTGTTGTTAGCATGGTGTATTTTTAAAAGAATGATAAAAATAATCATGTTTAAAGAAATAAATTTACTTTAATGGTACTTTCAAAAAGACTAATCCATAACAAATTAAGTTATACTGTATTTCCTTTGCTACCCAGAACCACAGGGCTGGTTGTCAACACATATTGAAGAAATGTAAGCAAAATACAGAAAGTGATGATTTTCAAAAGGAAGAGAAGAAACTCCTTTTCAACAAACACTTTATATCATTTATTAATGCAGTATACATTAGATCTAAAATCTGCAGTTTCTAAGCACACCATGTTTAGATCTTTCAGATCCTTCTGCAGTTTTAGGTTATTTCTACAGAGGTACCTTTAAGTGAATGAATACCACATTCTGTAATTCCTGAAAATATAGTACAGAGTGAAATGATTTAAATATAATTTAGGCACATATTGATTATGAAAATAGATTATCTCTCAATACAATACTTCTCTGTCTTGGTAAAAATAATAAAGCAAAGAAAATAATTCATTTCTGAAGTTGCTTTCCTTCACTTGTAAAGGTCTGATCTCCTCCCACTATGCATATGTACCCTTTACTGTTAAGGAAAGCTTTGCATATGTAGATATAGAAGAATAAGCTACGTAAATACTAAAGATATGTCATTCTCCCAAAGGAGACACAGGTGGTTTTCAATGATTCCTTGCCTCATGTTGATGAGTCTGTAGAATTCAGAACCCATTTGGACACAGCTAATATCCCTGCTCTTGGGGTAGAAAATAAGGACACCAAGTCATTGGTAGGGAGGTACAGGCCCTTCCTCTGCTGCTGCAGAGAGAGAATGACTCAAGAAAATTGGGCTAAAATTTGTTTAAAAAAAAAAAACCACAAAAAAATAAGTAAAAGAATCACAGGTGCTGACTGATTGATAATTACATCTTGGACCAGCCAAATGCCTTTATTTTTACGTCTATTTTTTTGGTGGCTGTAATCAAATGTGTGTTTAAAATTCCTCATTCCCCACTGTAGGGTTCTAGCTGCAATTATATTACATTGCCTTTTAGCAGGCAACTCTACCATATTCACTCATATAAGCTTTGATTGCAGTAGCTCTGGATTTAGTATCTATTTCTAAGCTGGCCCTATGTAAACTATTTGGTATTTGAATTAAATGAATATTAATGATGCACCTTGGTTTTTTTGGTTTTGAAGTATCTTCCTATGCTTGTGATGACTGTATGAGAAAACTAGGCTAATAGTGTAAATAGATAGAATTGCTTGATCTGGTGTTGAGTGGAACTTGCCTAGAATGAAATTCTGAGAAATTCTCATTTGTAAGTGTTGTAGTGATAGGTAAGTTATTCCTCCATCCAGAGTTACACTGTACCTTTGGAATGACAGTGATGTACAATGATGTCTTTCTTTCCACTCTGTCTCAATCAGTAAGAACTGGATATTACTTTAATTTAGCTACTGTTCTGTCCTAAAAAGTAAACATTATAAAAATGAACCTGAAAAGAGTCTTAGGGAGTCTGATCTCACCATATTCATACGGTGTGACAGGTATTTAAAGAGGGGAGGCATCACTAAAGCTATTTATAAACCTGAACAACCTTTTCCAAGTTTTCATAAAGTTTTAACAATTTAAATATCCATACTGCATCTAGGAATTCAATAAATATAATTGCATATGTTGTGCTTTCCATAAATTAAAATCCTCAAATGCATCTCAAACCAAGATGGTATTTCCACATCATGCCTATTTAAAAGCAAATATAATAGATACTATGCCTGGTCATAAAACCAGGTAAACCCCCCTACCCCATTCAAAAGGCAGCAATATCTAGTTTCCCTACATCTATTAAATGAGTGCTTTTCTGTTAAAAATCAGAATATGGAAAAAAAGTCAGTTTTTTCCCTTATGCACCACTCAAAACAAGCATAATCCTCTAAATGTTTTTTTTTTAAATTTCCTTACAGTGTTATTTCTTCTAGACAACTGAGTGGGTGGAGAAAGAAAAGTGATAAGGAAAACATTTTCATCTTTTACATCTTCCTCCAGCCCCTAAAATTCTCATCTGACACTTTGTGACATGTGTAGTGGTGTCAGCATCTCTTCAAATATAGCTCCCTTCACGTTGGACCCTCTCAGGTTGGCTTCTTGAAGATCACACCCAGACAGATCACAATTCTGCAAGATGAAAACAATATTCATGTAATTCATGTGGAAATTTCAGGCCTTATCTATTTCTGCTCAAAATGATTTCTGGGGCAGATTAGGAAAATGTTCTTATACAATAAAACTCAGTTAATTTCCGGAAAACTGATGATACACCACCCTAAATTAAGATGTTCTTCTATCTTTATTTGTTACCTCTAGTTCAGGCTGATCACCATAAATATGTATAAACAAAGGTTAAAGAGGAAGCATGTCCCTTGTTCTTGCATATTTTATAAGGAGACATTGAAAACAGGGGTCCCCAACCCCTGGGCCACAGACTGATACTGGTCCATGGCCTGTTAAGAATCAGGCCACACAGCAGGAGGTCACCAGTAGATGAAGCTTCATCTGTATTTACAGCCAGTCCCTGTATGGCTCAAGTTACAGCCTGAGCTCCACCTCCTGTCAGATCAGCAGGGGCATTAGATTCGCACAGGAGCGTGAACCCTATTGTGAACTGCACATGTGAGGGATCTAGGTGGGGTACTCCTCATGAGAATCTAATGCCTGATGATCTGTCACTGTCTCCAACACCCCCAGATGGGACTGTCTAGTTGCAAGAAAACAAACTCAGGGCTCCCACTGATTCTACATTATGGTGAGTTATATAATTATTTCATTATGTATTACAATGTAATACTAGTAGAAATAAAGTGCACAATAAATGTAACGCGCTTGAATCATCCCAAAACCAGCCCCCGACTCTGATCTGTGAAAATATTTTCTTCCACAAAACCAGTCCCTGGTGCCAAAAAGGTTGGGGACCACTGATTTAAAATACAGAATGGATTCCAACATAATAAATACACACACACACACACACACACACACACACACACAATTTTTTTTTTGAAACGGAGTTTTGCTCTTGTTGCCCAGGCTGGAGTGCAATCTCGGCTCACTGCAACCTCCACCTCCAGGATTCGAGCTATTCTCCTGCCTCAGCTTCCAGAGTAGCTGGGGTTACAGGCACTCACCACCACGCCTGGCTAATTTTTTCTATTTTTAGTAGAGACGGGGTTTCACCATGTTGGCCAGGCTGGTCTCAAACTCCTAACCTCAAGTGATTCGCCCACCTTGGCCTCCCAAAATGCTGGGGTTACAGGCATGAGCCACTGCGCCTGGCCCCAAAGTAATAAATATTATCAAAACAATTTTACTATGATCCAAGAACAACAACAACAAAAGGAATGAGATGGGGGGAAGACTTTTTTTTTAATCTGAAAAGATTTTACTTAATCAAATTGTGTAATAGATTTTTCCATTCCCTAGCCCTAGTATTTTTATAGCAAGGAACTGCCCTTCTTTTTAAAGCCCCAAAGGTACGTATATAATACAGTGAGTTTGACAGATGTACAGAACAGTGTAACCACCGCAATTTGAAGCTATTTCTTAATTTGTCTTGAGATCACGGAGCAATAAGATAGAGATTCCACTTAAGTCCCTGGATATGATAGGGGACAATGGTTAGAGAGAAGGGTGACTAAACGTAACCTGTTAGGAGAACAAATGTCAGCAGCTCTCCCCTCAATAGTCAACCTGATCAGTCTTTGCAATCAGAGAGAGGGAGGCTTTTGCTGCTAGGCCACACTGAGTACACAGTACTAAAACCAAGGAAAAAAATATAATCTTAGGTGAAAGTAATGTAACAAACAATAAATAATTGTGCTCGTGATAGGATTATACTTAGGCCAATTCTTTTTGCCTTGAAGTTGAAAGGGGCCTGCTACTCTGCTACCGAGAGCTATCAAGATATCTAGGCAAAAATATTATGAAAAAACATTAACAGCAAGCTAAATTTTGACATACCGTTCTCTGCTATCCAATTTATACCAGATTTCATAGCTACCAGCCACATGTGGCTACTTAAATTTAAATGAATTAAAATTAAATAAAATTTAAAAATCAATTTCTCATTTGCACTAGCCAAATCTCAAGCGCTCAATAGCTATATATGGGTGGTAGCTACTATACTGAACAGCACAGATATAGAACATGTCCCTCCTGCACAAAGTGCTATTGGATAGTGCTGATATAGACCTATCAACAGCTATCAAGTCTGCTAGCTAAACTGGCAAATTAAGAAGACATACAAATATAATTCTTTGAAAAAGATGACCAGGCAAAATTATAATCTCAAGCTGAAAACCAAAAAACATATGGTTCCAATTTCAAATAGACTTTTCCTGAACCTGATTTCAAACCTGGATATCATTTAAATTTCTCAAGTAGTTTAAGAAGTAATCTAGCCCATTTAATTCTATTCGGAATTAAATTTTATGGAAAATGCAATACATTAGATAACACATCTATCAAACTTATTTACTTGAGAAAAACTCAAGGAAAAGGAGAGAAATGAAATCAACTTAGACTGAATGTCAGATGAGTCTTCCAATCCAGTTTTACCAGCCAACTACTTTGTTTTGATTTCAATAAATTTTGCATGAGATGCTTAGTAAGTCTAGAGTAATAAAAATTCTTAAAGTGTTGGTGAACTCACCTCTAAATCAGTTCCTGCCAGAGTTGCTCCTCTGAGGTTACAGTTCTTCAACTTTGCATTTTTTAAGGTAGCCACTCTCAGGTTAATTCCTGTCATCTGACTTCCTTCCATATCCACACCTTTCAGATTAGCACCTACAGTGAACACATTCTGGGAGTAGTTTAACTTAAAAATATAGTTATCTACCTTCAACAGAACTGCAAGATGACTTAATGGAGGCCTCTTTTAACTTTTGGAAATTAATCTAAAATCTTGTCTCTCAACGAACTTATATATATAAACAGTTTACTGATGAAAGAATGCTTTCACAATACTTTTGAGGGAAGAAATTTAGTTCTGTCTTATGATAGTTAGCACTTTCATAATATGCCTCTACAGGTTTATGATAAGGGAGTGAAGTAGTCTCCTAAATATACAAGTAAACAAAGTGATCAGTCACAGATAGTAACAAATTAAGAAACAATACATTAAATCTAAAAATGATTTTTAAAAACTCCCTGGCTTTATGCAAATGAAATTTTTCCTTTTGGTCAGTGTAAGAATATTTTATTCCATTTGAAAGTTTAAGATGTTGATATTTAATTTTCCAACTAAAACCTTATTAAATATTTGAGGTTTTATTTTTTCTGAGTCCTCAATTTTGATTAGCATTTGACTGAAACCAAATGGAGGTTTCTTACCACTTTGGAAGTTCTCCAAATATGATGACAGAAGAAACCTATCCCCTACAGCTATCCTGTTTCACCCTTAACAATTATTTTCCAGGGCTTTTTTCCTTTACAGTCTGCTTCCTTCGTAGAATAGGTATTTACAGAAAGGATCTCACCTTCTAAATTGGCTTTAAGACCAGAAGGATCCTCAAAATTACACAGTTTCAGGGATGCTCCTTCTGCATTAGAACAGAGCATCTTGACTCCCTGGAGATTCGCACACTGCAAAGAAAAGAGAAAAGTCCTGGTTGTAAGGTTCATAATTTTGTTCAAATTAGCTCAAACAGTAAAAGAAAAAAAATAGAAAAGAGGGAAAGGCTCAACTCAAAACACTCATACTCAATTTTATTTTCTGTTTACAATAAAGGCTTTTCTAATTAAATACAGTAAGAACTGGGAACATTTGAAAGAAAAATTTTTTTAAAGAACTGTTTTTTAAAAAATAAATGCAAATTAACAATAGCATGCTCATTTTACATGAAACATAACGGTTTAGATAAAGAAGTTGGGTGAGTCAGAACTCTGACACCTCTATCTCTATTTTTATAAACATACCTATGCATGACAATGAAACAGTCAAAATGTATGGGTAAGGAAGGCATAGACTTGTTAGGGGTATGGATTTTCTTATTACTGTAGGAATCTTGATGTTCTAAGTGAAATTCTTGATATTCTAAGATGCTACTACTGCCCTCAAGTCAGAGGTCAGAATACAAAAGCCAGCATTTAAAGGCATTATTTAGCTAGAAAACACTAACAAGATGCTGGCTGGGTCTTTCTGCACCAACCATGGCTAAACATTATTAACCCTGAGCAGGCACATCACAATGCATAATGCAGGGCAGAGAGTAAAATGGTAGAAAATATATGTTTTAAGACTTTATTTTTTTGTTTTGTTTTGTTTGAGACAAAGTCTCACTCCGTCACCCAGGATGGAGTGCAGTGGTGCTGTCTCAGCTCACTGCAATCTCTGCCTCCCAAGTTCAAGTGATTCTCGTGCCTCAGCCTCCTGAGTAGCTTGAATTACAGGCATGCACCACCACGCCTGGCTAATTTTTGTATTTTTAGTAGAGACGGGGTTTCGCCATGTTGGCTAAGATGGTCTTGACCTCAAGTGATCTGCCTGCCTCTGCTCCCCAAAGTGCTGGGTTTACAGGCATGATCCACCACACGCAGCCAAGAGTTTTAAATTATGTTCATTTATCTCAAAGCGTTTTTGACAAACATCTTTTTTTTTTTGTCCTTAACACAAACAAAGATGCCTCTCGACATTTCACTATTTAAAGATTAGGTCCTTCAAACGTTTTTTTGATGTTAGTCTTTTTCCTGTTTTGCTACTAACCTGACCCTTCATGATAAGACAGAATAAAGGACAGTGAAAGTAACTAAAATGCATATTTGGTAGATTTTGTTACTCGCCCTGATACACAGCTTCATGGAAAAATAAGCTGCAGCTAATGAGTAAAACCCAAATTAGAGTAATTCAATAAATGACTACCAAAAGCAAGATGGTATTAATTCAAAAGACATACAGACACGGGCCTTGGTGGTAAGGAACTTAAAGTTGTTAAAAATTAATAGATTTCATTGTTGGTCTGCATATATCCTCTAACTTCAAATAAACACAGATAACTGTTATAAATACATACATATACATATATATAAATATACACATATATGTAGAGAGAGGGAAAACGCCACTGAGATGTTAACTTCCACAAACTGATGCATACCATGTTTATTTCAAAATATCTGTCAAATACTTCTTGAGCAGTAACATTTTCCCATTCCAGAAATGAGGCTGAATAGATTTCAAGGTTCCTTTCAGCTTTACCTTTACAATTAGCTGAAAATATGAGTCCTGATAAATAAAGTACAGTATATTGAGGAGATCAAGAACTAATTCCAAGATTTAATTTCTTATTAGTTACTAAACCTTTCAAGTCTATGTTTAATAAAGGATATCAAACCTGTAAAACCAAATTCATTTCACTTTCAGACCTTTAGTCTTATATCAACATAATAAATTATCTGTTTTCAAGTAAAAGCTCCAGTAAAAGATAGTTATAATTCCTGTCTCAAAGGCTCTTTGAGACTGTTCAATAGACTAAACATTTAATTTTCTCTTGTAGCCTAAAATGATACTTACGTCAAGCACTGATCCAGAGAGATCAGCTCGTTCAAGATTTGCACAGCAAAGATTTGCATGTGCAAGATTACAGCGGCTTAAATTGGCCATTTTGAAGTTAATGTATCGAAGGTCCAAACGAGAAAGATCAGCACCACTGAAGTTCAAACCCTGAAATAAAAAAGCACAAATTGTCACCATAACTAAATCGTCTGTTTGTATTAAATTTAATTACTATAGCTAACCACCAAGTTTTTTTTAGAAGCAATTGGCAGTTCAGTCACTTGGAGTTTATTACAGAACATGATAAAATGGAACTTAGATACATAAAAGAAGTGTCCTTAAATAGGTTCCTCATAAAAGAAACTCTATCAATATATACATTAGAATATAGCCCGGCTATAATTCATTTCTGTGTAGAAGCTTCTAAAGAGGGATCCCTGTTAGTCCTATACCTGCTAATAAGTATTTAAACCTAATTATATTTAAATTATTTTATTAATTCAGTAATTCAAAACAGTTTATTAGGCAAAAATGAGTACTGTGGTCTTTACAATTTGAAATGCTATAGTACACATAAGTAAAGTACCTGCCACTGATCAGCCCATATATTGCAAATGTACAAATACTGACTTTTAAAAAACTGCTGCAATTTCTATGCATTATTCATAAACTGTTGCATGAGGTATAATTAGACAATTTAAAAAGGCTATTATTGCATCTCTTTTTCGTTAACCATTTCAGAACTAAATCAATGCTATGACTCATAATTAAATTAGATCTTGCATGTAAAAGAAAAACAAAGCAAGATAATCCCAAAACACTAGAAGAATGTAAAATTTTATTCATAGATTTGCTGATAGAAATAATTGATGTAAAAGCCTGCTAATTACCTGGCATCGCAGTTCTGACTTGGTTGGAGTTGCTAGCAAAAATCGGACAAATTCCTTTCGGGATATTGGTGAATGATCCTCCGGTGGTTGAGAATTCTTAAAAAAGACATTAAGAAATTAGTGGAGTCTTTTGGGAGATAGCTACAATGAATGTAACACTGGCTAATGTAAAAACAGGCTTACCTTTATTGCCACTTCTAGGTGTTCAATCAATGAGTCAATACCAAAAAATCTTGCTTCTTCTAACACACCTATCAGAACAAAAATAATTCTGAAACAACCTAATTTAGTGAATGTATTACATTCATTTTGAATTTACTAAAATACGATTAGTTCACATAATCTTAACATTTAATTGCCTTTTTAAATGGAGCAGATCTGAACAGGTTTGCCACAAGTATCTTTTACATACTGAATCAGAAAATGATAGAAATGAATAAAAGTTTAAAAAGTACAAAAAAGTCAAAAGTATAATTCAGAAATCTGTCTTATAGGAGAATAAATTTTAAAATATTTGTAAATACTAAAAGAGCTTTCATTTATCATTTACTTTAACTTGGTAAAAAAAAATGTACATCCTTTACATGACTTGGTATATTTACTTATTCTAATCTGTTAATAAACATCATCAGAATGTGTGGGAATACATTTGGGTTCCATTATCTTTCAAATGAGAAGACCTCAATCAGTTGGCTGTTGACTCAGTAAAAAACTACTTAGAACTCTGGAATTACAAAGAAAGTATCAGACATAATCCCTCCCTTCAAACACTTACAAGCTAATAAGGGTAAGTAGATACAGAAAACCAGAAGCAGTTATTTGGGAAGAATAATACAATCTTTTCTGTGAAGACCAAACTCTATGGTCAACAATCCAATTGTAAAACAAACGTCATCCAAGGTACAGCATCGGGCTACCACTCTGGCATACAGGGTCCACATTTCCCCTTCAAGAGGCATCCAAAGATTATGCCATTCCGTTCGGATATATATCCCTGGTGGAAACTCAACATATTATAAAAGAGGTTCTTGTGGGCCACGCTCTCAATTTGCCAAGGTCTAAGTAAAGCAGAACTCTTAGGGAATGCAGCCAGGATACGTTTCCAATTCTAGGTTTAGAATTAAACCTTTAAAACATCCAGAGAAGCCATAGAAATACAAAAGACAGGCCGGGCTCACACCTGTAATCCCAGCACTTTGGGAGGCTGAGGTGGGTAGATCACTTGAGGTCAGGAGTTCGAGACCAGCCTGGCCAACACATGGTGAAACCCTGTCTCTACTAAAAATACAAAAAATTAGCCAGGCGTGGTGGCAGGTGCCTGTAGTCCCAGCTACTCGGGAAGCTGAGGCAGGAGAATGGCGTGAATCCAGGAGGCGGACCTTACAGTGAGCCGAGATCGCGCCACTGCACTCCAGCCTGGGTGACACAGCAAGACTCCATCTCAAAACAAAAAAAATACAAATATTAGCTGGGCATCATGGTGTGTGCCTGTAATCCCATCTACTTGGGAAGTTGAGGCAGGAGAATCACTTGAACCCAGGAGGCATAGGTTGCAGTGAGCAGAGATCACACCATTGCACTCCAGCCTGGGTGACAGAGCGAGACCCTGTCTCAAAAAAAAAAAAAAAAAAAAAAAAAAAAAAAAAATCTGGATTTGAATCCCAGCTCTGCCACTCACTACTTTTTGGTGTTAGTGAAATTACTGTAGATTGTTTTAAAGCATATAATTACTTGGGGCAACCTGTAGGCAATGTAAAGAGTTTGGATGGAAACTGTACTAACTGAAAACAATGCTTTATAAAATGAATCCAGCAGAGAGCTCTGCTTTTTGAACACTTGAACAAATAAATGGTTGAGAAACATGAAAAAGAAAAAACTAGCAAATCTTGGTAATAGCTTGGTTTGCAGATGTGTGACACAGCATGGATAAATATATTTCTGACATTTTCTAGGCAAGTGGGATACAAAATGCTATCAATAATTTGAAGAAAAATTAAAATGGGAGAAATAGAAAGCAACAAGAATTTAGTTATAAAGTTATAGAACTAGCTAAAAGGGTCAAATAATATCTTTTTTTTTTTTTTTTGCAATAGGTACATGTTCAAGGGAATATAAAGTTTGTTATAGCAACACTAAAAGTTAATGGGTGTTTTGTATTTCACTACAGAAACTGTAAGCCAGCAGTCCTCAGGCTGATTCTGATGTGTTCAGCATGTAATGTTTTCAAAACAAAAACATGTCACATAAAATTTTAGATACCCAGGTTTTCTTTAAAAACCAAGGTTCTGGCACTCTACGTCTGACCACTTTGCACATGGCAATGATCTGCTGAAGCTGACAGGCATGTGACCTCAAGATTGCCAACTGCCTACCATTCCTCAAGTACTAACATCACATCAACTTCAGTCACTTGGAGGCCTATTAGCTTCCAAATATGCAACCAGTGTTTTATAAGGGCTTTGTCTACATCACCTCCGTGAATCTTCACAAAAATCTTGTGATGTAGATAGGGTCAAGAGTGCTTTTAACACTCATTTTTCCAATATGACTCAGAGAAATTTCCCCAAGTTAGTCTCCCTAAGTTAGCAAGTTGTAGAATCAAGACTCTAATTGAGAATTATGATTGCAAGGCATGATTTGCCCTCTTGACTACTCTAGTTCTCACATAATGTGGGGAATATCCAGAACTTGGAGCCAAGTTACATTCTTAATTCAATTTTTAAAAAAGGAAACAACAAAATCCTTTAAAGTCACTTGTGATAGAACGTAAATCAATTTAGAATATAAAGTTGATGCGTATGGCTTACATATTTAGCTATATGTACAAAGACTATCTACCTGAAGGACCACCTGCCCGTGCCTAAATCTATTTCTACACCTATATCACTCATATACATGTGAAAACATCTAGTTTAAAAAATAGAAAAAATATATACTTTTACTTTATGGAAATATACTGTTACTGAGTGAAACAAAGTTAAAATCTTAAACTTACAAAAATGTGAGTAGTTACATAATTATATTGAAAGTCTAAATAAACTCACCCAATAAATTAATGCCATCATTTACAATGAGCTGTCCATGACGCAAGTAGTTCAAAATGGGTTCGAAGTACTCAGGACTTCGGTCAATTAAGAAAGCTCCTCTATGATCTTGCTTATTTCCCCAGACACCTGTGTCACCATTATAATAAAGAAAGTCCCCCATAAACAAAAAATAAAGTCAGAAATGTATGAGGAAAAAATTGCTAAATATAAGTTTTTACTCTTAAAAACTGACATAATTAGTAAGTACAGAAGGTCAGGAGTTATAAAGTCAGCACAGATATAAAACAGGTAAGATGAAATGTGAAAACAACGTGTTACACTCACCTTTGTCCTTAAACATGTGGGCCAGCATACTGTCAGGTTCTTTATTCACTAAAGTGCTCCTAAGAATTCAGGGAAAAAAATTGATTTCTCCATTTGTCTTTATAAACAAACATATTTAAGTCAAGAGTATACTCGATCCCAGCTGCTCTCTCAAAAAGATGCATGCTACAACCTGGTAGGAGTAACGCTGGGAAACAAAAACGTGCAGTAAGTTGCCATTTATCAGATCCCTTCTAATAGGGTACTTCCTTTGATTTAAACATTGTTTTAGTTTCCTTTGCTTTAAATACTTGTCTGTCTATCCTGTAAGCAAATTATTACATAATAATATTCTTGATCTTCCAAACTTACATTTTTCTGCCCTTTAATAAAAGCAGTTGTAGTCTCCACAAATTTCAGTAGTGTTAATTTTTACTTATATTGTGTGTTTATTACTCAATATCTAAAAAGCATGTTTTTTTTTTTTTTTTTGAGAAGGAGTCTCACTCTGTCACCCAGGCTGGAGTGCAGTGGCAGGATCTCGGCTCACTGCAAGCTCCGCCTCCCGGGTTCACGCCATTCTCCTGCCTCAGCCTCCCAAGTAGCTGGGACTACAGGCGCCCGCCACTACGCCCGGCTAATTTTTTGTATTTTTAGTAGAGACGGGGTTTCACCATTTTAGCCGGGATGGTCTCGATCTCCTGACCTCGTGATCCGCCCGCCTCGGCCTCCCAAAGTGCTGGGATTACAGGCGTGAGCCACCGCGCCCAGCCAAAAGCATGTTCTAAAACACTGAAGTGATGCCTTTTATGCTTTCTCTGGAGTGAACCATGTTTTTTTCTTCAAAAAAAGTTATAAAAAATGGTTTCAGATCACATAGTATATTTAAGCAGCATTTGAGTATCTTTTAAGGAAATCAGCAAATTGAAGAACAAAGGGTACACAGTGCTTCTTTTGCATTCTCTTTCTAACACACATACACACACACCTACCGTGTAGTTGTAAAGTACCGCCCTCCAACATTTAATGTCAGCCAGTCTGTGTGGAATCCTAACAATCCCTCAGGAGGCTTAGAATCTGTCTGAGGATCTAGAGATGACATGTAGAAAATAATACAAATATTAAGATTGGGGATTCTGGGAAGATGGTAATGGCATAATTTTTTAAACTGAATACACACATAATAAAAGCATACCAGAGCTACTAGGACAGCAATACCCAAACCCACAGACTGCATCTAAAACAACACTAGGTGATAAGGTAGTCCCACCAATACCAACAGCTATAAGAGCAGCATGCTTTCAGCGCCTGTGAAAGAAAAAGCAGAGAGAAGCAACAGGGTATATGATGAACCCATGAATGTTAAAGCCATCCATAGATACTGACTTCATTGCTTAATAAGTCTAGCTGAAAACAACAGATTGAGATCATCCCAAAAGTGGGTGATGCAAGTAGTTTGCAGTAAGATCTTATAGGGCTGAAAATAAACTCTTAAAACCAAATGGCCAAAACTCCCTTCCATGGACAAAGCCCCATACTGATAAGATGCTGGGAAAATAATCCAAGTTGAATGCAACAAAGACAACAGAGACAAAAAAAAAAAAGGACTGCAGATGAAAGTTAAGAGGTTTAATAGACCAGAATATATCAGAAAATGAGTTCTGTGTATTTTAAACACTTCACAAAAACAACAGAAAAGGGAACTCTAGAGCCATGAAATTGGAAAAACTGTCCTGTCAGCCCTCTTTTCAAGTTAAGAAAAACTAATTTCATATAAAAATGAGCAATACAAAAAGACTGATCAAATGTTAATACAAAAGTGTTAAAATAATAATTGTCCTTATAGATAATGAAAACATGCCAGAAATACCCACAAAATAGATCAAAATTATAATCTAATATTCCAAAACATGCTAAAAGAAGTTTATACAAGGTATAAAACAACAATATAAACCAGGATTTAAAAATTCAGAAATGAGTAGCAAGAACTCCCAAGAGAATTAGAAATAAAAGAAAAATGATTTTTAAAGACTAAAGCAAAAGAAATACAAGAGTGATTAAACACAATAGACAATGACTTAAGGGAAAGAAAAGGTAAAAAAGAGAATAGCTTGAAAAATTAAAAAGAAATGGTCAGACGTGGTGGCTCATGCCTATAATCCTCTGGGAGGCCGAGGCGGGTGGATTGCTTGAGCTCAGGAGTTCGAGACCAGCCTGGGCAACAGGGCAAAACCCCAAAACCCCATCTCTACAAAAAATACAAAAAAATTATCCGGGCATGGTAGCACACATCTGCAGTCCCAGCTCCTGGTTGGGGGCTGAGGCAGGAGGATCACTTGAACCCAGGAGGTTGAAGCTGTAGTGAGCCAAGATCATACCACTGCACTACAGCCTGAGTGATGAAGTGAGGCCCTGTCTCAAAAAAATAAATAAAATAAAAAGAAAGGAAAAGAAAGTTTCAAACATAAAAGACAAGTGTAAAAGATCCACCCTACATACAATAGAGTCCTGAAAGAAGGAAATCAAATCAAAGTGAACAAAATAAAAATGTCAACTTCAAGAGAACTGTACTGAAATTTTAAAATACATACACTTGAAACTATATATTGAAAGGATCCATCACATACTGAGAAAACCAATCCAGAACAACTCAGAACACCAATAAATATTCTACTAAAATTACTGTACTTTAAAGAAAGAGAAATATCCTTTGGGTGATCTATGAAAAATAATCACATAAGAAAGATCAGATTTTTTGAGACCAACACCTCAGGCCAGAATAAAATGCAGTAACATATTTAAGATATTCAAAGAAAAATAATGTGAACCAAGGATTTTTCAATAGCTTCACTGAGGTATAATTAACACAGAACAAGTTACACATACTAAAGTTTATAATTTAATAAGCTTTGACATATAATTTTATACCAAAATTATATAAAGATGGTGGATGGCAATGGCATCTTGCCATTGGAAGATGTCACCGAATATTGTTCTCATAGTATCTTGGAGAGAAATCTACTAGAGAACAAGTTTCAGATAAACACTGGAAACATAACAAAAGGACTGGAGGTAAGTGTACGCTTGAAGAAGTAAAACTAAATGAGTGTATAAAGGGAGACACTATAATATACAATGGCTATATGTTCCGACAATTCAGAAACAATACAATTATTTTTAAGTAAGGGGAGAAGGGATTTAGCATATGAAAAACATTTAACTGTTTTTAGTAATTATATTGGTACTGAAAGTATTGAGTTTGTTACTCTGACATTTTTAGATGTGTTCTGTATGGGGTAAAGTAAATGAGTAATTATGTGACATTATAATTCTATTAGTCTCCATGTCCCTGAAAGTCAGGACTATTGATATAGAAAAAGGAGACACAGATGTAAGACAGAAGAGGATAAGTAAAAACCTTATAATCCTTAATATAAACTTTAAGTACTACTATGAAGCCATGAGTTATTTCATCTATCCATATTTTGTTATATATGACATATAAACTTTATATCCTATAACATACATTATATACAAATTTTATCTCTACCTATATATTTTCAATTCTGTCCACCAAAAGGCATAGCAACAATAATGAACCCAATAGCGAAGAGCCTCCCTAGCACCCAGATTTGTCTTGGAATGACACTTCCCACTAAAAAAATCAAGGCTTGTTGGAAAAATGTTGATCCAGGTCTGAGACAGGAAAAGGTTTTAAGATGAACACCAGTTATTCCAGATAATAAGAAAGCCATAAAATCCAACAAGGTTTGTTAAAAAGACCCGAAGAGATTTCCAGTGGCAAAAAATTAAGACCATCTGAACATCAATAAATGCAGAGGATGAAAATATACCAAATATTTTTAAATCCATGAGTTAATAACAATAAAAAAACCTTAATTGATCATTTTTTATTGTGTTTGTATGCAGTGGACCAATTAAGTGACCATTGCCTGCCAGTCACTGTTAGGCCAATGGATAAAAGAAGATGAGAAGTTCTTGCTTACAGTTTTAAGGTAGAGACAGACAGACAAGAGTATGCACTTACTTCTAAGTTGACAATTGCCTGTGCAACAATCGTGAGAACTACTTCCACTCACCAAATGCAATTAGTATGATGCTTTAAAAAATACTTAAATATTCAGAGTGTGGACTGTATGGATCTAAATAAATCAAATACTTTATCTTCCTTTCGGCCTTTTCTTTTGAGATATACAACTATAAGCTTTCTTCCAAATCAAAGGGTAGTGTGTGTGCACACCTGTGTGTGTGGTTGATACCAAGTCATTTTTTGGCTGATCTGATCACTGTGAAATACTGTCAAACACTACTTACGCAAGCAATATTTACTCACAAATATGTAATACAACACGTAGAAAAATTTTGACATTCACCATCAAAGAAAAAATTTTCAAACAAAACAATTGTTTCTAAGATCAAAACTACCTTACTATGTTACAGTTAATGAATATGTATACCTCCAGAGCATTTTAACGGCATGTAAAACATGCATCTATAATAAACTACGATCATATAGTAAAAAATTTACTTTAACATACCCAATGCAGAATCAAAAAGTGTGAAGATTTGAATACAGCCATAAGATCATTTTTAATGTTTAAGCTTAATAGCCCCATTTAAAATAATTGTCATTCCATCTTTTTTTTTTTTTTTTGGCAGATAAAATTGGCTTTTAAAGTCACTTACCAATAAATGGCTCTCCTTCACAAACAAACAAAACATCATCATCCCTGGGGAAATCAAAATTTAAAAAGCTACCATCAAAATCTAAAAATCACATTAATTATCTGTTGCTTATAGGAACTATTCCTTACAATTATATAGACAATAGGTTTTGCTATCAATCTAGACTGCAAAGAAGCTAAGTTTCCAATGCTTTGTTTAACCCCTTGAACTTAACTGTCTTTGAATTTAAATTCAAAAATAAGATCTTGCACATGAAAGTACTTTTGAAATGTGGGGAAAAAAATCTCCTTACACAAACGATGTTGAGTTCAGCTTTCTTATCAATTGAGAATGAATAATTATGCTGAAAGGATAGATTAAAGTCACAGCCAACTATTCTTTTTTTCTTTACATTTTTTACCCCTAAATCATCAGCTGTTGTGTGCTTTGGAGATGAAATAAACTGTCATATTAAATCTAGGAAAAATATAGCTGGAAGTAACTCTACTGTCAGTGTTTACCCACTACACATCCACCATACACCCAAATGTAAATGGCTGCACATAACCCAGAGTTCTGGACAATCAGTGCACATCCTCTTCCTCAACCCATTACCCCAGATACTGTATTGTGAACCAAAAATGAATAAACAGATATCTTATAGCTCAGAAGGCTTCAATTATAACCTTCCATTGTAGACGTTTTTATTTCCTATAGGACATCACAGGACACGTTAAATTTTTCTAAGAAGCAGAGTTCGTGTTTGTTAAGAAGAAAGTTAGGTTGATGAGGATCATCATCCAACAATGTGACTCAGTTTTCCTTAGAAACTGAAAGAAGCTGGGAGATACATATTGAAAAACTAAGAAGTTATCCTAATTTATTTGGATTTAAAATGTAGTGTATAGTATTTCCTACTTGTTCACCATGCCAGTTTACTTTTTCAGATTAGTATAAAAATCTGTTTTCATTAACAAAACCCAACTAGCTGTATGACCTGAGTGAGTCCTCAGCTTCACAGGTAATTCGTTTCCTCATCTGTAAAATGAAGGGTCTAGAACTGATTAACTGCAAAGCAGTATATTATACTGAAAGGTCATTTTGATCTAGATTTATACAGAGACTTTGTATATCATTATAGGTTAAAGCATCATTATCTTCACATCACTGATAAAAAAAACTCATGTTTTGCCAATTAAATGGTATAACTCAGGCAAAGCAATGATAACATAAGTGGCATAGTCAATACTTAATTTGTGTTCCCTTTACCATCTTCTTTGTTAAGCATCTTCCTGCTCCAAAATTCTCTGACCTCATGAAGATGAAGTAAGGTGAACTACACACTTGTTTTAAAGAGATAAATCTGCCTGAGATATTTAAGGTACAAACATAAGCCTATAATTATGGTGGATCACTGGTGATATCACTACTTAGAATTCTATCATATTTATAAAGTTTTTACAAAATCTGGCCTTTGTAATGATTATAAAATGCAAAGCATTCTTAGGAAATGATTAACAAGCAGGCGCATATAAAAGTGAAGAGATGAATTAGATTTTTAATGTTAAAAACTGCACGTCTTACTAGATCCTTCTCTAGTACCACAAAGAAGAAATTCCTCATAGCTATATATGAACTATGCAGAAAGACTATCAGTATACTGAAATGTACTAAGGGTTTTCTAGCTGATCAATTCACCTTAAGCCCAAATGATTTAAATTCCAAAGAGCAAATTCTAGGTAAACACTTGCCAAAATCCTGTACTCTTAACAGTGATTAAATTACTGCTTAAGGGAAACAGCATAGCACCAAGAAGTTGAGGCACACTGTTGACAGCTTATAAAAAGGTGAAGGTTACCTGATCAAAGCAATATCATCAATCAGTCCACCTTTCCCATTATACACACTGGTGGCTTTTATGCCGAGTTTACTGCTGGCCACAGAAAGCAAATCAGATAAAGTTCCATATACAGCAACCACCTGTAAACACACCAGAATAATATGAACAATTTCTTTAATACATGTTATCCCCCATAAGTTATAAACTACCACACTAGAACAGTGCTAAAAAGATTATCATATAAAAGGAGACTTCAAAAGGTTCTTAACAGTGCCCCCTTTTCTTCCATGACTCATTTATTCACTTGGTGCCTAATATTGCCGACTCCTCAACTAGAACATAAGAAATCATCTCTGACCAAAACAATCTACAATCCTAAGGTGTGTTAAATAGCGCTCCAGTTGTGAAGTAAGATAGACCTACACTTCGATCTAGAGTCTGACATTTTCTAGCTGTCAACTTGAGTCAACCTACTGATGCTTCTGTTGCTTTAACTAGAAATGAAGAAAATAGTAGCACCTACTTCAGAAGGTATTATGAAATGAGTTCATGCATAAGAGCTTAGCAAAGTGCCTGAGACCTAGTAAGTCCCTATTATGTTGTCCTTTTATTATTTATTTATTTGAATGGTTCATCCTTAGAACAGGAGTGTGCTGGTACTGTTTATTATATCATTAACGACATCAACTACCACAGAAAAGATAACTTCTCACCTCATTTATTTAATTCTTCACTAACTAAGCCAGATTTTAGCATCTAACATTTAAGAACAGAGCAAACAGCTGGGTGACAATGAATTGATGTGTCCTGCTGTGAATCAAGCAGTCTGATATATGTGCAAGATACATGCAACTGTCTAAGCAGGGTGCTGAGAATTTCTACATGTAAGTGAATTTTGTGCCCTGGTCCTAACTGTAACTATGGGTTCCCAGCGACTGAGTTGTGCAGTTGCACCATTATCAGTTATGACCTCTGAAAGTTAGGAATAAAAACTAGGTAAGGGTCGGGCGCAGTGGTTCATGCCTGTAATCCCAGCACTTTGTGAGGCTGAGACGGGCAGAGCACTTAAGGCCTGGAGTTTGAGACCAGCCAGACCAACATGGAGAAACCCCATCCCTACTAAAATACAAAAATCAGCCAGGTGTGGTGGTGTATGCCTGTAGCTACTCCAGAGGCTGAAGCATGAGAATTGCTTGAACCCAGGAGGCAGAGGTTGCAGTGAGCCAAGGTTGCACCACTGCACTCCAGCCTTTATGACCAAGCAAGGCTCTGTCTCCCCGCTAAAAAAAGAAAAATAAGTAGGTGAAGAGCTAAACACGAAGCACAGTCAGCTAGCTCATGGACGTCCCAAGATTTATTATGTCAAGATGCCATATGAAGTGAGCACTAAGGCTGGTCCTCTGTCCACCAGTGACTGGAATAGAGTGGACAGTTTCTAGTTAAATAAATACAGTAAATGGAGGACATGGAAAAAGCTGCTCGATAACATACGAGTGTGCAGTTTTTCAAAAGCAGAGTACTCAGATTCTAACTTTTTTCTCTTGGATCAGAAGGATGAAAGCCAGAAGAGTGCTGGGGCATTTTGGAAAGTGTTGAAGGCAAGAAAAATTTAAGCGGAACCAAGTGCATTATAAAAAATAATGTACAACCCAAGTGTCCATAAGCAGGTAATTGCATAAATAAAATATGGTATATATATACAATGGAATATTATTCAGCAATAAGAAACAATGAGGCCAGGTACAATGGCTCATGCCTGTAATCCCAGCACTTTGAGAGGCTGTGGCAGGTGGATCGCTTGAGCCCAGGAGTTCGAGACCTGCCTGGCCAACATGGTGAAACATGGTCTCTACAAAAAAATACAAAAAGTAGCCAAGCATGGAGGCACATGCCTGTAGTCTTAGCTGCTTGGGAGGCCGAGATGGGAGGATCACTTGAGCCTGCCAATTCAAGGCTGCAGTGAGCCAAGATCACGCCACTGCACTCCAGCCTGGACATGATGGGACGGAAAAGAAAAAAGGAAAGGAAAAAGAAAAGAGAAAAGGAAAGGAAAGGAAAGAATAAAGAAAAAGGAAAGGAAAGCAAAGCGAGAAGAGAAGAGACATGAATTCTGACACATGCTGCAACATGGATGAACCTTTTTGACAGTATGCTAAATGAAATAAGCCAGTCACAAAAGGATAAATATTCTATGATACCACTCACATGAAAGTACCCAACACAGGCAAATTCATAGAGAAAGAAAGCAGAATAAAGGTTACCAAGGCATAGATGGGAATGGAGACTTATTTCTTAATGGTTACAATTTCTGTTTGGGATGATGACCAAGTACTGGAAATAAACCGTGGTGATGGTTACACACATTGTGAATGTAAACAATGTCAATGAATTACACATTTAAAAAATGGTTAAAATAATAAATTTTGTTCCATCTTTTATCACAATAAAAAAAATACTGCAAAGCACTTGGCACAGTGTCCTACACACAGCAGGCTTGCCATAAATAATTAAAGCCTGAGTAGGGCTGGGCGCGGTGGCTCACGCCTGTAAAATCTGCACTATGGGAGGCTGAGGCGGATGGATTGCTTAAGCTCAGGAGTTCGAGACCAGCTTGGGCAACACAGTGAAACCCCATCTCTACTAAAATACAAAAAATTAGCCGGGCGTGGTGGCGTGTGCCTGTAGTCCCAGCTACTTGGGAGGCTGAGGCAGGAGAATTGCTTCAACCCGGGAGGCAGAGGTTGCAGTTAGCTGAGATCACACCACCACACTCCAGCCTGGGCGACAAAGTGAGACTCCTTCTCCAAGAAAAAAAAAAAGAAAAAAAAGCCTGACTAAAACATGTCCCCCATATTTCCTATGATTGTTCACCTCTGCAACACAGTGAGGTATTCTGTAATTGCATTATACACATTCCTGGGACAAAGCGAAGCGAAATACAGTACCTAGGGCATTGCACACGGCAAAGCTGGGGTTGTGTTAAGGCAAAGAGCATGAAGAGAGTAAAGACAGAGAAGAGAGAAGCAAACATGCAAAGGAGCAAGAGATTGACCAAAGCAGATGCAAAACAACTCCTGCAGTCAGAAGGTGCTGTGAAAAGAGGGTAAGAAGCACAAGCACCTCTTTCCCAATTCAATGTTCTTGGCATAGTTGCCATCATACAAAGAATTTTCTAAATCTTTCTTTTCCCTCTTATTTACCTCTGGCTCTTACATCTCAGTATGGCTTTCTTTTGCCTGATATCCCCTCCTTGCCCTAACATCAACTTTCTCTCTCAGCATCTCTTTCACTGTTCTCTCTTGGCCATACCAAAAAATAGATGCAAGTTGAATGCACCTGCCTGTATTATGCTTAATACTTAATGTAATATTATAGCTTAAGATCTTATATGACTTATTCAAAATACACTAACTTGAATTGTCGTCTACTTCCATATGATTGACTTGGTTTTTCTGTGGGTCTATTGTCTTCCGATGAAAATAAAGGCCACCTGCCATGTTTTAAAGCTGTGCTGTCCAGTGTGGAAGCCACTAGCTTCATGAGTCTATTTAAATTTTAATCTATTAAAATTAAAAGTTAAAATGCAGTTCAGTCACACTAGCCACATTTCAAGTGCTCAACTGCCACACTGGCTAATTGTTACCATATTGAATAGCACAAATTTCCATCATCTCAGTAGTTCTATTAGACAGTGCCATTTTAAAGAGCAGAAAAAAAAAAATGAAGAAAAAAAAACACAACTATTTTAATTCTATTAGGCTTTCCCATGACATAGGAACCCAAAGTAACAAACTGATGAAATACAACTCAAGACCTGTTTGTTGTTTTATTTAGAGGGTTGGGATGTTGCCATCTTCTGTTTCTTCCCCACTGAAGTCAAATGTGACCAGATGATAGAAAAAAACCACACATACTGCTTGGCAAGGACTATTTTCAAGGCAATCAAAGTACAACAGGTATTTCCTTGTAGGCTGTAAAACTACTAAGGAGCACAGTCTAGGTATAAATTGAATTCAACTTTTATTGCCACTTAAATCAATCCTAATAAGGTATCAAAAACAATTTACCGTATCACTAAATATTTTCTAATCTGGCTGTCTGCCTGGATCCTAAAGGTCCAATAAAAAAAATTAATTTGCAAAAAGTTGTTATGAATTCTGTGAATAGAGGTGACCAATTATCCCTTGGTAAAGCTGATAAGCAGCACTAAAGAAGTACATTCCTGAGCTGTTCTACTAATAACCGCCATAGGTTCAAATGGTACATTACCTGGCTTACAGCAGGTCTTTGACAAATATTTCTTGAATGTTGAGTGTTGAAGTAGGACACACCTTTTTTGTGTGACAGTCATATTCATTTAAGTCTCTTACACTGTCATTAGGGTAAAAAAATACACAGTATAAATGCAATTCTAAAGCAGTCTGGGCATGGTGGCTCAAGCCTGTAATGCCGGCACTTTTTGGGAGGCCAAGGTGGGTGGATCACCTGAGGTCAGGAGTTCAAGACCAGCCTGGCCAACATGGTAAAACCGTGCCACCACGCCCAGCTAATTTTTGTATTTTTAGTAGAGACGGGGTTTCACCATGTTGGCCAGGAGGGTGTCAATCTCTTGACCTCGTGATCCAACCGCCTCAGCCTCCCAAGTGCTGGGATTACAGGCATGAGCCACCACACCCTGCTAAGTTTTTTGCTTTATTTTGTTTGTTTTCCAAATTTGTTACAATGAACCTATATTACTTTTGTAATAAGGGGGGAAGTTTTAATTTATTTTAAGGTCTCCATAGCTCCAGATACTAGTTCTATAAATAAAATTATTTTAGCAGTTTGCAATCAGGCAGTTAACAATTTCCTTTAAGTGAAATAACCAAAGGGTGGTCAATTAGAGAAAACAGAATTAAAATTAATACGAAGAATCTTATAGTTCTAGAAATTTGAAAATTTCCCTTAAGTTGGGCCAATATACTTGTTTTCACTTGGAGGGCTATTCTTGACGTTTGTTTTCCAACTAATCATTCGCACATACTAACAATACCATACAAATAAAAAGGAGTTATGTTGCAATACTAATATTCAAATATGCAAAAACTCTGTATTTTAAACTAATTAGAAACCAGGTTTTAAAATATATATATCAACATAAATTTGTCATACATATGGAAAAGATGATTAAGTTACGGAGAAAGTTGCAAACAGACTGGCACATGCATTCTTCTTTATATAACTCTTTTGAGAAAGAGGAGCAATAAAAATCTTGTATATCATGGACATAAGCTCCAGTTAGTATATACTAAGATTGTTTTTGTCCTCATACTGAGCCAAATAAATCATAAAATGATAGTGCTTACAAAGGTCATTTACTTTGTATGTGTTATCTCCACCATGTGGCCTGATGTTTCCATGTCACTGGGATTATCTACCTTAACAACTTAGGCCCTAAGAATAGAAGCATTTTACATTTATTGAGAAGCATGTCTATTAAAGTTCATGATGTCTGTATTATACTACTTTTCAGAGTCAATTATTTTTAAATTTCAGATCCCATGACAAGTGAAAGCTGCCTATGAGTTGGAGAGTAAATGGAACACCATGCCTAGTACGATTGGCTAGTTTTAATTTACCTTTAAACACCATTTTCAAATTGTAACCTGTATTATTTAAATTTAAAAATTAAAACCTGCACATGCATGTAAAATATTTTTTTCTTTTATACCCACAAGATTTATTACATAATACACAATAAATACACAAGTATTTGTGTATTTGAATTCAACTTTTATTGCCACTTTAATCAATCCTAATAAAGTATCAAAAACAATTTACCATATCACTAAATATTTTCTAATCTGGCTGTCTGCCTGGATCCTAAAGGTCCAATAAAAAAATTAATTTGCAAAAAGTTGTTATGATAAATACACAAGTATTTATTGTGCATTATGTAATATACAATACACATAAATTGTTGAATTTATGCAGGCTGATTTACCCAACAAAACCACTAATCACCACTAGTAACTAAATACAGAACTCAATTTTCTCTACCTATACTTTTAGTCAAATACATTTTAAATATTTACATGATCTTATTCTTTAAAAGATGAGATAATTTAAAAAAAAGATGAGATAATTAACTCTAAGGTGAAAAAAGAAAATTTTAAAATGGAAAATACTGGTAATATCAAGTGTTGGAGTGGATGTGGACCAATAGGGAAGATTTATGCAATGGTGGTGGGAATATAAATTACTGCAATGACTTTGAAAAACAATCTGGCATTATTTTGCAAAACTGAATATTTACATATTCTAACACCCAATAATTACAACTATGTGTCTATACCTTAGAGTGGTGGTTCTCAAATGTGTGATCCTGTCACCTGCAGCATCTGAACCACATTTCACCTGCAAATTAAAAATGTACATTCCTACCCCACCCCAGACCTACTGAATATTAATCTTTGGGGATGAAGTCCAGCAGTTTTCTCAAGTCCTCCTCCTCCTCCAAGTGACTCTGATGCATGCTAAAGTTTGATTAACTACCTCCCTAGAAAAATGCTTGCTGCTGTGTGCCAGGATACATATACAGAAATATTCATGACAGCACTGTCAATTTAACAACAAAATATAAAGAAAATAAACAACCTAATGTCCACTGACAGGAATATCATGGTAGTATTTGTATAACATGTACTTTAATAAAGCAGTAAAAATGAATAAATTATCACTATGTCAGATATTATGGTTGGAAGAGAATTATATTGAACGAAAAAAGCAAGGACTGGCCTGGCATGATGGCTCATGCCTGTAGTCGCAGCACCTTGGGAGACTGAGGAAGGAGGACTGCTTGAGGCCAGGAGTTTGAGACCAGTCTGGGCAATATAGGAAGACATTGTCTCCACAAAAAACTATATACAGTATAATATCAATTTGAGATACCGTATGTCCCGAAGCTGATTTTTTAAAAATGTAACTTAGTGGCTAGGCAGAGTGGCTCACGCCTGTAATCCCAGTACTTTGGGCGGCTGAGGCGGGCAGATCAGGAGGTCAGCCGAGACCAGCCTGACCAACATGGTGAAACCCCATCTCTACTAAAAATACAAAAATTAGCTGGGAGTGGTGGCACGTGCCTGTAATTCCAGCTACTCAGGAGGCTGAGGCAGGAGAATCGCTTGAACCCAGGAGGCAGAGGTTGCAGTGAGCCAAGATCGCGCCACTGCACTCTAGCCTGGGTGACAGTGCGAGACTCTGTCTCAAAAAAAAAAAGGTGAGGGCCGGGCACGGTGGCTCAAGCCTGTAATTCCAGCACTTTGGGAGGCTGAGGCTGGCGGATCACGAAGTCAGGAGTTTGAGACCAGCCTGGCCAATATGGTGAAACCCTGTCTCTACTAAAAACACAAAAATAGCCAGGTATGGTGGCGGGCGCCTGTAATCCCACCTACTTGGGAGGCTGAGGCAGGAGAATTGCTTGAACCCGGGAGGCGGAGGTTGTATTGAGCCAGAGATCATGCCACTGCACTCCAACCTGGGCGACAGAGTGAGACTCCGACTCAAAAAAAAAAAAAAAAGGTAATTTAGTTATGCATATATATGTGACAAAACTATTTAAAAACACACGGCAAAGAGAAAAACAAAACAGGAGTACAGGAACGTGGATAAACACATTATGTTATTGATAACATGCTACTTCTTGGGTTATCTGGCAGATTTACAGATGTTTGCTATATTATGTTCCTCTTTTTATGTATATTCTTTATTGTATTCTTTTCTATGTATCAAATATATTAAGAAATGTTCAAGCTTAAAAAGTGGGCCCTCACTAGGTTCTTATTAATGTTTAGCCTTCAGAGGCAGAGGTTCAGATAAATTTTCACCTTTCTCCAACTCTAACAACGTAATGGATTCAAACCTGGATACTTACTACTAACAACATATTTCTTTTTCATTCTTTGTTGTTGTTGTTGTTTTAGAGATGGGATCTCACTATGTTGCCCAGGCTGGTCTTGAACTCCTGAACTCAAGCAATCCTCCCATCTCAGCCTCTCAAAGTGCTGGGATTACAGGCATGAGCCATTGTGCCTGCCCCCAACATGTTTCTGACCTAATACCAAAACCTGAAGAAAAGTTATTTCTTGGACCAAGAATGAAAACACGGTACAGAATGAAAGTATTTCCTACCCTGTTTGCCATGTTTGGCATGATGCCACATACTCAGAAGGCATTTACTAAGTGTTCACTGAATGAATGAATGAATGAATGATGAATTAATCAGTATACAAAAGGCCTAGGACTTGCACAGCTCATTATTGAATATTCTGAAGTAAAAAAAGCACTCTGTGTTCAAGACGTATAGAAACTCTGCACTGACATTAAGTTGCTCAGAAGCCACACACTGCATGCAGATGTGCAAGTCCCCATTTCAATTTCCTTAATGCCAACTCTTACAGGGAATATTAAAAAGAATAACGAAAATGTTGAGGCACATGGAAAAAGGATGACAGGTACAAACAACATAACTGACTCTTTCGGAGCAGTTTTAAAAAACAAAAACAAAAAAAACCCTCAAAATTTAAACCAAAGATTCCAGTGATTAGAACTAAGGCCTTCAAATGTTTCTGACCACACACCCCATTGGTAACATACTTTTGGGCATGTACTCAAACATCTGTATATTTATGTATTTATGAACTACATTCCACTGTTAGAAAGTACATGTTTTCCCAAATGATGAGGACTTTCAGTGACTCAGACTATGAATTAGCCACTAAGAATCTCCTAAATATTTATCATTAAATTTAGTGAAATTCTGCCAAATACAGGATTGACTTTAAACATTAAAATAAGCCGGGCATGGTGGCTCACGCCTGTAATCCTAGCACTTTGGGAAGCCAAGGCAGGTGGATCACATGAGGTCAAGAGTTCAGGATCAGCCTGGCCAACATGGTGAAAACCGTCTCTACTAAAAATACAAAAATTAGCAGGGCATGGTGGCAAGCCCCTGTAATCCCAGCTAAGCAAGAGGCTGAGTTAGGAGAATCGCTTGAACCTGGGGGGCAGAGGTTGCAGTGAGCTGAGATCACGCCACTTCACTCCAGCCTGGGTGGAAGAGCAAAACTCCGTCTCAAAAAATAATAATAATAAATAATAAATAAATAAATAAAAGTAAAAAACAAACAAAAACCAAAAAATCAGAAAAGAAAAAAATCTGAAGCCATTTGTCTTCATGCACTAGAACTTATTTCTAAATATCTTGCTAACTAGGATGACTCATCCTATCAATGGCTAATATTTCAAAGAATAACATACACTTAGGGAGAGGCTGATTATTAATAGCAATTAATAAATAGGACTTCAAATATTCTTCTTTAAAACTCAGCACTGTTTCAACTTCTCAGGTCCAAAGAGACCCACTCTTTTTTTAGTCTCATGGTTTATACATACTAGGAGAAGTGGCAGCTTCTGCCATTTCCTCATTGTTTACTTGTGCTTGCATAATTAATATTGTCTCAAGCTGCAGTTTCTTTGAAGTAATCCTTTAAGATCACTTGGCATTTTGGTGAGGGTTAATTTGGTTAAAACTAGATATAAATCTTAATGTGCCGGTTGTAAGCTTCCATATCACAATGTCAATGACAACCAATCTGTGAAGAAGACACTATTAACCTTTTCACATGTGAAGGCCGTCCCTTCTTACAGGAGACCTGAGACCAGCTGAATGTTCAGTGACTGGAGGCACCTGTGTCTTTCTAGATCGGAAAAATCAAGTTTTCACATTATTTTATATTTTTAAGTGTAAGATATAAACAAAAGGTATATTTCTTCCTGACCTCCAATAAATCGTCTTGGACACTGTCTGTGGTGTGTCATCTCACTCCAGAAACCACAGTTTAGAGAATGCATAGCCCTCTCTCCAACGTCAAATACGTCCACCACTAGTTACATTCATTCAATACACAGACAATTCCTGGCGAGCATATAACACAGCACCTTGGAAGAATTCTGTGCCTCTCCACGCCCTTCCCCAGGCTTCATAGTCTCACAGTCTGGTAACTACTAAACAAGCTATGAGAGGGAAACTTACTTGAAAAAACAGAGATTATTCTTATAACCAGGAAACAAAAGCAGAAGCGAGGTAAGGGAGATAAAGTAAGTGGTACAGATATTCCAACTGGTGGATGGGAAATCAAATTCTATTCTATTTGAGTAGCACTTTTCCCAGCTTATTCTTAATGAACATTCATGTCATGATCATGCCAATCCAATTAGTCACTTTATATATAAAAATGCAAGCTGTTATGTATTATGCAGCTCTTTTGTCAAATAAGAATAATTATAAATTTTTTTAATCAACTGAAGGGAGAGAAAACACTGCCAACGTCTTAGAATATGTTCATCAGCTGAGCAGTGAAGATCATGGCTTTGCTTCTTTTTATCTAGTACTCTCCAGTTTGGATTTTTACGTTGTAACATAAACATATTTATATTTAATTATTTGAGATGCATTTTCCCCAATCTTCTGAGATTCTCTAGCAGAATATTTTTAAAGTAAATAAAATTTAAATCCAAGAATCTAATCTAGTCAAAACTAGATAGCTTAAAAAAAAAATCCGTGTGAACAACAATATGGAAAGACCAACTCAGTTAATTTTTGACAACCAAATTGAGTGGATTTGGGAGAGATTTAGAGCAAAAATATTTATGACTAGGTTTAAATATTTGTCTTCCATGAGTAACATAGCAGAGATACTGCATTAAAAAGGTCAACCAGAAGTTTGTTTTTGAGAAATATTACCAATTTTGAACATACTAAATCTTTCTTAGAGTAACAACATACGTTTTAGATAACAGGTAGTAGCTAAGTACAGAACAGGTTTAGAAAAAGTTAATAGTGATGAGAAATGTAAACTTCGTGAACATATTTTCGGGGTAGCATTCATGATAACTCAAGAACTCGAATTTATACGAATTCTGATTTTAAATGAGTATTAAATCTCTAAGACCAAAAGAACATAAAATTATAGCCAACAAACCACACTCTGGTTCGAATTTTCGGAGCATGTTTACTCTACACTGAATAATCGGAAAGCCATTTTTAATGCCACTGGACAATTTCACTATTTAAAAATTTACAGTGTTCCCCGAATGTGCAGGCAGCAGAGTATTTTGGCAACCAACACAGCGAGACCCATTTACCTTTACCTTAGACTCGTAAAGGCTGAGTTACTTCTAGGTATCATTTAGCAACGCAATAAATGTCTGCCTCGAACAGTGAAAATTTCCCAAAGGAGCAGAACAACTTTCATGGGTGGGGCAAAAGGCTGGGAAGGAAGAGAATTCGTTTTGGCTTGCTCCAGCGCTGGAAGAACACTGAGCACCACACTCTCCGCAAAGGCCTAACACAGCAAAGGCGACTGTCAAATCGATCCCTTTTGGGTCTGCTGTACCCGTCCTCTAGGGAATCAAAATAAGGCAAAATAATAAAAAGAGTACAGAGAAGTTTGGCGGCGGCGGGGCGTGGGGGCTTGAGGCATCTCAGAGAGGAGGGCAAAAATCAACAAGAAAATGCCCCCATTTTAAAAATCCTGTCTGCGACCTCGGATGGGAGATTTTGTTTATCCACGGGCAGTTTACTTCTGTCTCCCTGACCCATCTCCACAGGCTCTGGTGCTCGCCGCCACTTTCCGAGCAGATCATTACTCAGCACCGGAGCCGGCGCGCCTCCTCCCGCAGGCGGGAGCGGGGTCTCGGGGAGAGGCGGGAAGAGGCGCGACCGCCCGGGCGCCCAGGTGACCGCGGCCCTCCCCGCGCCCCCGTCCCCGCGCCCCCCGCACCAAGCATCCGGGAGACCCGGAGCCCCCGGGCCGAACCGCGCCGGCCCCCAGGCAGCTGAGGCACTGAAGGGCAGGCTCGGGCACGGGGGTCCTGAGGGTCGGGAGGAGGCCGCGGGGACCCTGTGCTGTCCCCGAGCGCCCCCAGCCCGCGCACGCCCACCTCCCAGCCCCTCTACCCAACTTCACCGCTGCCCCGCCAGCCGGTTCCGCACCGTCCGCCCTCGCCCCGACCCCCGGCCCGCCGCGCCCCCTCACGCCCCCGTTACCTTTCCGTTCTTGGGGCTGCCGTTCAGGAACAGGGTCACCCGCCTCATCGCGCTGCCCCCGCTGGGTCCTGAGTGAGCCGCCACCCTCCCACCTGGTCCTCCTCCCACCTTTTTCTCCTCCCGCCCTTCCCCTCCCTCCACCCACTCGGATTCGCCTCCCTTCGCCACCTTCCTGCCCTTGGGGACACACCACACGCACGCACTCTGTCCCACACCCAAGGTTCGGCCGGTCCTCCTTCCCACCCCGCCCCTAGGCTCCTCAGCCTGCCTGGGGCCCTTCCCCCACCTCTCCGAGACTGACACTCTGCCGTACCAACCAACCCGCGTCACCGGACAGAGTCCAGCCAATCAGCACCCAGTATCGGGCGGGCTCTGGCTAACCTAGCCGGGACGGAGGGAGGGAAGAGACGCTGAAGGCTAGTAGACGGGAAGGGGCATCAGCCAATCAGAGAGGCTCCTGGAGCCGGACGGCGGCTTCCAGCGTTACTGAGCAGGCGCACCCTCTAGTTTAGGTAGCGCTTATCTGCATACGAGGGCGGGGTCTGGGGAAAGGAGGTGGAGCGCTGAAAGGGACCCAAGCACCAGTCAGCCCCTCCTCCAGCGTTAGCCCCGCCCACAAGCCGGCCCAGCTAGGAAACGGCTGCGGTAGGGACGGACTGATTGGGTAAGAGCCAGCTCGTCGCTCTGTTAGGATTGGTTGAATGAGTCTTTTCGAAGTTTGCAGCATCCAATAGAAAGGTGGGAGGCGGAGTTAAAGCGCTAAGAGAAGCGTTACTCCGCGAGACTCTCCTGAAAAGTAGTCCCCGAGGTCACAAGGCAGTGGCAGGTGTCTGTAGTCCTCGGGTTGACTGCAGCTCGCGGTGGTCCCTCTCCGAGCCCAGGAAGCCACTCCAGTGCCGAGGGAGAGGCCTGGGAGCGCTCGGAGTGTGCGCGGACTGGAGAAGGGGGAGGTGGCGGAGTGATTCGTAGAGTAAATTCGGTACCGAGGGGCGGGGTCGGGGATTTGAATCGGTCGGCGGGCGGAGGAGGCGGGTGGAGGAGGCTGCCGGGCAGAGCGCAGGCCAGGATCAGCGCAGGCTGTGAGTCCAGGTCAGCCGTCGGGACCTCGGGCTCCGGGTTCGAAGAGCGGCTCCCGGCTGCGGGTGCTTTGCCAGGAGAGCCCTTCCGGACAGAGGAGCCGGGGTCTGGAAGGAGCGGCCGACGCGACGCTCGCCTGCCACGGGGCTCTGGGAGTAAGCCTGTCTGCCTGGCGGGCCTTCAGGTGCGGCGTGAGAGGTAGGATTGCATCCGCGCTGCCACGGGGCTGTTTCTCCGGGGCATTTCTAGGCACTTTGTTCGGCTTACCCTGCAGCACAGAATTAGTACTCCTGTCAGGAGCTGCTCTGGGTGACCAGGAGTGCATCCGGACCTGTTGAGAGAATTTCTGGAAATGGATAGAGCTGCGTCTTGAGAGGGGTACCCTTATGATTCAGGTTTTCGCTACGGTTGAAAAGCCATGGCTTATCCTTTGGGGTCTGCTTTGGTGCCTGAACAGCAGTTTTCTCCATTTCTTTCTGTTTAATTTGGCTTTAAAAGTACGCGCTTAGAGTAAAAGAATGGTTAGCACAGGGTGGGAAGTGTATTGGGGATGGATGGGAAGGAAGTGGAGATGGTTAATAGGTAGAAAAACAAAGAATGAATAAGATCTAGTATTTGCTAGCACAACAGGGTGGCGGTCCATAATTTAATTGTGCATTTAAACATAACGAAGTATAATTGGATTGTTTATAACAAAAAGGATAAATATTTGAGATAATGGCTACCTCATTTACTTTGATTTGATTATTACGAATTGCATGCCTGTATCAAAATATTTCATGTACCCCATAAATTATACATCTACTGTATACCCACAGAAATTAAAATAAAAAATGAAACCTGTGACGTGTGTTTCTATGCCAGTATGGACTGTATTACAATTCAGTCCTGAATAAGGTACGTGATCGAATCACGTTCATCTTGCTGGTGGGGTTATTTTTCATTGTTTTTCTTCACCTCTTAGATGGATGCCAATTCAAAAGACAAGCCCCCTGAAACCAAGGAGTCTGCAATGAATAATGCTGGTATGTGATGATCTGCCTCCTTGTGAAGTTGAAGGTTTAGACAGAGAGTTGTCCTCACCCCTACAATATGTCGTCCGTTTCAGGAAATGCCTCTTTCATTTTGGGAACTGGGAAGATTGTGACTCCTCAGAAGCATGCCGAATTACCTCCTAATCCTTGCACACCAGATACTTTTAAATCACCTTTGAACTTTTCCACAGTAACCGTAGAGCAATTGGGAATTACACCTGAAAGCTTTGTTAGGAACTCTGCAGGTAAGAAAAGTTGTCATTCTGTTGTAATGCTTTTCAAGTTTAAAAATAACTTTAATATAACTCAGCTTTATTTGTTTATACGTACTGTCATATTTTAGGTACCTAAATTGCCTACTCTGCAAACTTGCTTCTTCAGAGAGACTTCTTTGCACATGCACAGTTCATTTAGCATAGCAGGGATCACGGAATCGCAGGGCACCCAGCATGATAATGTTCCCAAGTCAGAGTCGTGCTTGATGCCAATACTAGAAAATAATGTGTGTGTGAGTCACTTTTTGACCTGTCACCTAGGATACAGGAGGGTGTATGATATGAATAGTAATAATGCATTTTGTTTTCATTTATGGCAAAAATAAGAGAAAGTTTAAGAGCAATTAAGAAAATATAATACTGAAAGAGCAGGATGTACCTCCTTTAACAATCACAAACAGGGTTGGGCTCAGTGGCTCAAGCCCGTAATCCCAGCGCTTTGGGAGGCCGAGGCAGGCAGATCACCGGAGGTCAGGAGTTCGAGACCAGCCTGACCAACATAGAGAAACCTCGTCTCTACTAAAAATACAAAATTAGCCGGGCATGGTGGTGCATGCCTGTAATCCCAGCTACTCAGGAGTTTGAGGCAGGAGAATCGCTTGAACCTGGGAGGCAGAGGTTACCGTGAGTCGAAATCGCACCATTGCATTCCAGCCTGGGCAACAAGAGTGAAACTCTGTCTCCAAAAAAAAAAAAAAAAAAAAAAACACAAACAGAAGATTGATTCTGGCTAATGTCCTTCGAGCAGTAGAAATGAAGTTTACTTGTGAAGTCTGACTTAGATGGAAAAGAAGGAAATACTATATGAGAATGGAATTGGATCAGAGAATAGCATTTAGAATTGGAGGATAATGGAAGTCTTGAATATCACAGGGCACTAGACCAGGTAATACATAAGACAAGGCGAAAGTGGCACGCCACCCTAACTTTCATTCTCAAAAACATCACTCTTAGACCTTTAAAAGGCTGGATTCATTTTGTGTGCTTAGGCATATGTCCAAAATTCAGGGTAGTGCTGATGGTAGGTATCAGAAAGAAACAATCATCTTGAAGAATTAAGAACCTGAGACTGCATGTACCTAGGTGGAGATCTTACCTTTCAGTTGCTGGGGATAAAACTGACTTATTTAGAAAAAGAAAAATACTGAGTCAAAAGCAAAAGCCATCTGTGTGTAGGAAATAAGAAACAAAAATGAAAACTTAAAATGTGTTCATGTATTTATTCAACAACTTTTAATAACTGTTCTATGTACCAGGCACTGTTCTAGGAGCATAGACTAAGTCAGCAGACAAAAAGATTCCTCTTCCACTGATTGTATATGAATGACTGTGCCAGTAACTCTCCACTGAGTTTTTTGTAGCACATGTTTATCATGTTTTCTCTCTCAGGCTGGTACATCACGAGTATTGGATGTGGTTACTGATGATTGCCTTGTTTTGTTCCAATTTATAAGAGAGTTTCATTACAGGAAAGTCATCATCCTACCTTAAAAAATGTAGACGACGTTCTGCAGTCGGTGCTCGGGGCTCTCCTGAAACAAACCATCTGATTCGTTTCATTGCTCGGCAGCAAAATATAAAGAATGCTAGGAAATCTCCTTTGGCACAAGATTCTCCTTCCCAGGTATGATTTTCTTCTAAGTTCTGTCGTGAATTCCGTTAATGAAGCTTTTGTGCTTTCTTTACACCTTCTAGTGCATCTGCTCTGTTTCAAATCTGGAGGGAGATTTTCTCTGTGTTTTAGAGAACATGCAGTTAGCGGCCGGGCGCGGTGGCTCACGCCTATAATCCCAGTACTCTGGGAGGCTGAGGCAGGCAGATCATTTGAGGTCAGGAGTTCGAGACCAGCCTGGCCAACATGGTGAAACCCCATCTCTACTAAAAATACGAAAATTAGCTGGGTGTGGTGGCAGGTTCCCGAAATTCCAGCTACTTGGAGGCTGAGGCACGAGAATTGCTTGAACCTGGGAGGCAGAGGTTGCATTGAGTCAAGATCATGCCACTATGTTCCAGTCTGGGCGACAGAGTGAGACTGTCTCAAAAAAAAAAAAAATGCAGTTAGCCTAAATGATGATGTTGACCATGGGTGATTTTTCTTTGTTTGCTTTGTTTTAGAGACAGGATCTCAGTTGCCCAGGCTGGAATGCACTGGTGCAATCATAGCCCACCGCAGCAATGAACTCCTGGGCTCAAGGAATCCTCCCACCTTAGCTTTCCAAGTAGCTGGAACTATAGGCATGTGCCACAGCAATGGGCTAATTATAAAAATTTTTTTTTGTAGAGATGGGGCCTCACTATGTTGCCCAGGCTTATTTTGAACTCCTGACCCTAAGCAATCCCTATCAAAGTGCTGGGGTTACAGGTGTGTGCCACAGTGCTCAACCCAAACGAGGGTATTTTTAGAGTTATGAGACCCTGGATAGAAATAGCTTTCTAGAGGAGCTTTTTATTTTATTTCTCAATTTTTTTTTCTAGTTAAGATCTACTTTTCTATGAGGTGAGGCACTACTACCTTTTTAAGAGCTTATCTCTAAGTTACTGATTTTTTCATGACTACTGTGTGTTGATGTATAGGGGCAAGGGTCTCCTGGACAAAATGTATTTGGGACAACCTTGTGGAGAGGAGTAGATTATTTATCTGCTGATGGGGATATATTTAGCTGTTTTTTCAAATTTTTATACATCCCCCTAAAAAGTCAGATACAGTCTTGTGCTACATAATGACATTTTGTTCAGTGATGGACTAAATATACAATGGTGGTCTCATAATAATGGAGCCGAAAAATTTCTAAGGCCTGGTGATGTAGCTCATATAACATCATAAAACAATGCATTGCTCATGCATTTGTGGTGAGGCTGGTGCAAACAGTTCTACGGTGCTGCCACTTGTATTAAAATCTAGCACAAAAGGTTACCTACAATACATAATACTTGATAGTCATAATGAATGACTGTTCCTGGTTTATACATTTACTATAGACTTTGTATCATGAATTTAAAGTGTACTCCTTCTACTGATTAAAAAAAAAAAGGACCTTAATGTTGTACGTGTGTTGTGCTGGCAGCAGCCTCCTACGTTCTCCCTAATCCATTGGCTATCCCACAGAGCAGTCAAGGAGAGGCATTCATTTAAAGTAGAAATCGAATCATTCACCCGGCTGCTCAGAATCTTCCCATGGCTTCCTGCGATCCCTTGAATTAAACCTACACCCCTTCCTGATGCCTTCGTACGCCCACTCTAGTCTCTCCCCATCTCCTTCCACTCACAGGGCACACTGGCTTTTCTGCCCCATCCTGTTTCCACTCAAGGCCTTGGCCCTTGTTCTTGGAGAGTACCTCCCTCCTGTGACATCTTCCCTTAGACCTCTTTCTCATTGTTTTGGCTTCAACTCAGATTTTACTAAAGATAGAGGTCTGTCCTGATTCTAGCTAAGCCAGCACTTTTAGGGACTCAGCCACATTCCTGATATTTCTTCTCAATAGCACCTCTTTTACCTGTAACTACGTTTATATGTTTTCAGAATTTCACTCTAAACGGTAATTTCCCTGGCTGGGTATGGTGGCTCACACTGTAATCCCAGAACTTTGAGAAGCAAAGGAGGGAGGATCGTTCGAAGCCAGGAGTTTGAGACCAGCCTGGGCAACATGACAAAACTCCATCTCTACAGAAAAATTTTAAAAATTATCTGGGTGTGGTGGCACATGCCTGTAGTCCAAGCTATTTGAGAGGCTGAAGTTGGAGGATCGTTTGAGCCCAAGATATCGAGGCTGCAGTGAGCTGTGATTGTGCCACTGCACTCCAGCCTGGCTGATAGAGCAAGACCTTGTCTCAAATAAAAATAAAGTAATTTTCCCTAGATCCTGAGCCCCTCAAACAGTTTGTGGTGCATGGAAGGAAGGTTGTTGACTGACCGACACAATTCCTAAAACAAAAACATCAAAAAAGCAGTACATTTTGAATGTTTCATTTGCTTTGTATGTAAACATTGTTCTCCTTCTCCAGTAGAAAATAGAGAAAAAACAATTTTGACTAGAGAAACTTAAAATTTTTTTAAGCAGCATTTCAAAGTGCTGCATGTTCCTAGGATATTAAATCTGCCCCTACCATGTTCAAATATGTGTGCAAAAAAAGCACATTCAAAGTAAATTGTATGAATTTGAGATCATCTTTTCCCTGTCGTTCTGTTAGATGAATTGACATAAGCCTTTTTTGAATATTATTGCTGTTTATGTCGTGAACGTTTGTGTCATCAAGGATATTTCAATGTAAAATGTTCTCATTATGTAATAGAGAATTTGCTTTATATTTAACTGGGAAGAGAATCAAATGTGTGAACAGATCACCATCAAACATGGCTTCACGATATGAACTGCTTTTTCTCCCTGTGATATATATATATTTTTTCTGAGACCAAGCCTTGCTCTGTTACGCAGCCTGAAGTACAGTGGCATGATCTCGGCCCATTGCAACCTCTACCTCCCAGGTTCAAGCGATTCTCCCACCTCAGCCTCCCACATAGCTGGGATTACAGGCATGCACCACCACGCCTGGTTAATTTTTGTGTTTTTCGTAGAGACATGGTTTCACCATGTTAGCCAGGCTGGTCTCAAACTCCTGACCTCAAGTGATCCTCCCACCTTGGCCTCCCAAAATGCTGGGATTACATGCATGAGCCACTGTGCCCAGCCTACTCTGTATGATATCTTAAACGGAGGTAATTTTTACTTCACTTTTTGCCCATTGGTATAATTTTTAAACATTGCCACAAACTTCATATCAGTGGAAATGTTAGTAGTCCAAGTAATAAAAAAAAATCTAGATAGAGAACTTCATTTGTAATTTAATTTTTATGTAAAGGGAACTCTCAATTTTTATATTACTTGTCTTTAACTGGCACTTCTATCCCTGCTAATATAAATTTCATTTTATCAGTCTTTGGTTGGAACCCTGTTAACGGGGTTTCCAGAGAGCTTCTGTGCTTATACCATCAAACTTTGTATTTTAAGAGAATGGCTGGCTTTCAACCCTAAGAAGGAAATATCCTCCAGGTCCCATACAATCAGGAAAATTAGCTGGGAAGAGCCAAAAAGGAGAGCAGTGCAAGTGTAGTATCTGAGCATGTATGGAACTTCTGTGTCTCGTTCTGGCCCCTGGGCTGGAGGGCATGTGTAGACCCGTGCTGAGTAGAAACAGCTTGGACTGAAGGAGGTATGCTGAGACTTACCTGTGACACAAGCACCATGCAGATGGCTTCCTATGGATACATCCAGCACAACATTTGGTAAAAATTGCAAATAGACAGGTTCCTCCTGTCCCTTTTTTGTTGCACCATCCCAGAGCGCAATGTTTTTTTGGCACCTTCCATATAATCTTAGGCTGGCCTCTCAACATTTTTGTGTTAAACTTCCTTATTCAAACTGAAAATGGGTAATTCCAGGGTGAAGAAGCTCTGCCACACTAACTCCTTACCGCTGATCTTCAAAAAGCATATGTGTACTGTATTTAATTTTGGATTCAATGGCTGTAGGCCTAGAATATAGAAAGTATGAATTGATTATAATACTCCTTGTATATTTTGCACTTTCACAGGGCAGCCCTGCACTGTATCGAAATGTTAACACTTTAAGAGAACGAATATCAGCCTTCCAGTCAGCTTTTCACTCCATAAAGGAAAACGAGAAAATGACCGGCTGTCTGGAATTCTCAGAGGCAGGAAAAGAGTCCGAGATGACAGACTTGAGTGAGTAGAAATAATTCGTTCAGTTTTGACTTCAATATTTATAAAGACAAGCTTCTGAGTTATGAAATGATTTAGTGTGAAGCCAATCTTTTCAGAACACAGGTATATTTATAAAGTGAGACTAACATTAAAAATTTGGGACATTTCACACAAAAATAAGGATTTCTGGTTTCTCTTAGAAAAAAAAACCTGTTATCAGGCATTCCTAATCCTACATTTCCGCATGGTTGCAATTAAATTTTAAGTTTTAAAATGCCAGAGATAATTAGCTCATTTCACCTTTACCATAGAGCTTGTGGCAAATTTGAGTTTACAAATCTTGATTTTTACAGGATTATTATTAAGCTCGGCAAGCATTTAGTAAATGAAATAAATTCATATAAATTTTATATGAGTACCAAACACCCAACCCTGATGTTAAAAACAAATATATTCAGCCAGGCGCGGTGGCTCATGCCTGTAATTCCAGCACTTTGGGAGGCTGAGACGGGAGGATCACTTGAGGTCAGGAGTTCAAGACCAGCCTGGCCAACATGGTGAAACCCTGTCTCTACTAAAAATACAAAATTAGCCAGGCGTGGTGACACATGCCTGTAACTCCAGCTACTGGGGAGGCTGAGGCAGGAGAATCACTTGAACCTGGGAGGTGGAGGTTGCAGTGATCCCAGATCGTGCTATTGCACTCCAGCCTGGGCGAAGAAGTGAGAGTCCCTTTCAAAAAAAAAAAAAAAAAAAAAAAAACACACACACACACACAAATATATCCAATCTGATAATCTGCTATATTCTTTAACTCTTAGATTGTAATTCATTTGGTTGTTTTTTCAGTCTTTTTTTTTTCCCCCCCAATCACGAAGCATTTCAGATACCAGAATGTGACAAAATCTTGGTCTTACTGTAATCATTATAACCATTCTCTGGTACTTTACACACTAAGGTTTCAAATGATTCTGTTTTGAATTCTTGAACCATCTTTAAGTGCATTTCAGCACCTCCCATGAGGATTGCTCTGTTAGCCCAAGACAAGTCCCCCTCATCTACCTCTAGAGTGCGTGACCCATTCAGATGTACCGATTTATATTTGTAGTTTGTGACTCACTTATTGTTTCAGTTTTTTCCTGGGTTTTAAAATTTATTTACATCATTATAATTCTGCAGACAGTTCCTTTTTTTTAGCTAGAAAAAAACAGGTACGTTGTGGTTGTCTTTTTCATAAAGTCATACAGAGTATTAGAGCATAACCACATCTTTCAAAATAACAGGTGTCATCATTTAAAAAGCGTGAGGTACCATATTAGACATGCAAAAGTATTTTAGTATATCTTTGTACCTTTTAAGGCCTGAAAAAACTTAATTCTAATAATATGAATGTATTATCTTTTCAATAGACATGTTTTCATTCCTTTCAGTTAGATTTAATTTTTTTTGGAATAAAAAAGTGTGGTAGATTTTTCTTTTCATTGATAATTTAGACTTAAGCACTAGATTTTACTAAAATTACGATGCACAATAGCCGGGCGTGGTGGCTCATGCCTGTAATCCCAGCACTTTGGGAGGCTGAGGTGGGTGGATCACCTGAGGTCAGGAGTTCAGACCAGCCTGACCAACGTGGTGAAACCCCATCTCTACTAAATATACGAAGATTAGCCAGGCATGGTGGCATGAGCCTGTAATCTCAGCTATTTGAGAGGCTGAGGCAGGAGTATCACTTGAGCCCAGAAGGTGGAGGTTGCAGTGAGCTGAAATCGCACCATTGTACTCAAGCCTGGGCGACAAGAGTGAAACTCCGTCTCAAAAAAAAAAAAAAAAAAAAAGAAAAGAAAAAAAATATATATAATATATATGAAAACATTTATGCCTGTGTCGTTTTGTTTTTATTTTGTGTTTATAGCCAGAAAGGAAGGTCTCAGCGCTTGCCAGCAGTCTGGGTTCCCTGCAGTGTTGTCCTCCAAACGTCGGAGAATATCCTATCAGAGAGACTCTGATGAAAATCTGACGGATGCTGAAGGAAAAGTAATTGGTCTCCAGATATTCAATATTGATACAGACAGAGCATGTGCAGTTGAAACTTCTGTAGATCTTTCTGAGGTAATTCACTTACTTTACGCATAGGAAAATGAAGTTGTTGGTTTTCTGCATAGGCAGTTTTAAGGCTGTCAGTGCCGTTCTTCAATTTTAGTACCTTGTTCTGCCCTGTGGTTCCTGGGGTGTGTGTGTGTGTGTGTGTGTGTGCGTGTGTGTGTGTGTGTTTCCTACCTGTTAATTTTATGGTTGCTGGTATTTATCACTTATTAGAAACAGTTTGGATAATGATCTCACTTTTGACTACTAACCTTACAAAGAGAGTAAGCCCTGGGGTCTTCTACGTATGAGGTATTCTAGAGGGTGATGCTCCAAGAAGGGAGGAAGTTACAGTCTTGCCCTTAGGCAGTATTTTTTCTACTGGGGAGCAGGGTATAAGCAGATGGCTTCAGTGGAGCTGGTGGATCAGGTGGAGATTCTGTGTGGGGTGTACTCCACAGGCTTGGGAGTCTTGCACTTATACCTGCCCCTGACTGCTTTCCTTCTGATGGAAATCAGGGTGCCATTCAGCAATTTCTCCTTTGCTCACTTCTTTCAAGTAGCTCTAGGGATTTTTGTGGCTTATAACTACCTAAACCCTGTCAAGACGATCAAAAGGCGATATTAGAAAAATAATACTACTGAAGATCAGTTGACCTGCGCGCACGCGTGAATGGAGAGCTGGTCTCTCGTGACGGACTTTTCTTACTTCATGCTTCTAGTTCTGGTTTGACACAGTAGCTCCTCATGGCCTTTGTGAGAGGAGACACCTAACACCGTTACAGTTGGAACCCTTTCTGCACTTTCTCTGTCACTTAGATCCAGTGCTCGTCCTATTCGTTTTATGTGGACTGGCAGAACAAAGATTTGATAGTTATTAGACATTCTTCAGGCTCCAGTGGGTTTCCTTTGTATTTCAGTCGCCTGTAATCTCGGCTGCCTCCGCCCTTTTCAGGTTGATGTGAAATCCCCACTGGACAGAAGCAAGAATAATTGTTTGTTATCAGAACTTTGATTAATTGTTTGAACATACATCATGATTCAGATATTATTTCTGAATTAGTGTGAATGTGTTTTCTATCCTAGCCTTTAATGTTTTTCATATCCTAGTTATTGATATCGTTTGGCGTTTGATTAATAATTATATAAACTTTATTTTGAGAATTTTCTCTAAAGAATTACAGATGATACAGCTATCTAGGCTATAACAACAAAAATATATCCTTTAAACTTTTCCTGGGGAATTAAAAGTTGATTTGTGGGATGTTTAGGATGCAGTTAATATGAATAGTTCATGTTAGATTCCTGTACACTTTGAGATACACTTTATGAGATAAAGTGTACACTTTTCTCAGGATAAAGTATCTCCTGTACACTTTATGAGATAATGAAGGTGACTGATTGAACATCAGATTTCCAGGCAATCCATAATGTTTACTCAAATCTTCAAAAAGGCATTAGTAGTACTCTAATTAATAAAATGTAATACTCTTTCAATTTTTCCCCAAGATATCATCTAAACTTGGTTCAACACAGTCTGGATTTTTAGTTGAAGAGTCTCTTCCCCTTTCAGAGCTCACAGAGACTTCAAATGGTAAGTAATCTTTTCTTAGTACATGGCCAGTTGCCCGATTCATAGACATTTATGATTAGTGTACCTATTTGCTAAAATTTGGGGGAACTGAAATTGTTTCCTACTTTTTAGGAGCTCATGGCCTAGTAGAAATGCTTCTGAATTCTTGTTATATGAGAGATACTCTCTTTTTTAAGCTACGATCAATAAGAATTAGTGAAGTATTTTCAAGCTCATGGAATTTAGTATAAAGAGGTAGCACCTATGAACATATTAACAAGTATTCTTTGTTATAGGAACACTACTTGTAATATTTTTATTTGTTTTTAAGCATGTAAAAAGAGTCTTACCAGGATGTAAAAATTATTCTTTCTCAAAATCAGTATGCTTGTACTGGGTGAACATTACTAGCAAGGGTTTAGATTGACTTTTTTTCTACTTGGGTCTTTAAAACTCTTATGGGCATATAATTGGATCTTGTGTTTTATTAATCCATTCTGATAATTTATTGTAATTGGAATATTTCGCCTATTAACTTTTTAGGTAATTACTTAACATGGTTTTATTCACATCTGTCATTTTATCATATGTTTTCTATTCCTGATTATTGCTCTGTAATCTTTCATAGTCTGGTTAGTTGATATTATACAATTTCACATAAAATACAGAAACTACAAACTCTACAGATCAATTTCCTCTCCTTTCCAGCCATGGCTTTTATGATCCTTTACAGATACACACTTACTTCATTATAAGCCTCACAAGATGTTGTTTTTGGATTAAACAGCTGTATGTGCTTTGTTTTTCTTTTTTTTTTTTTAAGGCAGTTTCTTACTCTCTTGCCCAGGCTGGAGTGCAGTGGTGTGATCTCAGCTCACTGCAACCTCCCTCTCCCAGGTTCAAGCCATTCTTGTGTTTCAGCCTCCTGAGTAGCTGGGATTACAGGCGTGCACCACCATGCCCAGCTAATTTTTATGTTTTTAGTAGAGATGGGATTTTGCCACATTGGCCAGGCTGGGCTTCAACTCCTTGCCTTTAGCAATCCACCCATCTTGGCCTCCTAAAGTCCTGGGATTACAGGCATGAGCCACTGTGCCCAGCCAAAACAGTTATATGTGCTTTAAATAGGTTAAGAGGGGAAAAATAGTCTTTTATATTTACCCAGATGTACCATTTCTTATGTTGTTTTTTCCTAAAGATCTGAGTTTCTCTGTCTTATTTTCCTTCAACCTGAAAAAGAACTTCTTTAGCATTTTTGTAGTGAGCATTTGCTCTGACTTTTAATTTTAATCATAAGATAAATGGGTGGATGTCCGCCTGCATGGTCCCCCTGCACAGGGCAAGGTTGTGAGTTTGTTACCACAATGGAATAAGGTGTTCTTGCCTTCAATGTTTTCTTTCTTCTTCTTCTTCTTATTTTTGAGACAGAGTCTCGCTCTGTTGACCAGGCTGGAGTGCAGTGGCACAATCTCAGCTTACTGCAACCTCTGCCTCCTGGATTCAAGCAATTATCTGCCTCGGCCTCCCAAGTAGCTAGAATTACAGGTGCCTGCCACCAAGCCCAGCTGAGTTTTTTGTATTTTCAGTTGAAACAGGGTTTCACCATCTTGGCCAGGCTGGTCTTGAACTCCTGACCTCATGATCCACCCATCTCAGCCTCCCAAAGTGCTGGGATTTGCCACCGTGCCCGGCCCAACAGTTTCTTAACAATTCTTTTTGCTTTGCTCTTATGGGACTTTGCGTAGGAGTGACAGATTCTCTGTGACAGTGATTATAGATTGTATGAAGTGTAGCGATTCACAGTTGTCATCATACTAAACACCTCACTCTACAATGTGAAATGTTGAAATCACACAGGCCAAAATTTTATTTAGGCATGCCATGAGGCCGTACTCAGAAACAGTGTAATTAAACAGGGAAGAATAGATCTACCATAGTAGATGGGGCCTTGATGAAAGGAGTCTGGTGTTGATTTCTGTATTTTAAACTGCGTTGTTTTTTGGTGGCACCCCAGACAGTGCACCTTCAGGAAGAATAAAAAGATGTTCCGAGATGGAATCAAATGTCTCTTTGTTAAGGGGGAGCTTAGGGGGACCTGCATGACACCTCTGATCTCCTTTACCCCCTCTGCTTCCTCTGTTTTACCTATGTAGCCGGAAATCCAACATCCAACTCAGCGAATCTCCCTGCCTTCTCTGCACCTGCCCCAGAGCTGCTAATATTTGGTATGCTGATAGCCTCAATTTTTTTTTTTTACCTCAAATGGTTCTGTGCTGTTTCTTTTTTATTTTTTATTTATTTTTTTTTTTTGAGACGGAGTCTTGCTGTGTCACCCAGGCTGGAGTGCCATGGCGCGATCTCAACTCACTGCAACCTCTGCTTCCCAGGTTCAAGCCATTCTCCCACCTCAGCCTCCCGAGTAGCTGGGATTACAGGTACCCGCCACCATGCCTGGCTGATTTTTGTATTTTTGTAGAGACGGAGTTTCACCATGTTGGCCAGGCTGATCTTGAACTCCTGACCTCAGGTGACCCACCTGCCTTGGCCTCCCAAAGTGCTGGGATTACAGGCATGAGCCACCACACCTGGACTGTGCTGTTTCTTAATCCACACACTTTCACACCTTATTTTTCTCTTAAAATATCCAACGCTCCTTCCTTTATTTCTTTTTAAAATTTAGATACATATAATTTATGTTTTCAACAGATAATTTTATAGTGTGTCATGTAATTGTTTTGTTTTTCTTAAATTTATTACTATTATTTTTGAATGACAAACCATAACTGTATATATTTATGGGGAACAATATGATATTTTGATATATTTATACAATGTGGCATTATTAAATCAGGCTAATTAACATGTCCCTCACTTCACTTACCTGTCATTTTTTTTTATGGTGAGACGTTTGAAAATTACTCTCTTAGTTATTTTGAAATATGTAATACACTAATATTGACTATAGACACTGTTGTGCAATAGATCTCAAAACTGATTCCACTTATCTATCTGAAACCTTGTATTCTTTGATCAACAATTCCCCATTTCCTTCCTCACCACTTCTACAGCCTCTGGTAACCACTATTCAACTCTTTACTTCAATAAATTCAACTTTGTTAGATTCCTCATGTAGGTGAAATCATGTGGTTTTTGTCTTTTGTGCCTGGCTTATTTCACTTAGCAAAATCTCTTCCAGATTCATCCATGTTGTTGCAAATGAGAGTCTCCTCGCTTTTAGGGTTAAATAGTATTCTGCTGTGTGTATATATACCACGTTTTCTTTATCCATTCACCCATTAATGGATGCTTTTTCATTGATGAGAATGATGTTAGCGACAGGTTTGTCATGTATGTCCTTTATTGCGTTGAAGAACATTCTGTTCCTAGTCTGAGAATTTTTACTGTGATATTGTGTTAATTTTATCAAATGCTTTTTCTCCATCTATTGAGGTGATCATATGGTTTTTATTTTTCATCTTTTTTCATTTTTCAAGAGCGTTTATTAAAATAGGCAGTAATCAGTACATGTGCATCATATGAGCATTTATTCAAAATCAGCCCTTCCAGGAGAGGGGCTGCATCTCAGTTTTTCTATCTATATAATTAAAATGACCAAAGTACTTCCCTAAAGTAGAAAGGCATTTCATTAGTAGTCTTGGGACCATAACAGAATATGATTACTAAACATCTCCAACGTGGTTTTCATTACAGAGAAACATGTTTCACATAAGAGCTTCATAATATAATCCAGAGACAGAATTTGTGCATGGTTAAAATTTGAAGCCAGACTATTTCTGATACATATTTTTTTCATTTCTTCCGGTTTTTATTTTTGTAAATATGCATCCAGTTTCCTACCAGTTTAAAACACACACACAAAACACTGCTCAGAGCACCATGAATGCCTTACAGTAGCTTCTTTGAGACTATAATCCTAATTCAAGGAGGGCAGTACTAATTTCTATTCTGACTTGCTCCTTTCCCCAAATCTCAGCAATTGTCAGATACAAAAAAAGGTTTCTGGGCAGAGGGCCAAAGAATAATTATGAATAATTTCACAATGATCTGGTTAAGAAAACACACAGAAAATGGTGATGATATGGTTTCTATTTTTCATCTTCTTTATGTCATGTATCACATAGATTTGCATATGTTGAACCATCCTTGAATCCCAGGGATAAATCTAATTTGATCATGGTGAATGATTCTTTTAATGTGTTCCTGAATTAGGTTTGCTAATATTTTGTGGAGGATTTTTGCATCTTTGTTCACCAGGGATATTGGTGTATAATTTTCTTATATGTAGCAGGGTAGTGCTAACCTTGTAAAATGACAAGGAAGTATTTGGAAGTATTTTCTCTACTTTTATTTGTTTTGAAAGTGTTTGAGAAAACTTGTCAGTTCTTTAAATGTTTGATGGAAGTCAGCAATAAAGCCATCTGGTCCTGGGCTTTTCTTTTGGTGGGACATTTTTATTACTAATTCAGTCGTCTTCTCACTCATTATTGGTCTTTTGAGATTTTCTATTGGTTCATGATCCATTTCTTTTATCCAATTTCTTGGCATTTAATTATTCATAGTAGTTGCTTGTGATCCTTTGTATTTTGGTGTCAGGTTCTCTGGTTGCTTCCTGTGCTCTGAAGTCAAATGATATTGCTAGCTGTCCTCCATGGTCTAGTAAGATCACTGGCTGGACTCTGCCTTCAGTCAGGTAGAGCTGCTCTCTGGGTTCTGTGATTGTCTCTGATTTGGCAGAGTTGCAGGTTGTCTTCCTTGGCTGGTCAGTACTATTGTTTGGAATCTGTAGTTGGGCAGAACCATGTGATGGGCTCTGAGTCTGCTTGAGGTTGTTGCTTGGCCCCATAGGGTGGGCAGGGCCTGAGGCTGTACTCCACAGATGTGTGTGGATTCGGGCTTGCCTCCCAGCCCAGGGTAGGGTTAAGCAGAGCACTGAGATTTGGTAGAGTCACTTCTCTGCAGCTGGGGTCGAGCAGGGACAGATGCTCCTTCCACAGGTAATCACTGACACAGCCTGGCTTAGGGAAGACTTAGTGACAGCACAAGGGCTTAGTTTGATCACCTTTCCACTGCTAGGATTGGGTAGGCCCAGATGTACCTTTCATGGGTAATTGCTGACCTACAGTTGCTCCCCCTAAGCCAAAATCCAAACTCTGAAAATTTTTGAGTGCCAACATGATGCTCAAAGGAGATGGTTATTGGAGCATTTCTGGATTTTCAGGTTAGAGACGCTTGACTAGTAAGTAGAATGCAAATATTTGGGCTGGGTGTAGTGGCTCACGCCTGTAATCCCAGCACTTCAGGAGGCCGAGGCAGGCAGATCACAAGGTCAGGAGTTCTAGACCAGCCTGACCAATATGGTGAAATCCCGGCTCTACTAAAAATACAAAAATTAGCCAGGCGTGGTGGCACCTGCCTGTAATCCCAGCTACTCAGGAGGCTGAGGCAGGAGAATTGCTTGAACCCAGGAGGCGGAGGTTGCAGTGAGCCGAGATTGCACCACTGCACTGGAGCCTGGGCGACAGCGAGACTCCATCTCAAACAAAGGAATGCGAATATTTAATGCAACCACCAGAACTTAGTTGGCTCACATCTTTACAGCTAGGGTTAGATGGGGCCAGATATTTCCTCTGTGGGCAATCACTGACCTACAGTTGCTTCTCGACCTGGCGAAGACCTGATGGGAGCACCCAGGCTGTGTGGGGAAGCTGGACAGGGATTTTAACCTGGAAGACCCACTAACCATGTTTCCTGCAGTTTAATACTGCTGGCTGGTTTCTCTGGTGTGGCATCTCTGTTAGCTGGAATGCAGGAAGCCACCAGAATTCGCTCTCTGGTGGCTGTGATCCCCATCCCACGTTCTTTGTTTTTATCTGCCCCCCAGTGGCCCAGCCTTGCCAGTACTCCCAGTGTTTCCTGGGGGACAAGACAGGAGTGCAGCTCCTGCGAAGTATCCCAGAATGGTGGGGAAGCCAAACGTCTGCTTCCCACTCACTCTTCCCACTGTAGAAACTGTGGGTCCAGGGGAATTCTCTGTGTGTGGCACTGTGCCAGTTGGGAGAAGGGCAGCACAGTCAAACAGAAAAGTTTCTTACCACTTGTTTGTGGCTTTTCTCCATTCTGGGGTCCAAGGAGGTGTGTCAACCTCACTCCCAAATTCTGGGATATTCAGAATGTTATTTTTGCCTGCAGATAGTTGCTCATTGGATTTCTCTGGGAACAGGGAATGAAGCCACAGAACTCTTACTCCACTATCTCCCCCACATCACTCCAGTGTTTTTGTTTTATATCAAAGTACACATACGTAAGGAATTAGATATAATTCAGATTTAACTGGGCCCCTGCATCTTTATTTGCCAAACCTGGCAGCTCTACTCATGAGTGATCTGAGAGAAAGTTCCCTGGTAGCCTTTTGCAGTTCCTTGCTTCCTGTACCATTGAGAAAATAAGAGATTTTGGGAGCAAAGGTCTTGGTCCTCTCACCCCTAAGCCCTCCTGCATCTCTGTATGTGTGTATCTACCTTTGCTCCTCTTTCAAAAGGGTCTCAATGTTCTTACCTAGGGCCAGCCTCTTTTTTTTCTTTTTTTTTTTTGAGATGGAGTCTCACTCTGCCGCCCAGGCTGTAGTGCAATGGTGCGGCCCCAGCTCACTGCAACCTCTGCCTCCTGGGTTCAGGTGATTCTCCTAACCCAGCCCTCCTGAGTAGCTGGGACTACAGGTGCCCGCCACCACACCCAGCTAATTTTTGTATTTTTAGTAGAGATGCTGTCTCACCATGTTGGCCGGGCTGCTCTCAAACTCCTAACCTCTGGTGATCTGCCCACCTAGGCCTCCCAAAGTGCTGGAATTACAGGCATGAGCCACCACGCCTGGCCTCTACCCTCTTTTTTAGGGACTGATTCCCATTGCTCCTTCTCCTTCTAAGGACCTTGTGTCTGAGTTGTCTCCTCTCTTTTCTGAATTGTTAACTTTTCTTATTCAGCTACAAGATGCTGTAAAATATCCCATCTTAAACTTCCCTTTGCCCCAGGATTGCCTTCTAGCCAGAACACCATTTCTTTACTCTACTTTAGGCAAAACTTTTAAGAGAAGGCCACACTCTGTCTCCTTGCCTCCCATTCTTTCTTGATCCAGCTCCAAATAGGCCTTGTTGACCAGCCATCTCCTGGCTGCCAACCCAGTGGTAGTCAGACTCAACACATTCCTTTCCTTGATGTCTTAGCAGCACTATGGACGGATATAGACATCTACAACCAGGCCCTCCTGTGAGAAGCCTTTTCCTCACCTGGGTTTCAGGATGTCATTCTCATTTTCCCTTGCATCACTGACCATTTCCTCTTTGTGTATTTTCTTTGCTCCTCTTCTTTCATCCTGACCTTCAAATATTTGAATGCCCCCCCTCGACCTTCATGTTCGGTGCTTGGACCTTTTGTCTCTATATACAGGTTGAGCATCTGTAAGCCAAAAATCCAAATTCTGTAACTTTTTGAGTGCAAACATGACACTCAAAGGAGATGGTTATTGGAGCATTTCTGGATTTTCAGGTTAGAGATGCTTGACTGGTAAGTAGAATGCAAATATTTCAAAATCTGAAAAAAATTTGTAATCTGAAACACTTCTGATCCCAAGCATTTTGGATAAAGGATACCCAATGTGAACTCTTTCTAGGTGACTTCAAACATTATCACATGCTGTTGACTTCAAATTAAAATAGTTGCCCGTGGCCTTTTCCCGGAACTCTTGAATTAAGTATCCAGCTCCCTTTCATGACCTTCACTTGAATGCCTAATAAACATCTCAAACTGAACATAGTCAAATAGGTCTTGATGATTTTTTCCTTCACCAACCTGCTCATCTCTGTTTTCCTCATCTTAGTAAATGACACTCTCATTCACCTCATTGCTGTATCTCAAATATTGGACTTAACTTGATACCTTTCTTTTTCTTTTCCTTTTTTTTTTTTTTCTTAAGTTAGAGTCTCGCTGTCACCCAGGCTGGAGTGCAGTGGTGTGATCTTGGCTCACTGCAGCCTCAACCTCCTGAGCTCTAGGAGTCCTCCTACCTCAGCCTTCCAAGTAGCTGGGACCACAGGTGCTCACTACCATGCCCAGCTAATTTTTTTTTTTGGTAGGTACAGGATCCTACTATGTTGCCCAGGCTGGTCTCCAACTCCTGGGCTCAAGCAATCCTTCCATTCCACCTTGGTCTCTCAAAGTGCTGGGATTACAGATGTGAGCCACTGCACCCAAGTGATACCTCCCTTTTTCAAATGAAACTTGTAATCGCATTGACAAATGCTACTAGGTCTTCAAAATATGTCAAATGTCCACCCACTTCTCACCTTTTGCATTCCTATCAGTGTGGTCCAGGCCATCACCATCTCCTGCCTGGATTTTTTTATGTATCCTCTGAAGTGGTTTTCCTGCTTCCCCTCTTTCCCCAATCCCCTGTTACAGTTTTTCACACAGTAGCCAGAGCACTGGTTTTAAAATGTAAGTCACAGTATCTCACTGCCCTCCTCAAAATCTTTCATCGACTTCCTGTTATACTTAGAGAAGTAGCCAAAGACCATATTATTTCTACTAGGCCTTCCCTGGCCTGGTTCTTAACCTTTGCTCTGAGCTTATTTCTCAGCTCTCTTGTCCATGCCCACTGTTCCAGCCACAGCAGCCTTGCTGGGCCTCTGCTATGCCAGGTACATCTTTACCTCAGGTCTTTGCACTTGGCTTTGTGTGCATAATGTCCATCCCTAGATCTATGTGTGGTTCGCCTTGTTCTTTTCAGGTGTCTGCTCAGGAACTCTCTGTTTACCCAAAGCAGTAGCACTTCCTTCCAGCTTATCATACTGTATTCCTCTCTTGCTACATTATTTTCCTTAATAGCATATATTAACTACTTGTTGTGTGTGTGTATATATATATATATATATATATATTAACTTTTTACTTGAAATAACTATAAATTTGCTATCTAGTTGTAAGAAATAATATAAAGAAATCCAGTATTCCCTTCACCTAGTTTCCCGCAGTAGTGACATGTTGCATAGCTACGATATATTAATATCACAACCAGGAAATTGACATTGCTACAATCCACCAACTTGTTTTCAGATTTCACCAGTTTTACATGCACATACTTTTTGTGTATGTTTAGTCCGTGTGGTTTTATCACATGTGGATTCATGTGAGCACAGTACAGCCAAGCCACAGCATGGTTCTGTCCTGAGGATCCTCATGTTACCCTTCATAGCCATCACTCTTTCCCTCTCCCTCCTCCCTGCTGTGAGATTTTATAATCCCTGCTTATTCCGTGCTGGTTTTGGGGGTTTGCTCATCTTTACTTCTTCAGCACCCAGAGGAGTGCCTGTCACATCATGTATTTGTTCAATGGATCACTTAATCATAAGGCAACGCTCTCCTGTGGGAAGAATTTGGGAAGAAAAGCCACGCCTGTTTGGGGCACATACAGTGTGTTTATAGTTTGGTGTGATGATCTTTCTTTTCTCATTCCTGCCACCCTCGGATGTTGAAATGCCTGTGACTCTAGCGGTAAAATTGCTTATTAGTCAATGCTTGGCTCAGATTAGTTTTTATGGTCCAAGTAGTGGGTGTCATGAGTAGAGGCACGCTAATAGCTTATAGCTGATTCATGATACCTTCTTTCAACCTCTGACTCAGAGATTTCCTGGGGAGCCAAATCCCCATACCCACTTTACCCTTCGTAGTCCGATTTGAGGTAAAAACTGACCGATGCTGCTTCTTTACCTCCTTTTCTGTTTCCAAATGAAATCCCAGACGTTACTGCCCAATCAGGTTATATTAGGTTTGAATTTCTTCATAGCATGTTATTATCTTTGCAAATACTATATTTTTGGTCTAGAACAAACAGATTTAAGAGATCTTCTGCCTCTCAAGTTTACATGTTTATCTTGAAGCACTAAAGGTTGCTGACTGTGTAGTGGGCAAAGGATCAAGTGATGCCGTTTCGCCTGACACGTTCACAGCAGAAGTGAGCTCAGACGCAGTCCCTGATGTCAGGTCACCAGCTACTCCAGCCTGCAGGAGGGACCTTCCCACCCCCAAGACCTTTGTACTTCGTTCTGTACTGAAGAAACCCTCTGTTAAGATGTGTCTAGAGAGCTTACAGGTAAGAAGAGAGTTAAATTTCCTAAAGCAAATGAATAAAAATGCATTTTGCTTCAAAGTAATACCCTTGAAATGTCATATATCATGCTAGTTTAAAAGGAAATGTCTTACTCGTCTTACCGTAAATTTTTTTCCTCATCTTTTCTTATTAACAACACTGGGTGTAGTTTCTTTTTGTTCTTATTTTTAAAAAATTAAGTATCGTATATAGCATGCAGAATTTAATGTAAGTAGACTGTAGTTTATAAAGGGTCATAATCTTACATAATCTTATTGCACTAACATAATTATATGTTATTGATTCATTTTATATAATTATATAAGTGATATTAATTACTTAATCATAATTAATGTGTCAATCTGTTAAACTGATCATTCCACCCAAAATATTTAGTCTTAAAAGTACCTCTTATAGCCATCCTTTTTTCTCGAAGCTCAGTCAATATGAGGAAAGAGAAAGTTGATGGGAACTAGCTGGCATTTATTGAGTAGTTTCTGTTGACAGTTCTGGCATATATATATAACAGTAGTGCTCCGAGAAAGGTATAGGACCTGTTTGACATACACTTAGGCTTGTAGGTTGTTAAGTGAACCCAGATAAGTCTGCTGTTAAAATCCATGACAGGCTGTCAGTCCATGAGAGGTTGAGAGCCTAGCCTCAGGAGTCAAAATGCCAAGTTTCAGATCTTGACTTGGAAATGTAATCACTGAGCAAATTATTTGACCTTTCTCTGCCTGGTTTCCTTATCTATAAAAATGTAAAGTTGGTAACTACTTTTAGAGTAATTTGAGCATTAAATGGGATAATATAAAATCACCACGAGTGTCTGGCACTTCAGAAATACAAATCTTTTTTTCAAACCATAAGCATTTTAACATACAAGTATGCCTACAAGCCTGTTCTGATTTGTTCTGAAGCCAAAAGGAACTAAATTACCTTCTATTTACATGGATCATTGATGGTCAATTGCTATTTGTAAAGCTTTAACAATTTTGTTCAAAGAGCTGATTTGGGGCCAGGTACAATAGCTCACACCTGTAATCCCCTGACTTTGGAAGGCCAACACTGAAGGATCGCTTGAGCCCAGGAGTTTGAGACCAGTCTGGGACAAAAAAAAAAAAAAAAAGCTGATTTGGGTCTGTAATACACACAGCACTGTTTGTTCATATCTTCTCCTCAAAAAGACTTAACATCTGAACGATCCATGGAACTCTTACTTTCTAACAATATGACACAGCAAATATTAAGTCTTGTCATTAGAATCATGTGAAAACATTTACAACTGGCCGGGCGTGGTGGCTTATGCCTGTAATCCCAGCACTTTGGGAGGCCGAGGCAGGTGGATCACAAGGTCAGGAGATAGAGACCGTCCTGGCTGACACAGTGAAACCCCATCTCTACTAAAAATACAAAAAATTAGCCGGGCGTAGTGGCGGGCACCTGTAGTCCCAGCTACTCGGGAGGCTGGGGCAGGAGAATGGCGTGAACCCAGGGGGCAGAGCTTTCAGTGAGCCGAGATTGTGCCCCTGCACTCCAGCCTGGGCAACAGAGCGAGACTCCATCTCCAAAAAAAAAGAAAAGAAAACATTTACAACTAATGATCTTTATACTAAGATGGCAAAAATTAGGAGGCATATAAAATGTGAGTTGTTTGCTGACTTTTCTGATTTAGTTAAAAATAAATCTAAAAGTAAACATGAGCTTTGTTGTATAAGTTAACTTATTTTGCAATATTGGTATGTACATTTTCCTGGTCAGAAAAATGAACTGACTTGAGAGACAGATGAAGGAGATTTGTTTGGGGCAGGACTATTTCTTAGAGCAGGTAATGTTCTTAGAATTGGATGTACAGGAGAAAATGAGGAATTCTTGATAACAAGGACTGGTCAGAGGTTTAGGTTGAGGCCGGATGAGTAGGTGGTGATTAAGAGGGAACTTTGATCCAGTCTGCAGCCCTGGCTGTCTCCTGCTGAGCTCCAGGGGCCCTGTGTTTAGACTCGTTCTGTCTTTTTATACAGGGCTTACAATATCCCTTCTTTCCTAACTTGCCTACACTGTATTCTTTATTTGCAGAAACACACAGGGACAACTGCTACCTTCTTTCCTTGTTTCTTCCTCAAGAATATAGTAATGTAAAAAGATTCAAATACTAAGAATAGGTGTGGTTCCCATGTTTAAAAGACAGAACACGATGTTATACCATTTAACTGTTGGCTTTTTTTCTTGTTTTAATGCAGTTCTTCTATCTGGGATCATTTACATAGTTTTCCTCATCTGACACCATATATGGTACTTGTAACCTTCAAATCTGTTGGTTCTGCATCCATGGATTGAACCAACCACAGATCAAAAATTATCAGGGAAAAAAGTCACAAAACACATAAAAACAATAACATATAACAGCATCATACCATACATATTAACAATACCATGTAACAATGCCATTTAAAAGTATTCTTTTAGGTTGGGCTCAGTGGCTCCCAGCTGTAATCCCAGCACTTTGGGAGGCCGAGGCACACGGATTGCTTGAGCTCATGGGTTCAAGACCTGCCTGGGCAACATGGCGAAACCTCGTCTCTACAAAAAAATACAAAAATTAGCTGGGTGTGGTAGTGCGCACCTGTAGTCCCAGTTACTCAGGAGGCTGAGGTAGGAGAATGGCTTGAACCTGGGTGACAGGTTGCAGTGACCTGAGATTGCACTGCTGCACTCCAGCCTGGGTGATAGAGCCAGACCTTGTCTCAAAAATAAATAAATAAATAAAAAGTATGCTTTTACATGACATTTACATTGTATTAGGTATTATAAGTATTATTTAAAGTATACGGGAGGATGTACTCAGGTTGTATGTAAATAGTATGCCATTATATAAAAGGGACTTGAGCATCCGTGGATTTTGGTATCTTCGGGGGCCCTAAAACTAATCTCCCATAGATATTGAGCAATGACCATATGCTATTATTCTAGCTACTCACGTTTTCCTTAGCTTTATTTGCTAGATCAAACATTGAATGAATTTGACCCATGTTTATTGATTTCTATGCTTTAATTTTGCCCTAAAATTCTGTTTTCTAAAGTAGTATCTAGGGGACATAGTTATGATTTGTGCCTGATATCATGGTTTTGAGCCAGAACAATTATTGAAAATAAAGGTAATCTTTAATACTGGAATATCTATCTGCAGTTGACAGAGAATTTCAAAACTGCTGTTCTTAATGATGACGTCTATGTATTTCTATATGTAAAATTATTCATTAATGTTTATTCTGTTTAGGAACACTGTAACAACCTCTATGATGATGATGGGACTCATCCGAGCTTAATCTCAAATCTCCCAAACTGTTGCAAAGAGAAAGAAGCAGGTAAGAAATTCATACTTGTTTTTAAGCTTGAGGATATCATTTTCATGTTAGTAAAACCTAGTATAATATATGAAATTTTCAATGATCTATAATGCCTTAGTGCTTCTGAAATAACACGTGAATGAAGAACAGTTGAGAAGGTTAGAATCTCCTTGGAGAGCCTCAGAATTGGTCTGTCCATTTCATGGATCCATTTTTACTTAGTGGTGGTATTTGTAAAGAAAATTTATATTTCAATTTTATTAACGTTTAATATGCAAATTTTTACTTGGAAATCTGTTGCCATATTTTAATTGGAAATGTGCTTATCTTCTCCATTTTGAATTTGCTCTACCAACAATTATTTTATAGCTTTGCTTTACTAGCTATTATACAAATAATAGCTGAATATTATCACATTAAAAGATTCTAGTATATGCCTTTTAGATAAGAAATATAGCTTAATTTTTAAGTTACTCTCATTTATTGTCTAATTATAGAAGATGAAGAAAATTTTGAAGCACCTGCCTTTCTAAATATGAGGAAGAGGAAGAGAGTTACTTTTGGAGAGGACTTAAGCCCGGAAGTGTTTGATGAATCTTTGCCAGCAAATACTCCATTGCGTAAAGGAGGAACACCTGTTTGTAAAAAAGACTTCAGTGGTCTCAGTTCCCTGCTGCTTGAGCAGTCACCTGTTCCTGAGCCATTACCTCAACCAGATTTTGATGACAAGGGGGAGAATCTTGTAAGTATGAAAAGCGTGGAACAAGCTTGCCATATGTATTTTCATCAGGCTTCACCTGCTTTGCATGAGCAATAACTATGCTTTGAAATAATGAGATAGACTAAATGATATGCCATGGTTTAAATTAATCTATTTTGTATGTAGGTTTTTATGAGTTTTTGCCCATTACAAATAATACTTCCCTGACTCCTTGTACATATTGAACAGATTTATGCCAATGAATTTAACAACTTAGGTAAACTGGATACATTCCTTAGAAGACACAAATTACCAAAACTCACTAAAGGTGAAATAAATTACCTCATTATCCCTATATCAACTTAAGATATTTAAATTTTAGTTAAAACCTTCCCACAGAGAAAACTCTAGGTATAGATGATTTTTTTTTTTTTTTTTTTTGAGATAGGGTCTTACTCTGTCACCCAAGCTGGAGTGCAGTGGTGCGGTCATGGCTCACTGCAGCCTCAACCTCCCAGGCTCAAGCTATCCTCCCATATCCTCCCGTCTTAGCCTCCCGAGTAGCTGGGACATGGGCACACATCACCATGCCTGGCTAGTTTTTGATGATTTTACTGATGAATACTACCAAACACTTGAGCAAGTTAAAATACTAATTCTACACAAGTGTTTCCACAAATTGAAGGGGTAGGTTAATTGATGTCAGCATTGTGATTTCAGCATTAACCTGGTGCAAAATCAGACAGGCATTATAAGAGAAGAAAACTACAGTTCAGTATCCTTGTAAACATAGCAATATATAAAAAGATAATACATCATAACCATGTGAGATTTAGCCTTGGGCTGCAAAGCCATTTAATGTTTGAAAAACAATCAGTGTAATCTGCCTTGTTAAAAGACTAAGACAGAAATACGATCATCTGAGTAGTTGCAGAAAAAGCAGCACACCAACATGGCACGTGTATACATAACAAACCTGCATGTTGTGCACATGCACCCTAAAACTTAAAGTATAATAATAATAATAATAATAATAATAATAAAGAAAAAGCATTTAACAAAATATAGTATCCACTTCTCATTTAAAAAATAAAACCTCTGAGCAAAATGGTAATAAAAGAATTTCTTCAAATTGACTAATGTCTATGCAAAACCAACAGTTAATGTCTTACCAACAATTATGTGGAAAAGATTTGCTATCTGTATTTATATTGCCATCTTACTCTGGAGTTCCCTGAATAACATTATAACGTTAGATTGTGTTTATGAATGAATTTTTAAATTTTCTTTATAGGAGTTAGAAATTTAGCAGTAGATCATTATGTGTACTTTCGCTTATAAATTTTCTTAGTAGTTTGATGGATTGCAGTTAGTAAGCATTTCATTGCAAACATGATTGGTAAATGGTATACATATATTTTTCTATTCAATATCTTTGTTTTGCTTTGAATTTTAGAATCTTTTATTGATTACCCATCTTTATGCTTATTATAGTTTCTCCTACCAAAATAAATTCTTACTCTTCTTTTGGGCACATTATGTATTCACTGCATTTAAAGATATCTAACTTCTGTCTTTTCCTTTGTTTAGGAAAACATAGAACCACTTCAAGTATCATTTGCCGTTCTCAGTTCTCCTAATAAATCATCAATCTCTGAGACCCTTTCAGGTAGTAACTTGTTTATCTTAAAATCATAAATGTCATTTTTTATATGTGTATATGTTGATTATTTTTGTTTTCTTTTAAAAATTTCATATTTGTTACCACAACATATACTTGGTTTAAAAACACCTAATAGTATTGGGAAGCTGACATGAAGCTATTCATCCATCCCTTTTCCATTCCAAGCCTCATACTTCATAATCACCCAGAATTTACTTCCTCAGATGGAATCCCCATTTTGTTAGTTGCTAGAAGCAATGGAGTTAGCCTCTCAACTCTTAAGTATCAATGACAAACTGCTATTCACAGTTTACAGAATTGACATCTGGATTGTAAGGATCATTCTTAAATATCCAGACTTTTTCCTCAACATTCATTGTGGCGTTTTTAGCACATGTGCTTTCCAAGGTCTCTGGATTTTTTATGATTATGACAAAGCAACAGATTGCTCCCAGCTTTTCTGACAAACCAGGACTTAGCTGGCAGGTGTCATGGGCCAGGCACCTTTATTCAGGTGTCTTCCCTGGCGGAAACCCCTTAATGGCTTCTTGTTGACACAAACCAAACCTAGTAGACTCCAAGCCATGTGTTACTAAGTTAGAGCTAAAATTTGAATCACAGTCTATCACATTCCAAAGGCCATACCCTTAAACATATTATACCACCTTTCATTTATATCATTAAAAGTCTGCCAGGTGCGGTGGCTCATGCCTGTAATCCCTTTACTTTGGGAGGCTAAGGCAGGCAGATCACTTGAGGTCAGGAGTTCAAGACCAGCCTGGTCAACTTGGTGAAACCTGGTCTCTACTGAAAATACAAAAAAAAAAAAAAAAATTAGCCAGGCATGGTAGCGGGTGCCTATAATCTCAGCTACTCAGGAGGCTGAGGCAGAAGAATCACTTGAACCGGGGAGACGGAGGTTGCAGTGAGCTGAGATTGCACCACTGCACTCCAGCCTGGGTGACAGAGTGAGACTCCATCTCAAAAAAAACAAGTGGTCAAAATAAAATTTTCCTATCCTACACTTTAAATAAAATTTAAAACAAAGTATTTTCATGGTTATCTTAATGTCCTTTATTGCGATTTCATTATACAAAATGTATCGTGGAATAAATGGGTGTTCATGAAAATACATGCATTTATTGTAATGTGATTTATTCTGCTATCTTAGCTTGGTAATATGTTAAGCAGTCACCATGGAAAGTGGCGAAAGTTTCTGAGTATCCAGTAAACTTAAAATTTTTTAAAACAAAAAAAAAAAATTGGATTTCAAAATTTCTGCTGCTTGGCTCCTCTTTTTTTTGTTTAGATATGGTATTAAAGGTGGATATCCTAAACACAGTGTTTCCAAAGGAAGATGTATGTTATAGTTTTTGGTTTCCTACCCTGATTTAGCTTTTGTCTTGTTTATCAGGCACTGATACCTTTAGTTCTTCAAATAACCATGAGAAAATATCCTCTCCTAAAGTTGGTAGAATAACAAGGACTTCTAACAGAAGAAATGTAAGTGTTTGTGTTTGGCACAACGTATTTGTTTTTAAATCGTGCAATATACTTTTCTGTTTTCATGGCCAAATGATAATGGGTGAAATCTTAGTTTAATCAGTGTCATTAAGAATTAATACTTTGGCCAGGCACCGTGGTTCACGCCTGTAATCCCAATGCTTTGGGAGGCCGAGGCAGGCGGATCATGAGGTCAGGAGATTGAGACCATTCTGGCTAACACGGTAAAATCCCATCTCTACTAGAAATACCAAAAAAATTAGCCGGACGTGGTGGTGGACGCCTGTAGTCCCAGCTACTAGGGAGGCTGAGGCAGGAGAATGGCATGAACTCAGGAGGCGGAGCTTGCCGGGAGCCGAGATGGCGCCACTGCACTCCAGCCTGGGCGGAGTGAGACTCCGTCTCAAAAAAAAAACTAATACTTTATCCTACCTAGCATGTAACCTATAAGGTGATAGTGTGTTTCTGATTTGATTTTAATTCTATTAGAAGAAAAATCTAGAAAGATGCTTTCAGAGCTGTGTTAACATGGAAGTTAACAAAATTTGTTTGGGATCTATATGATTTTATGAATTTCGTTGAGGTGAAAATGGAGAAGATCAGCATGTAATTAACAGAACCAGAAAATAATATAAGTATAATCTTTTTTAAATTGTGCTTCAGTCTGTTTTTTAACACTGGGTTTCAACTGGGAGTTATATATAAGCATAACTCCCATTGAATGCATGTCTTTTGCTATTTCGTTAAATTAGATAAAATTTGGATTTTTGTTTATAACATCATAAAGTATAAACATATACTGTTATGGGGTATTTAGCTTATAGGGTTGGATATTAAACCCAGGATTCAAACCTAGATAATCTAAAAATTCATGATTTTTTTCCCCATAACCCAGTAGTTAGGTGCTAAATTGTAGGTTCTTAATGAGTAGTTGATGAGTGAATAAATTAACGAATTCTTAAGCTGTTTTTTCTTTCTTCCCTAATATAATTGGGTAATATATGTATACTTCTGGGTCTGCATTTGATAGTTCAGAAATTGGTAATTACCATTTCCACCAATTTTCATCAAAGTGCTTTTAATAAGGTTTGTGAATTAAGAATAAATGGGATCTAAAGTGGTAGAAGCATCCTGGGAAGCACAACAAGAGTGAGAGCAGCACATTAACATGTAATTGCTTGTGCTTTACGGTATCCTACTTTACACTTTCTTTATAGCAATTGGTCAGTGTTGTAGAAGAGAGTGTTTGCAACTTATTGAATACAGAAGTTCAGCCTTGTAAAGAAAAGAAAATTAATAGGAGGAAGTCTCAAGAAACAAAGTGTACAAAGAGAGCACTTCCTAAGAAGAGTCAGGTAAGCATGTGTTTAAAGATATAATAAAGAGTAGAAGTGGTGTGTTTCCTTATTGTATAATTAGGAAAATATAGAAACACATTTTTTTCCAGTTGACTTTGGACCAAGATTATTAATGCAATCTTACCGTGGAGTAGAATGGGGTGGGGGGGTTATGTACTTAACTCTGAATTGCCTAAGGAACACTTTTGCGTCTTCTTCATCTTCTTGTGTTGCGTACTTCCTGCACAGTAAATTAATAGGCACTCAAACCTGAAATTCTCATTCTCATCTTTGAATCTACCCCAACATATTACCCTATTGGGAATCCTGATTTTTTTAGGCAGGGATGAGTGTGCCGCTTGCTACTTCTTAGATTCTCTTCTTCCAGTTGCTGAATCAAATTTTTCCCTAAATTTAAGGGAAAGTTTAGAAACTAGCTCTCAGTCTTTCTTAACACTTCTGGTCGTCTCAGATACCCTTACAGTCCATGTGGTTAGCCAATTTAACACCTTAACCCAGTTCCTTTTCCTTCTCCAGCTCAGTGATCTGGACTCCACACTCCAAAGCCACCTACTCACTCTTGCTGCCATTCTTACAACTTGTTACTGCCCGTGTAGCAGTGCTCATTCTCTGACCCCCAACTTCCTGTCCATCCAGCCTATTCACTCTCTTACTCTGCAGTTCCTTCTGTACTGCTAAGCTTTCAGATACACCTGAAGTTCATGTTTCCCTCTTCATCCTGAACTGAGTGAACTGTTTCCAACTCTTGTCAGGAATCTCAATTCCGGATCCTTTTCCTTCCACCTCATCCATCCAGCAAAATTTCCAGTCTGACTGAGTTATCCTCTCTTCCATCTGACATAGCCCCTAGAGACACTCACACAGGAGTTGGGGATAGTACTACTACACATTCACTGACATCTGGCCTTCTTCTTCACCACTTTGCCGCTTCACTTCATTTTTAATACTAAAGCCAGTGCATACTTTTCAGTTCTGTTCTTAATGGACATCTTAGCATTTGACATGATGGAACACTCCTGTACAGTCTCTAAGGTTTGTTTTCTGTCCCCCATTGTTAAATGTTTGTGTTTTCCAGAATTCTCTTCTTTGCCCTTGTAAATTGTTTATCTTCTGGGTAATTTCATACACAGCATGGTTAATGACCATATATGAAGACCAGAACTTCCTGATCTGTAAATCTGTGTTCAACTACGTACTAGACATCTGTCTTTAACCATGCTATGTCAAAATCAGCATTTCTAAAACTAAACTTATCAACCTATACACCCACCCAAAACATTCCGTAAACTTCCTTCCCCCTCTATGAAATAAAAATGACTGCTTTTCTTGGTTGAGTAGCACAGATATCCTTAAGTCATTAAATCCGGAAGGAACTAGGTGTTTTCCTGCTTTAGTTCCTTTTTAGGTCACACACTCTTGATAAAATGATGAAAGATTATCTTGCTGAAAAAATACCATTAATTCAAAAATATACATACAACTTATTACATTAGAAATTGATTTCCTTCGTGTGTGTGTGTATATATATTTTAAAGCACTCTTACAAAGAATATACACCTATTCATATAAAATTACGGCCAGAAAGTACAAAAAGGATTGAGCATTAAGTCACTGCAATCCCTCCCAGGACCTTGCTGAATTAATACCATTTAGGTACTAAAAGGAATACACTTAGAATAGCAATGAGAGGAGGAAAGGGATGAGGAGGGGTATTGAGAAGCCGACGACAGCCTTCAATGAATTTCTAGAAGACCAAGCAGATGGGAGCATGTTGACAGATAAAAAAAGGTGGAAAGATTTACAGTTCAGAATGTGCTAGGAGGGAGCTAGAGAGGAGCTGGGAGCCGGCCTGTTCATGGGAATCCCAGGAGACCCTGGCCCAGAATTGGCAGGTACGATGGATGGTGAGAGTGAGAGGTGGTACTGAAAAACAGAGAAATGAATTGAAGTCCTATACGTGGGACAGTTTGCACCAGTTGGCACACCAGCCTCCTCCCACCCTGATGCTCAGAACAGATGTTGTCATCTAGATTAAAGCCCTCATTCTGGCATTTGGAAAGTCCCACAGTCTTGACAGCCAGCTCTTGCCCTAATGCAAATCCTGACAGTTGACCCTCCAGTATTCTGCCCCACCCTAGGTAGGATTTCCACGCAGGAAAGAGACTGAGCTGGAAAGCAGAGGAAACCTATATACCAACTTACCCAATCTTAAATAAGAAACAAGGCAATTGAATAGAACAAATAGCATGAAAGTGAAAAGACCAATGTTAATAAGGTTAAAAACTGACTTCAGAGAAATAGGTTATTCAAGGAATAGAAGGAAATTTTACATACATAAATACTCCACTCCAATTTAAGAAAATATCATCTGCATAAAAGTAAGGAGATACTATGAAAAAGGAATTGCAAAAACATAAAATTTAGTAGTTGGACAAAAGAATTAAAGTTAAGGAAAGTCTCCCAGAAGATAGAGCAAAAGAAAGACTGGAAACGAGAATCTAGGAGACACCATAGGACTCTTAGGAAAAAGAAGGAGAAAATAGAATGGGAGAAGTCATCCAAATAAAAGAAGAGGATTTCCCAAAAATAGAATGGAAGAAATTATTCAAATAAGAGGATTTCCTAGAACTGAAGAAAGGAGTCTTCAAGTTAAAAGCGCCCACTGAATAACTGGTACAATGAAGAAGGGCCAGGGGGTAGGCCTGTAACTGTGAAACTGAACAATAAGGATAATGAGGAAAGTGGGCTTTTCCTACAGAGAAATAAGAACCAGAGTGGCATCAAGACTAGCAATAGCCGGAAAGCTACAAAATCATACAAGAGTTCATTTAAAGCTTAGAAGAAAATTTCAACCGAGTATTCTACACCCAGCCAGTCTCAATTAAGTGTGAAGGAAAAAATAAAAGACATTTGAGTGTTTCTTTTTTTCTTTTCTTTTTATTTTGAGAGAAGGTCTCACTCTCACCCAGGCTGGAGTGTAGTGCTGTGGTCACTGCTTACTGCATGCTTGACCTCCCTGGCTCAAGTGATCCTCCCACCTCAGCCTCTTGAGTAGCTGGGACTACAGGTGCACGCCACCACGCTTGGCTAGTGTTTTTTGTTTGTTTTTTGTTTTTCTTTTGAGATGAACTCTTGCTCTGTTGCCCAGGCTGGAGTGCAGTGATGCATGATCTTGGCTCACCACAACCTCCACCTCCTGGGTTCAAGCAATTCTCCTGCCTCAGCCTCCCAGTTAGCTGGGACTACAGGAACGCACCACCATGCTCGGCTAATTTTTGTATTTTTAGTAAAGACGGGGTTTCACTATGTTAGCCAGGCTGGTCTCAAACTCCTGACCTCATGATCTGCCTTCCTCGGCCTCCCAAAGTGCTGGGATTACAGGCGTGAGCCACCACGCCTGGCTGGCTAATTTTTTTTTACTTTCTTGAAGCAGCGGGGGGTTGGGGGGTCTCACCTTGTTGCCCAGGCTGGTCTCAGACTCTTCCTGGGCTCAATCACTTCTCTCACCCCAGCTTCCCAAAGTGCTGGGATTACAGGCTTGAGCCAACATGCCCAGCCAGAAAGTTATTTTTCTTTGGATGCTACTGGAGGAGGAACTCTAGCAAAATGAGGAACTAAGCTTAAGAATTCAGGACACAACGGATCTAACAATACAAGAGCGCAATCAAAGGGAAATCGCTGGTTGTAGCTGTTCAGCCAGCCTAGAAGAGCAACCAGTCCAAATTTGAGCAGGGAGAAGGAGCTGGAGCTAAAAAACGGAAAAGACCTGTGATTGAAAGAATGAATGGTATGAAAGGTATGTCACATAAGAAAAAAACGGTAATTATATACCATTTCAAATAAAAGTCTATATAAAAGTTTTAGAGTAAATATGAAGGAAACATTACTGTGATTTCAAGCAATAATGCAGTATAAGGAAAAGTAGATTTTATAGTGCTAGGAATCATCTCCCTCAAGGGGCCCGGAGGAGAAGAAAAGAGTATGAAAGCTGTACTTGGCAGAGCCGTGAAAAATGTTTGCAGTCATAATAATACAGATGCTATTTGTTTTCAACTAAGGACGAAGCTTTTAACAACTTGGTTGTTGTGCAGGACAATGTGAGTATTAACAATCTAATGATAGGAAAATGTAGTTAATAGCAGAAGGTGAAAAGTGAGTTAAGGTAGAAACAAGGGGGCTAATGGTGTGCTGGTAAGAGTGCAGACTCTGGACCAGACCCCTGGGTTTAAATCCTGGGTTCATTCCTGCCTCCAGTGCAATGCTGGGTAAAATTCTGGACTCTGTTTTGTTTGTGTGTTTGTTTGTTTGTAAAACAGTGGTGGAAATGGATGTTAGAAGCTTCTGAATCTTAATGAATTCATGCATGCTCAACTCTTAGAACAGTGCCTGGCCATAGTAAGCTTTGTGGTCATTATCATCATTATCATGAGACATTCAAGATATATATTTTAAAATTTAATGAAAAGAAATAGAAATATAAAAGTTCAATGTTTACCAACTGAAGAGCCACAATTAACATAGAAAAGAGGCAGGTTTGGTTTTAAATGAGCAGTTTTTTCATCTTTCATAGCAAGATGTTGACAGATAACTAAAATTAGATTAAATGCCACTTCTCAACCAGAAGTAGCATTAGAATCCTCAAGAGTAAATTCCTTTATAAACCAGAAATGGAGAAAGTTCCCAAAGTGTGACTCAAAAACCAGAAACAGTGAGGGCAAAGGATTGGTGAATTTGATATCTTTTGAACCATACAGCATGGAGCATGCGTAAGGAAAAAAATCCCCATAAGAAAATTTAAAAGACAAAGAACAAGCTTGGGAAAAGTATTTGCAACTCATATCAGACACCAAGGATTAATGTCACTAATATTTGAAGAGCTTCTAAATTACTTAGAAAGGAACAGTCTTCAAAAGATAACAAAACATTTACAAAACTGAAATGAAAATGACCTTCAGCACAGGAAGAAAATGTTCAGACTTCCTCATCATAAGAGAATTGCAGCTGTAACGTGCATTGAGATGCCGTTTCTCACCTTTTAGATTACCAAAAATCTGAAAGTTGACAGCATACTCACGTGGTAAGGCTATGGGGCAAACAGGCACACTCATACATTTTCTGCTAAAGCAGACCTCTGTGGAGGAGTATTTGGCAGTATCTGGCCAAATTAAATACTCATTTGTCCTTTGACCCAACAGGCCTATTTCTAGGAATCCATCTCAAAGATCCACTGATCAAAATACAAAAATATATGTTTATTTATTGCAGCATTCTTTGTAAAGCAAAAGACTAAAAGCAAACCATATGCTCATCAATATGAGACTTGTTGAAAAAACTATGGTGTTTCCACAAAGCGAGTATTAGGCAGCTGTAGAAAGTTGTGAAGAGAACTTCCATACACTTCTATACAGTGATGCCAAGGGGACACAGATGGCCCTCTATATACTGTTGTCCAGCATCTGTGGTTGGTTGAATCAAAAACACTCAGGGCTGGGTGAGGTGGCTCACACCTGTAATCTCAGCACTTTGGGAGGCTGATATTGGAGGATTGCTTGAGGCCAGTAGTGCGAGACCAGCCTGGTCAACATAGCACAACCCCATCTGTATTTTCTTAATATATTACTTAAAAAAAAAAATTCAGAAAAACCCAATAACAATACAACAATTAAAAAAATAAAAATTTTAAAATACAGCATATTAACTATGTAGCATTTATATTGTACTTGGTGTTAAGTCATCTAGAGATGCTTTAAAGCATAGTTATTATGCTGTATTTTTACAGTATAATGCTGTAAAAGGAAGTTTACATATGCTCTATGCAAATACTGTGCCATTTTATGTCGGGGACTTGAGTATCTGCAGATTTTTGGTATCCACAGGAGGTCCTGGAACCAATTTCCCTACAGATACTGAGGGATGACTGTGTTTACTGTTAAAATGAAAAAAGCATGTTATAAAACAATATATGTGGTCAACTACTGGTTATGGACTGAATTGTGTCCCTTCCCAAATTTATATATTGAAGTCCTAACTCCCAGGATCTCAGAATGTGACTGTATTTGGAGATTTGGTCTTTAAAATAGTTATTAATTTAAAATGAGATCCATAGGGTGGGTCCTAATCCACTCTGACTGGTGTTCTTATAAGAGGAGGAAATTCGGACCCACATAAGGACACCAGGGACGAGTGTGCATTGAGAAATAACCATGTGAGGACACAGCAAGAAGGTGGCCATCTGAAGGCCAAGGAGAGAGGCCCCAAGAGACACCAGCCCTGCCAACACCCTGATCTTGCACTGCTAGCCTCCAGAACTGGGAGAAAATTAGTTTCTGTTGTTTGAACTACCTAGTTTGTGACATTTTATTACAGTAGCCTTACAAACTAATACATTACCCTTTGTCTAAGAAAGTAGAGTACACATATAGTTTTGATTTTTCAGTTGAAGAATAAACCAAAGAGAAATAAAAAACTGGCTATAGGGAGAAGGGAGGAGACAGGAGAGAATGTGAATGCAAGCTAGACTTCGTTAAGTGTGTACTGTTTTTCAGTTTTGATTGTGGGACCATTTAAATGTTTTACCTGACTATGAAACAAAACTAAAACTAGTAGAAAGAGAACAATCTCTAATAAGCGAAAGCAAAATTTGACAAATTCTTACTATGTCAAGTTGGTGGCTTAACTTCATTAAGAATTTTTTCAAACCTAGAAATTTGAATATAAGTGGGATAAATCTTTTTTTTTTTGAGATGGAGTCTTGCTCTGTCACCCAGGCTAGAGTGCAGTGGCGTGAGCTCGGCTCACTGCAAGCTCCGCCTCCCGGGTTCATGCCATTCTCCTGCCTCGGCCTCCCGAGTAGCTAGGAATACAGGCACCTGCCACCACGCCCGGCTAATTTTTTATTTTTTATTTTTTAGTAGAGACTGGGTTTCACCATGTTAGCCAGGATGGTCTCGATCTGCTGACCTCGTGATCCGCCCACCTCGGCCTCCCAAAGTGCTGGGATTACAGGCGTGAGCCACTGCGCCTGGCCCTATAAGGGGGATAAATCTTAAGGACAAAAATAACTGCAAAGAAATTATAAACAGTATGAAACACTCAATAGAAGCACTGAATTTAGAATAAAGCAAATAAGCAATTTTTCCCATCATTAAGAATCAAGATGTGCACTCAGAGACAAAAGATATATTTTTAAATCCAACAAATTTAAAACTTTGGAAGACTAAATTTGAATTGGAAATAAGAGTAGAAACTCATTTTATTTTCCATTTAAAAGAATTGTCCAGCTCTATCCATTGATAAAGCTTAAAATTCATGAGCATCCCTGGTGCATAGATTATCATTAGACATACCAGTTAAAAGGGGTTAGGGTCCCTTGGTGAAATGGCTGCTTTCAGATTTACAACAACAAATTTAATAAGTGAGCCTGGTTGGGTCTGTACCAGAGTACAAGGAAGGATGCTAAAAAAAACTACTGGTGTCATGTTAACAGACACAAATCCATCTTCAAGGGACTTACACTGACCAGATATGATCATCAGCATTGCAAAGCATTGAAGTACAATCATGAAATAACACATAAGTTTATTACTTTTTTTTAATTAATGGACACTTTAGAAGCTTGCTAGGATACCCACTCATTTTTCTGATAACAGGAAAATAAAATTTGAGCTCTATTTCAGGTAAACAAATAGTTGATGAGGGAAAAGTTGTTTATAGAAGAATTTCAGGTAATAAAAGAAATGCTCAACAAAGCTGCTTAAAACGTTTGATAAAAGGCTGATGTGACATAGTAACAATCAACAGAGGAAAGAAACACCGTATAGAATGGGAGAAGATACTGTAACTACAAACCATACATCTGATAAGGGGTTAATAGCCAAAATGTATAAGAAACTCAAACAGCTCATTAGCAAGAACACACCAATTTAAAAATGGTCAAAGGTCCAGAATAGACAGTTCTCAAAAGACATGCAAATGGCTAACATCACTAATCATCAGGGAAATGCAAATTAAAACCACAATGAGATATCACTGGCTATTATCAAGCAGATGAAAGATTACAAGTGTTGGAGAGGATATGGAGAAAAGGGAATCCTTTGTACACTATCAATAGGAATGTAAATTGCTACAGCCTGTTTTGATTGGCAAAGTCAACTAAAAATATAGAACTGAATCTCTAAACAAAATGTTTTATTTGGGAAAACGTAATTGCAGTTTGGGGCAAACACACAGACCGAGGTGGTCTTTGATATGTCCTAAGAACGTAGAAAGTTGGGGTTTTTAGTAGAAAAAGAAATGTTACATATTATTTAGAAAAAAAACTCACTGGCCCTAAGCAAAATTTTGGGGAGCTGGTAAACTCTGGTGAGTGATGGTGGTAGTTAAATTTAGTCTTACAGTCCCAAGTGCTTTTTTTCCCCTGGTCTCTGGACTCTAGTTGTTTATGACACAGTGACTCCAAATAATCCATTTTCACAAGCCATTGTGGGAAACATTACGGGGGTTCCTCAAAAAATTAAAAATAGAACTACCATATGATCCAGCAAATCCCACTTCTGGGTATGTATCCAAAGGAAATCAGTATATCAAAGAGCGATAACCAAGTTACAGACTCAAGCTGAGTATCCATCAACAGGTGAATGGATAAAGAAAAAATATGTGTGTACACACACAACAAAATGCTATTCAGCCTTAAAGAAATCCTGTCATTTTGACAGCATAGAAGGACCTTAAGGGCATTACGTTAAGTAAAATAGTCCAGGCACAGAGAGACAAGAAGATCTTACTTACATGTGGAATCTTTAAAAAATAAAAAATAAAAAAAAAAAAAACTCACAGAAGCTGAGAATAGAATGGTGGTTGTCAGGGGGGCTAGTGGCTTGAGTGGTGGGGGATGAGGAGATGTTGGTTCAAGGGTACAAAGTTTCAGTTAGGATGAGTAAGTTCTGGAGATCTGTTGTACAGCATGGTGACTAGGAAATAATAATGTATATGGGAAAATTGCTAAGAGATGACATTGTAAGTGTTCTTGCCATAAAATAATTATGTGAAGTGGTGGATATGTTAGTTTAATCATTTCCCAATGTGTACATATGTCAAAACCTCTCATCCACCATGCTATATGCAATTTTTAATTTGTTGGTTATACAATTGTATTCAAATTTGCCCATCAAAACTGAATCTAATCAAGCTTCTAGATCTAATTACCAATTTATAGGACATGGAGGAACATAGACTCACCTACTGTAGTGAGCCAAATCTAGGACTTGGCTAATTCTATAGGAAAAATGCCTCAATTTACTCACCAAATAAATGTCAAGGGAAGTAAAAAAGGAGCCATAGAATAAAAGAGACTAAAAGACATGAATCAAATGGTATGTGTGGAGATCTTATTGGGGTCCTGATTAGAACAGTTGTTTTAGAAAAAGAAATTATGGGCCAAGGGAGAAATTTGAACTTTGAGGAGATACTAGGGAAAATTGCCATCATGGTTTTTGTGTTTTGTTGAATTACATTTTGTTTTGTTTTGTTTTGTTGGAATGGAGTCTCGCTCTGTCGCCCAGGCTGGAGTTCAGTGGCACGATCTCGGCTCACTGCAACCTCCTCCTCCCCGGTTCAAGTGATTCTCCTGCCTCAGCCTCCCCAGTAGCTGGGACTACAGGTGTGCACCACCATGCTCAGCTAATTTTTGTATTTTTAGTAGAGACGGGGTTTCACTATGTTGGCCTGGCTGGTCTCAAACCCCTGTCCTCAGGTAATCTGCACCCCCCCCCCGCCCCCCAGGCCTCCCAAAGTGCTGGGATTACAGATATGAGCCTCTATCCCTGGTGTACATTTTAAGTTTTGTGATCATTTTGGATACACACACTCTTCTAAGAAGTAATGCAGAAAGATCCCAAGTACCCTTTACCTAGTTTCCCCCAATTGTGACATCTTGCGAAACCATAGTTCAGGGTCGCAGCCAAGATATTGATACAGCCGAGATCCAGACAGCTTTCCCATGGCCCTTTGTAGCTACATCCACTTCCTACCCATAACCCCGCCTCATCCCCTGGCAACCACTAATCTTTCTTCATTCCTACAGTTTTGTCATTTCGAAAAGGTTACCCAAATGGAGTCATGTACTGTGTAACTCGGGGACTGGCTTTTTCACTCAGCATAATTCTCTGGAGATTTGTCCAGGTTGTTATGTGTATCAGTAGTTCTTTTTATTGTTGAACCATATTTGTAATTGTCTCTAATAGAAAAAGAACCTTTAACTCTTCAAGACACTGCAGGATTTTCAGATGAAATGATGTGTAACGTCTGGGATTTGCTTTAAAATAATCTGGGGTTAGGGGAGTATAGATGAATCATGATTTCTATGTGCTAGTAATTGTTGAAGTAGCTGATGGGTACATGGGGTTCTGTACTTTTTGGGTGTTTGAAATTTTCCATAATCAAAAGTTAAAAATATAGCAGTATGAGCCCTTTATCAGAGAGAGGGAGCTAACTGCAAGAGCTAAAAGTGGAGCCAGCAGATAAGTAAGCACCAGGGGCAGGCAAGTGTGTGCTTGATCACCGTAACCTCTCCTATATGGTGTGATTTGTTGCCATGTCCATGAATTTTTTTTTTTTTTTTTTTTTTTTTTTTGAGACAGAGTCTCTCTCTGTCACCCAGGTGGAGTGCAGTGGCTCGATCTCAGCTCACTGCAGCCTCCGCCTCCCAGGCTCAAGTGATTCTCCTGCCTCAGGCTTCCCTAGTAGCTGGGAGTACATGGCTTACCACCACACCCAGCTAATTTTTGTATTTTTGGTAGAGACGGGGTTTCGTCATGTTGCCCAGGCTTGTCTCGAATTCCTGAGCTCAAGCAACCCACCCACCTCGGCCTCCCAAAGTGTTGGGATTAAGGGCATGAGCCACCGTGCTGGCCTGAATTAGTTTTTAAAAATTTTAAAGCTATTCTCTGAAAATAATTTAAAGAAGTCTTAATTATGCAAATAAGACAAAAGATAAACATTTACTTCTGCCTCCTGACCTCCTTCACTGTGTGAGAAGAGGAATCAGTGATTTTGGAGTAAACGAAATTGCTTTAGGGACAATCCCTTCAGTTGTTCTTTGGCGATTCTAAGCCATAATCCACCCTAACCATTTATTGATCAAATGGCTTCCCCCGGGGGTTCCAAGCATATACAACTTCTTCTGTTATTACACTATCAGCAAGGCTTTTGTACTGTGGTGAATTCAGATTTTGATAAGTTTGTGGCCTTTGCTGATGAAATCTTCTCATGACTAAGATCAGCTCTGCCAGATGTATTTTCAGGACAGACAGACAAACCTGAGGTGCTTTAATTGTTCTTTTTTGGGAGAGGTGGGGTGGTAATATACTTCTCTTGGCCCATGACCATGAAAAAACAGAAATTTAGTCTTTCAATCATGTTGAGCAAATTTTATGTAAGCTTAACTGTACTTCTTTGACCATTCATTCATTCATTCATTCGTATTTGTGGAGTAGCCACTGTGTGCTTGGCACTGTTGTAGATCCAGGGACATAACTTCCAAAATCATGTGAAGAGGGGATCTTTTTTTTTTTTTTTTTCCCCATATATCAGAAGCTATTCTGGCGATTATAATCTGGTGGCATTGCCCACAGTGTATTAACTGACCACACTGGGTCTATGCCCTACAATAATACTAATAACATAATTTAATATTAAAAATTAAAAGTATATGAAGTAATGGATATGTTCATTAGCTTGATTTAATCATTCCACAGTGCATACATATATCAAAATATGGTGTTGTATGCCATACGTATATTCAATTTTTGTCAATTAAAACTTTTTTTTCTATCTTTTAAAAAGGGTCACTCTGTTGCCCAGGCTGGAGTGCAATGGTGCAATCATAACTCACCGCCGCCTCAACCTCCTGTGTTCAAGCAGTCCTCCTGCCTCAGCCTCCTGAGGAGCTAGGACTACATGTGTGTGCCACCATGCCTGGCTAAAAAAAATAAAGTTGTCATGTTTTTCCTCATATTAACTCTCAAGTAATGGAAAAGAATTTGAAAGAACAAGATAGCTTTTACCATGGGTCAGGCCCTACATTAACCAGCTCTATCACATGTCAACTCATTTAATATTCCCCACAGCTTTATGTGGAGTGTGCTGTTGTGATTTCTGTTTTGCAGAGGAGAATGAGGTACAGAAAGTTGACTTGCCCAGGGTTATAAAACAGTTAAGTAACAGAGTCAAGACTTTAACCCAAAGTATCTGCCACCAGAGGCCATTTTTTTTATTTATTTATTTTTTGCAACTTATCTGTGAGCCCCAAGTTAAGATTTTTCTTTTCTCTTGGCTTTCAGGTTCATTGACCAAGCCAGCATTTCCCCAACTGTTCCACGGAATGTCAACAGATGTTCCATGAAAAAAATATTTACTGGAAAAATATTTAACCCAGCATTTTCCTAATGTGTATAGAGATTATTTATACTGTGGACTTCTCATAGAATTTCATGTTAAATGTACACTGTAAATCACCAGGAGGAACATTCATCTTGTACAGTTCTAAAATTATTTTTCCGTGGAATGTTTTGTTTTCACAGGATATCTATAGATTTCTCAAGGAGCACATAGTTTTGTGCCATTTCTGTACTCTTGAATCTCACCATTAGTTTCACCTATATATTCTGTGCTGTCACCCAAATGACCTTTCTTAAATTTAAGATCAAACGTTGACACTCTCGAAGTCACCATGCAGTGAGCCTTCATTGCTTTCATTCAAGTCACTGGCAAGGGCTCTGCTCCTGCCACTCCTGCATGGATCCACGGGCCGGGCCATGTCTTGCTGCATGCAGCCCTGCACCTGTGCTGTGCTGTCTCACTTTGAGTTCATGCACATGGCATTCCCTTCTCTTTGAAGAGCCTTTCTGCATCGCCCCCATAGTAGGCCAAAACAGCCCTTGCTTGTTTGAGATTTGACTTAGACATTACATTTTCCGTGGAGCCGATCTTGAACACCTCCTACAGGCCAGGTGCCCACCTTCACAGTTCACACAGCCAGTCATGGTGCGTGTGTATGGTCACTCCTTTACTTTACACCAGCAGCTCCTTGAAGAATACATCCTCTTTGCTTCCAGATCCCACACCTGGCAAGTTATTACCTGGCACACAGCAGTCTCAATAAATGTGTGAATGAATTCCACTTTCCAGATGTTTGTTTTTGTTTTTGTTTTGTTTTGTTTTGTTTTTTTGAGACGGAGTCTCACTGTCGCCAGGCTGGAGTGCAGTGGCGCGATCTCGGCTCACTGCAACCTCTGCCTCCCTGGTTCATGCAATTCTCCTGCCTCAGTCTCCTGAGTAGCTGGGACTACAGGTGCGCACCACCACGCCCAGTTAATTTTTGTATTTTTAGTAGAGACGGCTTTCACCATGTTGGCCAGGATGGTCTCGATCTCCTGACCTTGTGATCTGCCCACCTCGGCCTCCCAAAGTGCTGGGATTACAGGCGTAAGCCACCACGCCTGGCCTGTGTTAATTGTTAATATGTTTTATGTTGGCCCTAAATTCTGGTTCTCTTCAACATTGTCACATTGAATATATTTCATTCCTTTCGCCCATAACAGTCTGTCTTTCTAGTATTTCAGTACAGCATTTCCCCAAGGTCTTTTCCATATGAAACTTTTTTAAAAACATAAAACATTATTTCTTGGTTGCTGATACGTTACTCAGAATTGAATGTAATACCCCATTCCGGATATTATTAAGCGACTTTTAATTTTTATGGAAACCTACATTTTCAGTCAATTAATGTCAGACCTTTGTCTTCCATCTTCTGCTTGTGCTTGTTAAAATCCATTTTGTTTGACTGAATCTTGATTAAGTCATCTGTTGTTTGAATCTGCAGGTTCAGCTAGCTTTGTGTTTTCTTCATATTTTACATACACACCTCCTGTTTCTTCATCCGGACCTGGGAGCATAAAGCAGTCTCCCATAGCTTGCAGTATGTAATTCACACTAGGTTAATCCTGAGTCATCACAACTGTGCGTCTTACAGATATCTCATGACATTATATCTGTGCAGTTCTAAAGCATCTTATATATTTTTTCATTTATCCAGCCCTAGTTTTGGCAAGTGCCTTGTGGAAATGTAGAAAGCTACCATACAATTTATAAACTGAATCCTGCTTTGTAGTTTATTTGACTTTGTGGAAGTTACCTGACTTCCTACCCTCGATTTAGATGCTTACAACTTTAAATGAAATATAAAAGTTATCTATGCAATAAAGCACTGTATGAACAATAATTAGAGATATTATAGAAGTTGAAGGGTCAGACTGGGCATTGTGGCTCACACTTGTAATCCCAGCACTTTGGGAGGCCAAGGCAGGAGGATCTCTTGAGCTCAGGAATTTGTGACAAGCCTGGGCAACGTGGTGAGATCCCATCTCCACCAAAAATACAAAATAAAAAGCCAGTCGTGGTGGTATGTACCTGTGGTCCCAGCTACTTGGGAGGCTGAGATGGGAGGCTTGCTTGAGCCCAGGGGCAGAAGTTGCAGTGAGCTGAGATTGTGCCACTGCACTCCAGCCTGGATGACAAAGTGAGACCCTGTCTCAAAAATAAATAAAAATAACTAGTTAAAGGGTCAAAATTTTACATGGTGCTACATCTTTCTCAATTGCAATGTTTTAATGCATTTTCTCAGGTTTTAAAAAGTTGCAGAAAGAAGAAAGGAAAGGGAAAGAAAAGTGTTCAGAAATCTTTATATGGGGAAAGAGACATTGCTTCTAAGAAGCCCCTCCTCAGTCCTATTCCCGAGCTGCCTGAAGTCCCTGAGATGACACCTTCCATTCCGAGCATCCGAAGACTGGGTTCAGGTATCCTGACATTTTCCTGGTAGTTATATTTTATCTTTTCTCTTCACCCTCTTTGTTGCTATTTTACTTTTTTCACTTTTTTCCCATTCACTATGTAAAGAGTACGTAAATTTTAAAAAGCAATGTTTCCTCACATTACCATGAGGATTTCAAATGGAGGAAACAGTCACGTGTAACTTGTAGGTGACTTAGATCCTTTTCAGAATCTGATGGAAACTGGATCCTTTCCCCAGGAAAACCGAGACACAAGATTTTGCATATAATATCAGTAATAATTTCTGTGCATCCTGTTTCCTTTTGTTTTTTAAAGCATTTTGTGAAAATAAATTCCATTTGGTGGTGTAGTCCATCGTTGAAAGTGAACGAGAGCTGGGGCACCTGCCTGTGATCCCAACCATTTGGGAGCCTAAGGCGGAAGGATTGCTTGAGTTCAGGAGTTTGAGGCCAGCCTGGGCAACATAGCAAGACCCCATCTCTTAAAAAAAAAAGGAACAAAAAAAGTCAATGAGGTGATGATTCAGTAATATGTATACCTTATATGAGTTAAGGACAATGATGTTTTGTTAGAGTTGGCACTACTGTTTTCTAAAAATAATACATATAAATTGAGCTTGATTACCTTGAAAGTTATTTTATTATCAAGTCAGTTGATATATGGGGTAGATAAAAAATGGACTGGAATTGTTTCTGGTTTCTAATGCCCAAATTTTAAATGGACTGAATCTTGCTGAAAATAATAATGATTTTTTTTTTTTTTTTTAATTTTTAGTAGAGATGGGTGTCCCTGAGTTGCCCAGGCTGGTCTCAAACTCTTGGGCTCAAACAATCTTCCTGCCTCAGCCTCCCAAACTACTGATATTACAGGCAAGAGCCACGCTGTCTTGCCTGAAAATGATAATGTGTGTCCATTTGGTGTGTTGATTTGTATAGAATCATTTTTCAAATGGCTACCTTTGTCAATCATCAGATATTTATAGCCTACCTCCTATTTGCGGTATACCATACAAGATTAATAATAGACTTGAGGATGAATGAGGTACATGCCACCATTGACTCCTGGCTTCTGCGTCCTGCTTAACATTAGGATAGCACAGGAGTTTAAATAAACAGCCACCCCTCTGTCGCATACGCCCTGGCTCACACTCTTCTCCTGCCATGCTTTCTCACAGGCTGTGTTGTGACAGGGCATCCACCACTCTACCTTTAATCTGACCTAATGTTGCTTATCTTCCAAGATTTTGCTGTATTGTCTGTTTTTCCAGGAATACTCTGCAACATACTTCCATCACCTAGTTTTATGATGATCTATTTTCTATGTTCCCCTGCTCCCTAAAACTTCAGTCTCCTTGAGAGTGGAAACTAAGTCTTATTTTCATTACATCTCTAGTTCTTAACAGTTTTTCAAAAGATGATTAAACAGTGACTGTAGTAAAATTTTCCATGTTGTATCGTATTAGAGAATTTATTTTTTAAAATACCTAAAGCATTTTTTGTCTGTAACCAGTGGTATCACCTGCTACATGGGTTTAAAGCAATTCAGCTCCTTGCTTCCTTTATCTTCTCTATCTCTTTCTCTTTTTCCTTTCCTCTCTCCCTATATCTTCTTTACCTTCCTTCTCTAGTATGTTGGATTTTATGCGAAATACATATCTTTTTGTTTGTTTGTTTGTTTTTTGAGATGGAGTCTCACTCTGTCGCCCAGCCTGGAGTGCAGTGGCTCAATCTTGGCTCACTGCAACCTCCACCTCCTGGGTACCAGCAATTCTCCTGCTTCAGCCTCCCAGGTAGCTGGGACTACAAGCACGCGCCACCATGCCTGGCTAATTTTGTATTTTTAGTAGAGACGGGGTTTCACCATGTTGGCCAGGCTGGTCTCAAACTCCTGACCTCAGGTAATCCACCTGCCTCGGCCTCCCAAAGTGCTGGGATTACAGGCGTGAGCCACTGTGCTCGGCCATAAATATCAATTTTTAAAGCTGTCTAAAGAGCCCAACTAACATTGGTTGGCACTGAGTGGGCACTGACCTGTTTAATCTCTAGCTTTAAGTGACATGATTTTAAGTACCTTAATCATGGATATATTTTTAAATGGAAACATTGTTTTTTTAGACTTTTGGCTCAACTTATGTTTTATACTTTTTTTAGTTTTTATTTTATTTAAAACACTTTATTCATTTGACTGGCCACTTAAAAATATCATCTGAGGTATCAAAAAAGATTGCATCTAATAGTTAGTTCTAAGATTTAGAACTCATAAAGCCTGAACTCATGTGGGCTGTGTTACTTACCAATCTGATGATGGTTTTTCCACCTCTGATGTGCCAGAAATACATGAAAGCCTACCCACACGTGTCTTCCTGGAGGATATTTAGTCAAAGGCTGAGGAATTAAGGGTCGATTTTTATAATATTGAAACAAACCTGGTTCTGTTTCGGAGTACAGTGCACTTTATAGTAATTTTTAACAAAGGGCATGAGACCTGAGTGTCTTCAGGCATGCTGTTTTAGCTCATAAGTCCTCAAATACCCCAGAATTCCAAATTTTCCCTCCCCTGTTTCGGAGGATACATTGGTAGAAAGTTTCAGAAGCATAATGTTGCCCATTTGCAGTCATTCATTTTCAGGGAAATGGGAAATGTCACTGCCTCATACTCATGGACCTTGTAGCACGGGAAGGGTGTTAGAATGGAGGAAGCTGTTTCAGATGCTGTTCTCATTTTCATGGTTTGAGGTTATATGCTTTATTAATTCATGCGTTGAATACCTATTTTCTTAACCTGTGGATCGTTGGAGAACTAAAAGAGGAGGAGGAGGATGACAGAAGGGCAAGCACAGTGTAACATTTGTGGGTCTTGTGAATGCTTAAAACACAAAAACAAAACAGGTCACCTGATTATTTAATAAATGTAAAGTTCATTCCCATTGTTACTTTTTAATTAGATTTAAACCTATTTACATGCCCATAGGTTATTTCAGTTCAAATGGCAAACTGGAAGAAGTGAAGACTCCTAAAAATCCAGTGAAAAGAAAGGATCTTTTGCGTCATGACCCAGATTTGCATATGCATCAAGGCTATGATAAATATGATGTCTCTGAATTCTGCTCTTATATAAAAAGTTCCTCATCGCTTGGCAATGCTACTTCTGATGAAGATCCAAATACAAATATAATGAACATTAATGAAAATAAAAATATTCCAAAAGCAAAAAATAAGTCAGAAAGTGAAAATGAACCAAAAGCTGGAACTGACAGTCCTGTTTCTTGTGCTTCTGTAACTGAAGAACGTGTGGCATCAGATAGTCCCAAACCTGCTCTGACCCTGCAGCAGGGTCAAGAATTTTCTGCTGGTGGTCAAAATGCAGAAAACCTTTGTCAGTTCTTTAAAATTTCACCAGATTTAAACATAAAGTGTGAAAGAAAGGATGACTTCTTAGGAGCTGCAGAAGGAAAACTGCAATGCAATCGTTTAATGCCTAATTCACAAAAAGACTGTCATTGTTTAGGAGATGTCTTAATTGAAAATACGAAAGAATCTAAAAGCCAGAGTGAGGATTTGGGAAGAAAACCCATGGAAAGTAGCAGTGTTGTGAGTTGCAGAGACAGGAAAGATAGAAGACGTTCCATGTGTTATTCTGATGGTCGAAGTTTACATTTGGAAAAAAATGGAAATCACACACCATCCTCCAGTGTGGGCAGCTCTGTAGAAATTAGTTTAGAAAATTCTGAACTGTTTAAAGATTTGTCTGATGCCATTGAGCAAACCTTTCAGAGGAGAAATAGTGAAACCAAAGTGCGACGTAGCACGAGGCTACAGAAGGATTTAGAAAACGAAGGTCTTGTATGGATTTCACTTCCACTTCCTTCCACTTCCCAAAAAGCCAAAAGAAGAACAATATGTACATTTGACAGCAGTGGATTTGAAAGTATGTCTCCCATAAAAGAAACTGTGTCCTCCAGACAAAAACCGCAGATGGCACCTCCCGTCTCAGATCCAGAAAACAGCCAGGGCCCTGCTGCTGGTTCTTCCGATGAACCTGGTAAGAGGAGGAAGAGCTTTTGTATATCTACACTTGCAAATACTAAAGCCACTTCCCAGTTCAAAGGCTACCGGAGAAGATCCTCTCTTAATGGGAAGGGAGAGAGCTCTCTGACTGCCTTGGAAAGGATTGAACATAATGGAGAAAGAAAGCAGTAATTGACATTTCCTGCAGAGTCTGTGGCAAGAGGGAAAGTAACCATCTATGCTGAAATGATCTGTCTAGTTCCCATTCTCTGTTCAACCTCAGTGTTTCAAAAGTTCCTAATAAATAAACTCATTTGAGTTGAACCTACTTTTATGTAGAAATAAATAAGTTTCTTCATCATTCAGATAGAAAACATTCTATTAAATATATTCTTCTTCCGCCAGAGAGTAAATGCTTTATTACTACTTTGCTAAAAAGGTTATTTTTAGGCACAAGAAGACATCTCTCAATTTTTAGACTTTTTTTTAGCATATATATTTTTAAGTACATATTTACCACTGAAGTCTTAGACTCTGTTGTTAGAAGCATCTTTTAGAATTGGCTGATTTTATCTGGATAAGAGGTTTGTTTTTTTGTTTGTTTGTTTTTCTTTTTTTTCCCCACAAAAGATAAATTGATAGAATTAATGGAACTTTATGAAAATTGAAGGAAATATAAACTTGAAGACTTAAAGCGGGTAAGATATGTATTTTTCTTTAGAAAAAAAAAACCTGGCTATAAATTTTAACTAACAAAAGTTGAAATTATAAAACTTGTTTTCCTTTTGGTTAAATTTAAGAGAAGACTTGATGACTTGTTTTATCTGTCTCAAATGAGATTTTTATTTTAATAGTTTAAATCCTAAACAAGAAATTTCAGAAAATTATTTCAGTAACCACAATCTTATAAATTCATCATTATAAATGAATATATAATTTAGAAATAACTCTGATGTGAAACTATTCATTCCTTTAAACAAGATTCCTTTATATTTTGTTGTGTGTTGGGGGGAGGAATTTTTTATTTTTTATTTTTTATTTTTGGTGAAAATATAGCTCAGTTAAAGACTGGGCTCTCAGATTATTCTAATTAGTCACAGGCAGTTTGGGACTTAATTCATGGTTTTCCATTAAAAGTTTTGAAAACCAAAAACTCACTGATAAAATTAGTTTACTAACCTGAAGTGTGGCAGTAGGTCACTGATTTTTTAACACTGAGTTTTCCAGCGGTTCTTTTTTTTTTTTTTTTTTTTTAATAATATCTGGCACTTGACTTGGTTTCTCTAGCTTTTGCAACATCTCCTATGGCTGTTTTGGTGATAGCAGTTTGAAAAACTAAATTGCTATATATCTGGAATTTATGAATGCACATAAATCATTATATCATTAAACAATTGTCTTTGAAATCCTTTAAATCATTAAACTCCCCCTCTCCATGATAGCAGAAACATGTTAACAAATAGAGCTCTCTATAAATAACACAGCAGGGAAGAAAGCTCCCGCTGGGCACCCATTTCCCCCTTCTTACATAGAGACTATTTGTTACCTTCTTGGCACCGGCAGGTCTGGAACTCCTGCTGCTAAAGACTAATGTATTTTACATTAACACTCAAAGTGATCCCCAATTTCTTCTGCTCAAGGGTGGATTGTTTTTAAAATTCTTTTATCTTTACATGTAAATTATTTATAGACTTTTTTTTTTTCCATTTCTAGTTTGGTGTGGTTGGCAAATCTCTACCACTAAAAACAAGCTCACCACTCCCCCCACCCCAAAAAAATGAATGAATTAGCTTCTCTGAAGCTTTTTCGTTTTGCTGATTTTAAGAGAAAACTTTCAGAAACCTAATAAAATTGTTTTGCATTTCTACCTTGTCTAATATGAAGACTAACAACTAACTATTGATTGTTATTTCACTCCCTGTTTTCTATGATGATATATGATCACAATTGTATTTCAATTTTTAAAATTACACATGCTTTGTTTTATTTCTCAAAAAGTGCTAATGAGAATGAGGGAAACATTTCCAATCTGTGATTTGGGCATGGTTTTTCAAATGTGAAATGTTCTCTTTTTCTAGCAGCAGTTAAAAATGTAAACACACCGTTAGTTTCAAAATGTTTCATTATAAACATTTTGTTGACATTTGTCAATAACAAATAGGCATTTTTCCTAAAAAAAAAAAAAAAAATCTGAAAAATCAAAGCAAGTTAGATGCAGTTTTATCTACCAGGTCTCATTTGTACAAGATGTGTAAAACATTAATAATTTCTGTATTTGGTCATTCTTGTTTTTTGTTTTGTTTTGTTTTTTGTTGTTGTTGTTTTCCCATTTGTTTTCATTCATGGTTAAATCAAAAGCTTGGCTTCAAAATGGTTTTTTTTCCTGCCATGTTTTTTCGTTGCAGTAACTAACCCTTGTTCTTCCATCATGTTTCTGTTCCTGTAGATTCTTGTTTGTTCCAGAAGATGGCAGCACAACCTCTGAAGTTTTTCCTTCTCTGTGCATAACCTAATGGCTGTTGCCTGTGTGGCCCCCTATTTTTACTTTTTTCTTACATAAGTAGTATGTATCAATTGAAAAACACAGAACTGTACGGAATTTAAAAGTGGAAATATGGCATCTATCTTCCTTGCATTCCACGCAGGTGTCATCCAGCCACACCCTCCTCTCTGCAGCTCTCTCTGCAAGCACTTAACACCTGGCATGCACCTTCCAGACCTTTCTTGTATAAACATGCATGCATCGTTTTGTTGTTTTCTAACAGGATCACTATATGTGCCATTCTACCACTTGGTTTTTTTAATTCAACAAAATGCCATGAGTATCCTTTAGTCTTTTTATGGACAGCCCTAGTGCTGCTACTTCAGTCTTTTTTAACCCCTTCATATACCTTGAACATCTGTAATGAAGGTGGTCATCTCCTTACTAATGGATGAATGTCAGTTATCTCCAGCTTTTGCAATTATAGCAGTAAATGTAGCAAATACAAAGCCATATTGGGCTTGTTGAAAATATCTGTAAGATAAATTCCTTGAAATTAAAATGATTACGTTCTCTTCTGTGGATCTTAGCTGGCACATTCCCCTTACACACATTTTGGCATCCTTGCCTTCTTTCTGCCTCTCATTTTCTGTTCCTACTACTTAATGCCATTTTGCTTCCATCTTCTGTCACTACTGCCTCTACTTCCACTTAAGCTGCAGAATTGAGGGTGGGCCTTAGACCTGGTATGTGGAGGAGAGAATGATTAATTATACCTGGTTCATGCTTTAGATTGAAAGAGCTACCTTTCAAAGTCAAGTTTATTGAGGTATAATTAACCTACGGTGAAGTTCGCGTTTTTAAAGCATCCAGAATTTTGGCAAATTTATACAGCCATGTAACCAGTGCCACAATCAAGTAATAGGACATTTCTGTCACCCCAAAATTCCTCCCACCTCTTTGTAGTCAATTTTCTACCTGCCAACCCCGGGTCTTCACAACTGCTCATCTGATTTCTAGTGTTACAGTTCTGTCTTCTCCAGAATGTCATACAAATGAGATCATATAATATATACCCCTTTGTGTCTTTAGCTTAGCGTAATGCTTTTGAGATTCACCCATGCTTGCATGCTGTAAGTAGTTGATACTTGTTTATTGCTGATACTTGTTTATTCCATTTTATAGATGTACCAAAACTTGTTTATCAGTTTACCACTTGATGGATATTTCGATTATTTCTGGTTTGGGGCTAATGTGAATAAAGCTGCTGTAACAATTCACATATGGATCATTTTTTATAGTCACATGTTTTCATTTATCTTGCATAAATATCTAGTGGTAGGGTTCCTGGGCTGTATGGTGGTAGTATTAATATATGTTTACCTTTTTAGGAAACTGCTAAACTTTTCCATAGTGGCTGCATGATTTTGCATTTCCACTGGCAACACGTTTTGTTTGTTCCACATCTTCACCAGCCTCTGGTATTGTTAGCCTTTTTTCATTGTAGCCATTCTAGGATGTGTGCAGTAGTTTCTCATGGGTTTTGATTTATTTCTCTAATGACTAATGATATTGAACATCTTTCCTATGCTTATTTGCCATCTTTATATCTTCCTTGTTGTGATGTCTATCCAAATTTCTTGCCCACGTTTGTTGTTGCTGTTATTGTCTTACTGTTATTGAGTTAAAAGAATCTGTACATTTGGATACACATCCTTTATTGGATATGTCTCTTAAAATATTTTTTCCCATTCTGTGGCTTGTCTTTTTATTTGCTTAGCAGTGTCTTTTGAAGAACAGATTTTCATTTTGATGAAGTCCAGTTTACCTTGTTTTTACTTTAATGGTTCATGCTTTTTGTGTCCTAGCTAAGAAATCTTTGTCTAACTCAAAGGCACAAAGATTTTCTCCTGTGTATTCTTCCAGTTCTATAGTTTTAGCTCTCACTTAAGTGTTAGATCCACATTAATTTTCTTGTGTGAGATGAAGGTGGGTTATTTATTTTTAATGGAAATCATTCAACACCATTTGTTGAAAAGATTAACCATTTCTCATTGAATTACATTGGCACCTCTGTTAAAATTATTTGACCTTATATGTGTAGATCTATTTCTGGACATTATTCTGTTCATCTGTATGTCTATTCTTCTACCAATATACCACTGTGACTATATAAGAAAGTTTTGGATTTTTTAAAATCATAGTTTAGGGGTTTTTTTGGAGGGTAGAGAGGAGGCCAGAAGAAGCAAAAGGTTGACCAGCCACATCTGTCTGGGGCCTTCAGTTATTCCCAGACTTGTAGTACCATTTGGGTGCAAGAAGTGAAGCCAGCAATGACAGGCTATCAGAGACACAACAAGGAAACCAACTTCTCTGGGTGCCTCTGCGTTCAGCCTAGTCCTCTGGAAACTAGTTTACTATGGTTTATGATTTAAAATTTGACCCTAAGTTACTAAAAGATTCAGTCATCAAGAAGTAATTCTCTCTCTGGACACTACTCTGTATAGCAGTAAGAAAATAAGGTGAATTAAAATAAGATTCAAAATTCAATTTGCTAAAAAATTACCTAATAAGCATGACTCATTTATTTTCATAAATTGAAGTTTGTATTATAGTTTGATTTAGTGTAAAACTTAGCCAGGCATGGTGGCTTACACTTGTAATCCCAGCACTTTGGGAGGCCAAGGCAGGAGGATTACTCGAGCCCAGGAGTTTGAGACCAGCCTGGGCAACACGATAAGACCCTTCCTCTACAAAAAAAAAAAAAATTTAAATTAGCTGGGCATGGTTGGTTTCAGCTACTCTGGAGGCTGAGGTAGGGAGGATCGTTTGAGCCCAGGAAGTTGAGGCTACAGTGAGCCATGTTCGTGCCACTGCACTCCAGCCTGAGTGACAGCGAGACCCTTTCTCAAATAAATAATAAATGTCACTGTCCTTACTCAGTAACCTTAGCATTTGAGGATTGTTTCCTAATGTAGGAAAATTTTCCTGCACCAGCTCATTCTAGGTAGGCAGATTATGGACTCATTAATAAAATAATTTGCCAGCCATTTATTCAACAACTACTATGTGCCAGGCATTAATTTCTAAATAAAATTGCTTTCAAGATGCTCAGTTTTCTTTCTGTAAGGGGACAAAATTACAATACAGGGTATGATAAAAAAGAGATACCCCAACCTGTCAGCCCTCCAGGGGGTATCAACCTTCAGATCACGCAAGTTTAGTTTCTTTCCAGAATAAGTGATGCTTGAGCCAAATTCACTAATAGGAGTTTTAGAGGAATGGGGACCCAAAAGGCACATCCCATTCCAAATCTCCTTTGATTATTATTCAATAATTTCATTATTCATTAAACTGAGACTAGGTGATACAGGCTGGCTTCATCTCATGTTTTTCTTTTAAGTATTTTTTAACTTTCATTAAATTCTAACCTATAAATACATCTGGAAAAGCATGGATTTGAAACTAGACTACAAGTTGTGAATTGTACCTAAAATTTTAAAGAAACCTGCTCTGTTCTCAATTGCTTAGGCATTTCTGTCTCATACTATTGGGTGTCTTTGTAGTGTGTCTAAAGGGTTTCACTGTGGGTTTGGAGTCCTAGACCAAGTGAGTGGAATTGGGATTAAATTACAGCAAATAATTGTACATCCCCCTTTTGGGGTGTCTTAAATTTATTTGAAGATTATTGCATAGCCTTGATTTAGCTCTAGAATGGGTTAATTACTAACATACTATGGCCTAATAGTTTCAAGTTTGTCTAATATTGTGCAGGTGTGTTCATTTTTGCATATTCTTTGATGCTTTTCTGTTTATGAAATTGTGTTACAGACTGCGAGTAACATAGCTTAAATGAGAAGATAAGTAATTACTGCCTTTCAACTGATACATATTTCTGTTCCACATCTTCAACCAAGATCATACTTAGCCTGATTTTGATATGACCTTAAAGATTTATTAGAAAGGTTTTTAGAAATTTCTAGGCAATTGAGAAGCAAATATTTTCTGAAACTGCTTTTAATTTTTTGATACTTTGTAAGCGTTATATCTCTTACATGAAAAGAGAAAATAAATAAGCATTTACATTAAAGAAGAATACAGGTTTGCATTTTCTAAAGGGTAAGTTGGGATTTCATCACAAAATTTCCGGTGACCACCTGGAAAGCTGACTAAGTCTTTTTCTCATTTATCCTAGGCATACAAATTGACTATCTTGATTTATGTTCTGTGATAATAAGTTGCCTTCAGGGATGCAAACAGCTAACATTTTGGTTTTAGATGTAATTGAAGAAATGTCAAATTATCTTAAGTTTTTGAAGTTCCAAATTCTTAAGTGTATGTGTGTGAATTTTTAAGCTTGGAATTTAAAAGTACATATATTTGCCATATCTAATAATTTATTCTCATGGTTTATTCACTGTCTTAAAGTTTGCTTTAAAAATTCTTCCACTTTGATAATATTTTATAATGTCAAATACAGTGATCTGATACTGGCATTTCTTTTGCTTTTGAAAAACAAACTGCATTCCCAGTGTTCTCATATCCCAGGTCCTTGTTGAAACAAGGAAGTAAATGTCAATAATTTCTTCTTTTTTCACATCACATAACTGCTAAGTAGCAGGTGCTTGCAAAAATAGGTTCATCCCTATGTCTGATTCAAACATGGGAATAATTTTTCAGTATAAAATGGGGGTCAAACAGTTGAAACGTTATAGAGAAGATGAGTAAAATGGGATTTTTTCAGTTCAAGTACATTTAGTTTGGATGCCAATCACTCGAAAGTAAAATGTAAGATTTTCTGCCTAACGTTTGTACAAAATACAGTATGTCCATTTTCTAATTGTTCACAACAGAGGAATAATCAATAAAGCAGCCAGTCTTGTCTTTTCTTTTTTAAGTAAACGCTGGGAATGAAGATTGCAGAAGTATTCCCTGACTCAAACCTGAAAAACCTGGTGTTAGTCTTGGGTGATTTCCAGTGACCCTCTGCCTCCCTTCTTCCTGCCCCCTGTGTAGATTTGGAACCGGGCAGCCATTTTTGTTTTTGGAAGGGAAAGGAGACAGATATAATGAATGGCTTTTATTGTGCAATATTTCAGACTCTCTTGAATGCATTCGAAGGGATGGAAACTGTTCTGCCCTATGTCATAGCCAAAACAAACAAAACATATTCCCTAAACCTGGATATGTGTTTCTCTCAAACTGGCTGTAGTTAAGAGTTCAGCTCTCAAGCAAGAATTCGGTTTGACAATTTTTAGCCCTTGTTCAACTGAGTATTCGGATAGGTCACAGCCAAAGCAAATACTATGGGGAAAAATTAATGCACATATTTACAGCTTGCAGGTGGCATTCTTTCTAAAAAGTTGGAGATTTGTCTTAAGAAATTGCATTTGTGGTAATACTTTTAAATAGACTACTTTTTGCAAATATTTTTTAAATGAACTCTGATAATAGTAACTCCAAATGTAAATAAATTCTACAGAGGTCCCCAAAGAGTGATAAATGCTTGAATTTAAGTATTTAAACATTTAGAGACCACTAAGAATCTGAGAATTCTAGAAATATCAGACCCAGCGAATATGCACCAAAACCCCCTTGACAGTAGCCTTCTACCGTCCCTAAGGCCTCCACTGTAGGAAGCATCAATGGCTCCTTTCTGATGCAACCCCCAGCATTGTTTACTGACTCCAACCCCCCTCACTTAGGCTGTTAAGTGTTCCCTGCTTTGGATCTGCGGGGAGAACATATTCTACACCATCAAGATGATTCATTTTGTAATGTGCCATTGTGCTTCATGACCCTGACAAAATATATTTATTATTGGTCACAATAATAACTTTGAATTTATGGTTGCCTATAACCAGCTGGCTCTCGGTTTGTGTCTTAACCAAGAAATACGGGAAACAAATTGTAAGCCAGGCAGCCTGCCTCGCATAATGGTAGCAAAGACTTCACCGTTGGTCATCCCTTTGAAACATAAAATTCTAGCCTTCATTGAAGTTTTGCTGAACAATATTAGACACCTGTGTGAGTGGAAATAACTGGAAATTCTGTTGGCTGCTACTTTTCCATCTAATAAACAGCAGATGAAACGGCCCACGTCTTGCATCTCAGAAGCACTGCATGGCAGTGGAAAGATAACCTCTTCCCAAGCACTGAGAGGTCCAATGATATTCCTGTAAACCAGCCTGACTGGCACATCCTGGGCATATAAAGAGTTTCAAGCAGTGCGTGTTGAGTGTTTTGTAGTTTGTCATGAGTGGGTACGTGGGTATTGCCAAGATCTGTGGCTCAGGCTGTCAAGAGGCGAATGTAAATGTGAGGGAGGAGGCACTAGAGTCTTGGGGGGAAAAGCAGGTCCCTTTTCAACTTGTAAATGTTGCTTTAAGTTCTTAGTCTTCAAACTTAAATGTGGTAGGCCATAGAGTTCTTTCTTTGGGTAAAAGGACTAATTGAACACTTTGGTTTATCCAAGTTCTGCCTTACTATTTTTTAACCTTGTGACAGCTGAAGGGATCCCTTTAAACCTAAATAAAATTTTCGGGTTTAAAAACAATTTACCTTCTCCAGTCAAATTTACCTTCTCCAGTCAAATTGGAGACTCTTAAACAAGTCCCACTGTGGCTTTCTTTCCCCTCAGAGACAGAGGGAAACAACCGGCTTTCCTTTAAATAAATATCCTGCCCCCCTTATAATGCTTAATCTAGACTTTGTCTCCCCCTGCCTTTTTTTTTTTTTGTGCAACTCACACTATAGTAAACATATAAAACATCCTTCTAAGGTATTGTGAGATCTTCCTGCCTCTGGAAGCACAGAGGGAGATGTGCTATTGCTTCCATTTTTATGAATGAGACAGCCAGAGGGAAGCGCTTGGAGGAGCGGGCCACGGCCATGCTGGGAAAGGCTGGAGGCCTCTGACCCTCAGCTTGTGGTTTATTTCCCTGCCTCAGCCACCGCCTCCATCTTGCAGCTGGCTCCCCTTCCCATGCTTGAGGATGTCAGGCCATTTGGATTCTTATTGGCTGGTCTTTCAGATTTTAGTTGGGGATCCAGTGAAAGTGACCCACAACAGAGTTTTGAAGCCATCCAGAATCTCAAATAATCCAAAGTTGCATCTATTTTCTTAAAATTAACTGAATGATGAATGTTGACTTACATGTTCTTTTCATATTTGGGGTGGGGGAGGGGTTGGGAGCAGGAAGAAGACAGAAGCAGCACTGTTTAAAGCAGAAGTCGGCCAGGCACAGTGGCTCATGCCTGTCTTAATCCCAGCGGTTTGAGAGGCTGAGGCAGGAGGATCACTTGAGGCCAGGAGTTTGAGACCAGCCTGGGCAACATGGCAAAATTTCGTCTCCACTAAAAATACAAAAATAGGCCAGATGTGAGGACACGCTCCTGTAGTTCCAGATACTTGGGAGGCTGAGGCAGAAGGATCCCTGAGCCCAGGAGTTGGAGGCTGCAGTGAGCTATGATTGCGCCACTGCACTCCAGCCTGGGCAAGACAGCAAGATGCTGTCTCTAAAAAAGTGAATAATCTAGGTCAGCACTGTGTCTGCCTTCCAGTGTCAGCACTCTGTCTAAGGAACATTCTGAGTTCAGTCCCTAAGGTTTGTGCCCAGTGCCCTAGAGCTGCCCTATAAATGTCTGGGTGGATCTCTACCCTGTATTTCTCCAAGAGAAGAAAACAATCCTAGCCATATCCCCGGCACTTGTGAGGCGTGTGTCCCTTTGACTTTTCCTGCCTTTCCCTCTCACTGTACCATCCACAAGCAAAGCCTGTTTCCACGGGGCCAAAAGCTGTAACAATATTAAGATGTTTTCCTCAACCTTGTCCCCAGAAAGATACTCTGTTTCCAGAAGATTGTTCTCCCTTGGGCATTACATCATGAATTGATTCAGTTCTTGGAGGAAGAAATTGGACAAAATATAATAGATGACCTCTTGGGGAGACATACTTAGGTTGTTAAGTATTCCCATCAGAAAACTAAGAAACTGCTTATATATTACTACTCTGTCCACATTTAAACTTTCACCTTCTTGCAGCTGAGCAGGGTGCTTTTTTCTGTAAGGGTTTTTGTTTTACTGGGGGTCAAAGAGAACATTTCTCCTTTATTTTTTTAAGGAATACAAGTATTCTTTGTTTTTTGCCATTACCCTCCCTTGGTTTCAGGAGCCGGGGCAGGACACCAGACCCTGGGGCAGGTTGGGACGCAGCAGCCGCAAAAGGGTGTCCCCTGACCCCCAGATGAGTAGGGAGAAGGGAAAGGGGCTACTGGGGCATCATGGCCATCAGGAAAGGGGCAACACTTGTCAAATGTTTGGAAGGGATCACTAAGGTCTTGCAGATAGCATGGCTCCATATGCAGCATCCATGCTGGAGAAGAGGCTCGAGTTCGTCTTTCTTGGGAACTGGTTCTCAGGGAAAGATGTTAATGACTGATGAAATAACTCCCATCAAATAAACAGTGCAGTAAGAAATGTGGGAGCTGTTTGCTTTTCCAAGTTCACAAGCTGGAGTGGAGAAGAGACCCAGGAGAACTGGCTGTTTGCGTCTGCTGGCGGCAGATAGTGGTCACTTGGAGGGAAGAGCTGAGAAGCAGGAGGGACTAAGCAATGAAAGTGACGAACCTTTCATCGCTAAATGCCCATCTAGTGACTGGCAGCTTGCCGGTGTCCAGCGCCTGGCTAACAGATTGAAGGGCCGGGGGGCGAGTTGGCTGTCTCCTTTGGCAGGATCGTTGAATTGGTAGGGCCGATTTCCTTCGTGGAGGCAGGAGCATTCTCACAATGTCAGCCAGTCTCAGCGTTGTCTTGTCTTATAAATCTCCAATGGGAATATTAGCACAGCTCCCCAGCTCACTGAAATCTATTCCTCTGTCCTAATAAAAGCCCTGCAGTGGCTCCAACCAGGCCCCTGAGTCAGCCTCCGGGAGGCCAGCTCCTTTTCTGAGGTGTGCAGGTGAGGAAATGGAAAGCCCCTCTTGGACTCTAGTCAGGGGAGATGCAACGATTGAGGAAATTGGATGAAGGGTACACGGGGCCTCTGCTGTTTTTGCAACTTCCTGTGAATCCATCATTATTTCAAAATCAGTTTTAAAAAGTAATGTGCTTAAAACCACAAAAGTGTGAGCCTCAGTTACTTCATCTGTAAAATGGGAATATTAGTAATGCCTCCTTTATGGGACCTCTATGAAAATAACACAGATATTCTGTATTTGTTTTCATCAGACCAGCATCCTATGCCTTGCTCACCTATTCCCTTGATCACAGGGTACCTATTCCCTTGATCACAGGGTAACCAAAAGATGAAAAATATTCCATTGTATTGTTCATCCGCAGTGTCGTCACTGCAGCAGGTGTTCTTCCACATGCCCTCATTTTATGTGACTTCATTATCACACCCACATTACTGATAAGGAGCTGAGACTTGTTTTTTTAAGAGACAGGGTCTCACTCTGTTCCCCAGGCTGGAGTGCAGTGGCAGGATCATAGCTCACTGTAGCCTTAAACTCCTGGACTCAAATGTTCCTCCTACCTCAGCCTCTCAGGTAACTAGGACTACAGGCATGTGCCACCATACCCAGCTAGCTTTTTTAAATTTTTGGTAGAGATGGGGGTCTTGCTATGTTGCCCAGGCTGATCTCAAACTGCTGCCCTCTAACAATTCTCCTGCCTCAGCCTTCCAAAATGGGACTAAAGGCATTAGTCACTATACCCAGCTGGAAGCTGAGACTTTTAAGAGGTCATGTGACCTGCCCAAAGTCTCAGAGCTGGTCAGTGGCTGAGCTGGAATTAGGAGTCTCTCTTCCCCTCAAGTTGATTCTTCTTTGATGAAAATGCTGTACCTGGAGAGGCAATGATTTGGAGGCTGTGAAAGAGGAGAATCGAGTCTCATCCAGAAAGATAAGAGTTCTGTGCAAGACCTGCCAATGTCCTCAGAAATGGAGAGCCGCCCTCACTACGTGATTGGAGATACAATGACCATGTCTTGGCTCCACTGGAGGGATGTGTTTCCCCTTCCAGTCTTACTCTCCTGTCCGTAAGCCATAGCCTCATCCTGCATTTCTTCCAAAGGAATCCATCCCATTAGTACACACATGTCAACTACTGCAGAGCCCACTGCATTCCTTACTCCTAATTTAGATTTGTCTTGATCACATTGTGAGGAGGTTATATGGATCTAGCAAGGTCATTTTTTGTGTCATCCTCTATTGAATACACTACTTTTGGCTAAAAATTTAAATCAGCCTATCCATAGCCTTGTTCTAGCTTGTCCCTAGCCATGGAAATCAAATACCATCCATGTATCTTTTCACCATGTTACCAAAACATCAGGGGTTGAGTCTAGGTCCTACTACTCACTGCACTAAAAGCCAGTCACTGAGATGATTGTTGCCAAGGAAGAAGGCTTTAATCGGGTGCTACAGAGAAGGAGATGGGAGCTCAGTCTCAAATCCATCTCCCTGACCAGCTAAAACTAAGGGTTTATATAGCTGGGAAGAAATGAAACAATATGTAAGAAAACAGGAACTAGGGAAAGGCAAGGAAAAAATCAGGATGAATGAGGGGTCCAGCATCTCATTGTGTAGATGTGGTGATCTGATGAGTTTCACTTCTTTGATCCTTTTTTGAGAAACCTGAAGGTCACTTCCTAAGGAAGGAACTCGGATAAAACAAACACATGTTTTAAGCTTTGAGACCAGAAGGGTTGGCCGGGCTCAGTGGCTCACACCTGTAATGCCAGCACTTTGGGAAGCTGAGGTGGGTGGATCTCCTGACATCAGGAGTTCGAGACCAGCCTGGCCAACATGGTGAAACCCCGTCTCTACTAAAAGTACAAAAATTAGCTGGGCGTGGTGGCACACACCTGTAATCCCAGGTGCTCAGGAAGCTGAGGCAGGAGAATCTCGTGAACTCAGGAGGAGGAGGTTGCAGTGAGCTGAGATTGTGCCACTGCTGCAGCCTGGGTGACAGAGTGAGATTCCATCTCAAAAAATAAGACCAGAAGGGTCAATTTCTATGTTTAGTCTATGGGACTATTAAATCAGTTTCACACCCAAAGTGTGTCTACCTATGGCTTGGCAGGAGAGGTCAGGTGTGTGTGTCAGCAAATGACAGGAAGATTGCCAGGAAGTTCTCTCTAGAGTCTGGTAAAAGAACAGCTTCTGTCAGGAAGTCTTACCCTGTTCTTAGGACAGTTGTAGGGATAATCTGAGTTTAACAGCCCTCCCTCCATCCTGGGCACCTTAATTCCAGGAAGAGACAGGTCTGTACTCTGGGCAGCTGTTGGCATTTCTGTTGGGAGGTCTGGAGGGGAAACTGGCACAGGTCCTGTGTTGGGGGCTTAGGACAGCAAGTGCCAAAAGAAATCTTTATTAAGTGATAACTAATTACCAGATGGTGAGTAGAATGTAATTGTAGTTGGTACGCTGAAGTTGTGAGACTTGTTAAGAGATTTCTCCAGCTCCTTGCTCTAGTTCTACAAAGAAATTTTGGGGAGAGAATGGGAATCCCCTCCTGTAGGAGTTAATTTCCAAACCTGGGGAAAGCTACCCTCCTTTCCCCAATAGCTTTTCCAAAGAATCAATGATTTAAAAACTGTATCTTGGCTGAGCATGGTGGTTCACACCTGTAATCCCAACACTTTGGGAGGCCAAGTCAGGAGTATCACTTGAGCCTAGGAGCTCAAGACCAGCTTGGACAACATAGTGAGACCCTATCTCTATGAAAAAAATACAAAAATTAGCTGGGCATGGTGGCACGCACCAGTAGCTATTCTGGAGGCTGAGGTGGGAAGATGGCTTGAGCCTGGCAGTTCAAGGCTGCAGTGAGCTGACTGCACCACTACACTCCAACCTGGGCAACAGAGAAGACCTTGCCAATTAATCAGTCAATATAAAAATAAATCAATGGCCGGGCACGGTGGCTCACGCCTGTAATCCCAGCACTTTGGGAGGCTGAGGCAGGCGGATCACAAGGTCAAGTGATCGAGACCATCCTGGCTTACACAGTGAAACCCCATCTCTACCAAAAATACAAAAAAATTAGCTGGGCGTAGTGGCGGGCACCTGTAGTCCCAGCTACTTGGAAGGCTGAGGCAGCAGAATGGCGTGAGTCCGGGAGGCGGAACTTGCAGTGAGCCGAGATGCGCCACTGCACTCCAGCCTGGGTGACAGAGCGAGACTCCGTCTCTAAATAAATAAATAAATGAATAGGCCGGGCACGGTGGCTCATGCCTGTAACCCCAGCACTTTGGAGGCCGAGGCGGGCGGATCACGAGGTCAGGAGATTGAGACCATCGTGTCTAACACGGTGAAACCCCATCTCTACTAAAAATACAAAAAATTAGCTGGGTGTGGTGGTGGGTGCCTGTAGTCCCAGCTACTCGGGAGGCTGACGCAGGAGAATGGCGTGAACCCAGGGGGTGGAGCTTGCAGTGAGCTGAGATCACGCCACTGCACTCCAGCCTGGGTGACAGAGCAAGACTCCATCTCAAAATAAATAAATAAATTAATTAATTAATTAATTAAATGTAAACATATAAAAGAAATGAATAAAAAACTTTTATTTCAGTTATACCCCATTTCACTTGCAAATGTTCCTGTGACAGTAAAACATCAAATTATAAAATTTCAAGATATCTTGTTTTGTACTTGTAGTTGGGATTTGCAGTACTTGACCATTATATAACATTACAAAATGATCTGATGGCTGGCAAGATGGCCGAATAGGAACAGCTCCAGTCTGCAGCTCCGAGCGAGATCAATGCAGAAGGTGGGTGATTTCTGCATTTCCAGCTGAGGTTCATCTCACTGGGACTGGTTAGACAGTGGGTGCAGCCCATGGAGGATGAGCCGAAGCAGGGTATGGCGTTGCCTCACCCAGGAAGTGCAAGGGGTTGTGGACCTCCTTCCCCTAGCCAAAGGAAGCAGTGAGGGACTGTGCCATGAGGAACGGTGCACTCAGGCCCAGATACTATGCTTTTCCCATGGTCTTTGCAACCCACAGACCAGGAGATTCCCTCGGGTGCCTATACCACCAGGGCCCTGTGTTTCAAGCACAAAACTGGGTAGCCATTTGGGCAGACACCGAGCTAGCTGCAGGAGTTTTTTTTTTTTTTTTTTTTTGTATCCCAGTAGTGCCTGGAATGCCAGCGAGATAGAACCATTCACTCCCCTGGAAAGAGCGCTGAAGCCAGGCAGCCAAGTGGTCTTGCTCAGCGGACCCCACCCCTACAGAGCCCAGCAAGCTAAGATCCACTGGCTTGAAATTCTCACTGCCAGCACAGCAGTCCGAAGTCAACCCGGGATGCTGTAGCTTGGTGGGGGGATGGACGTCCACCATTACTGAGGATTGAATAGGTGGTTTTCCCCTCACAGTTTAAACAAAGCTGCCTCAAAGTTCAAACTGGGTGGAGCCCACCCCAGTGCTGCAAAGCCACTGTAGCCAGACTGCCTCTGTAGATTCCTCCTCTCTGGGCAGGGCATCTCTGAGAGAAAGGCAGCAGCCCCATCAGGGGCTTATAAATAAAACTCCCATCTCCCTGGGACAGAGCACTTGGGGGAACAGGTGGCTGTGGGTGCAGCTTCAGCAGACTTAAATGTTCCTGCCTGCCAGCTCTGAAGAGAGCAGCAGATCTCCCAGCATGGCACTCAAGCTCTGCTAAGGGACAGACTGCCTTCTCAAGTGGGTCCCTGACCCCCATTCATCCTGACTGGGAGACACCTCCCAGCAGGCGTCGACAGGCACTTCATAGAGGAGCACTCCAGGTGGCATCTGGCAGGTGGCCCTCTGGGACCAAGTTTCCAGAGGAAGGAACAGGCAGCAATCTTTGCTGTTCTGCAACTTCTGCTGGTGATACCCAGGCAAAGAGGGTCTGGAGTGGATATCAAGCAAACTCCAGCAGACCTGCAGCAGAGGGGCCTGACTGTTAGAAGGAAAACCAACAAACAGAAAGGAATAGCATCAACATCAACAAAAAAGAACATCCACTCAAAAACCCCGTCTGAAGGTCAGCAACATAAAAGACCAAAAGTAGATAAATCCACGACAATGAGGAAAAACCAGCGCAAAAAGGCTGAAAATTCCAAAAACCAGAATGCCTCTCTCCTCCAAAGAATTACAGCTCCTCTACAACAAGGGAACAAAATTGGACGGAGAATGAGTTTGACAAATTGAGAGAAGTAGGCTTCAGAAGGTGGCTAATAACAAACTCCTCCAAACTAAAGAAGCATGTTCTAACCCAATGCAAGGAAGCTAAGGACCTTGAAAAAGGTTAGAGGAATTGCTAACTAGAATAGCTAGTTTAGAGAGGAACATAAATGACCTGATGGAGATGAAAAACACAGCACGAGAACTTCGCAAAGCATACACAAGTATCAATAGCCAAATCGATCAAGTGGAAGAAAGGATATCAGAGATTAAAGATCAACTTAATGAAATAAAGCATGAAGACAAGATTAGAGAAAAAAGAATGAAAGGGAATGAGAAAAGCCTCCAAGAAATATGGGACTATGTGAAAAGACCAAACCTATGTTTGATTGTACCTGAAAGTGACGGGGAGAATGGAACCAAGTTGGAAAACACTCTGCAGGATGTTATACAGGAAAACTTCCCCAGCCTAGCAAGACAGGCCAACATTCAAATTCAGGAAACACAGAGAACACCACAAAGATACTCCTCGAGAAGAGCAATCCCAAGACACATAAACGTCAGATTCACCAAGGTCAAAATGAAGGAAAAAATGTTAAGGGCAGCCAGAGAGAAAGGTCGGGTTACCCACAAAGGGAAGCCCATCAGACTAAAAGCGGATCTCCCTGCAGAAACCCTGCAAGCCAGAAGAGATTGGGGGCCAATATTCAACATTCATAAAGAAAAGAATTTTCAACCCAGAATTTCATATCCAGCCAAACTAAGCTTCATAAGTGAAGCAGAAATAAAATCCTTTACAGACAAGCAAATGCTGAGAGATTTTGTCACCACCAGGCCTGCCTTACAAGAGCTCCTGAAGGAAGCACTAAATATGGAAAAGAAAAACTGGTACCAACCACTGCAAAAACATACCAAATTGTACAGTCCATCAATACTATGAAGAAACCGCATTAACTAATGAGCAAAATAACCAAGTAGCATGATAATGACCAGATCAAATTCACACATAACAATATTAACCTTAAATGTAAACAGGCTAAATGCCCCAATTAAAAGACACAGACCGGGAAATTGGATAAAGAGTCAAGACCCATCAGTGTGCTGTATTCAGGAGACCCATCTCATGTGAAAAGACACACATAGGCTCAAAATAAAGGGATGGAGGAATATTTACCAAGGAAATGGAAAGCAAAAAATAAAAAAAAAGCAGGGGTTGCAATCCTAGTCTCTGATAAAAGAGACTTTAAACCAACAAAGATAAAAAAAGACAAAGAAGGGCATTACATAGTGGTAAAGGGATCAATGCAACAGGAAGAGCTAACTATCCTAAATATATATGCACCCAATATAGGAGCACCCAGATTCATAAGCAAATTCTTAAGAGACCTACAAAGAAACTTAGACTCCCACACAATAATAGCGGGAGACTTTAACACCCCACTGTCAATATTAGACAGATCAATGAGACAGAAAATTAACAAGGCTATTCAGGACTTGAACTCAGCTCTGGACCAAGCAGACCTAATAGACATCTACAGAACTCTCCACCCCCCAAAAACAGAATATACATTCTTCTCATCATCACCTCACACTTATTCTAAAATTGACCACATAATTTGAAGTAAAACACTCCTCAGCAAATGCAAAAGAATGGAAATTGTAACAAACAGTCTCTCAGACCACAGTGCAATCAAATTAGAACTCAGGATTAAGAAACTTACTCAAAACTGTACAACTACATGGAAACCGAACAACCTGCTCCTGAATGACTACTGGGTAAATAATGAAATTAAGGCAGAAGTAGCACTAAATTCCCACAGGAGAAGGCAGGAAAGATCTAAAATCGACACCCTAACATCACAATTGAAAGAACTAGAGAAGGAGGCCAGGTGCAGTGGCTCACACCTGTAATCCCAGCACTTTGGGAGGCTGAGGCAGGCGGATCATGAGGTCAGGAGACTGAGACCATCCTGGCTAACATGGTGAAACCCCATCTCAACTAAAAATACAAAAAATTAGCTGAGTGTGGTGGCGGGTGCCTGTAGTCCCAGCTACTCAGGAGGCTGAGGCAGGAGAATAGTGAGAACCTGGGAGGCGGAGCTTGCAGTGAACCGAGACCACACCACTGCACTCCAGCCTGGGCAAAAGAGCAAGACACTATCTCAAAAAAAAAAAAAAAAAAAAAAAAAAAAAAAGAACTAGAGAAGCAAGAGCAAACAAATTCAAAAGCTAGCAGAAGACAAGAAATAACTTAGAGCAGAACTGAAGGAGATAGAGACCAAAAAACACCTTCAAAAAAATCTATGAATCCAGGAGCTGGTTTTTTGAAAAGATTAACAAAATAGACCGCTAGCCAGACTAATGAGGAAGAAAAGAGAGAAGAATCAAATAGACACAATAAAAAATGATAAAGGGAGTATTACCACTGATCCCACAGAAATACAAACTACCATCAGAGAATACTATAAACACCTCTACTCAAATAAACTAGAAAATCTAGAAGAAATGGATAAATTCCTGTACATATACAACCTTCCAAGACCAAACCAGGAAGAAGTCAAATCACTGAATAGACCAATAACAAGTTCTGAAATTGAAGCAGTAATTAATAGCCTGCCAACCAAAAAAAAAAAAGCCCAGAACTAGACAAATTCCCAGCCGAATTCTACCAGAGGTACAAAGAGGAGCTGGTACCATTCCTTCTGAAACTGTTCCAAACAATAGAAAAAGAGAGACTCCTTCCCAACTCATTTTATGAGGCCAGCATCATCCTGATACCAAAACCTGGCAGAGACACAACAACAAAAGAATTTCAGGCAGCCAGGTGCGATGGCTCACACCTGCAATCCCAGCACTTTGGGAGGCTGAGGCCGGAGGATTACAAGGTCAGTAGATCAAGACCAACCTGGCTAACACAGTGAAACCCTATCTCTACTAAAAATACAAAAAAGTAGCTGGACGTGGTGGCGTGCACCTGTAGTCCCAGCTACTCAGGAGGCTGAGGCAGGAGAATGGAGTGAACCCGGGAGGCAGAGCTTACAGTGGGCCGAGATCGTGCCACTGCACTCCAGCCTGGGCGACAGAGCAAGACTCCATCTCAAGAAAAAAAAAAAAAAAAGAATTTCAGGCCAGTATTCCTGATGAACACCGATGCGAAAATCCTCAATAAAATACTGGCAAACCAAATCCAGCAGCACATCAAAAAGCTTATCCACCAAATCGGCTTCATCCCTGGGATGCAAGGCTGGTTCAACATATCCAAATCAATAAACATAATCCATCACATAAACAGAACCAATGACAAAAATCACATGATTATCTCAACAGATGCAGAAAAGGCCTTTGATAAAATTTAACACCCCTTCATGCTAAAAGCTCACAATAAACTAGGTATTGATGGAACATATCTCAAAATAATAAAGAGCTATTTGTGACGAACCCACAGCCAATATCATACTGAATGGGCAAAAGCTGGAAGCATTCCCTTTGAAAACCAGCACAAGACAAGGATGCCCTCTCTCACCACTCCTATTCAACATAGTATTGGAAGTTCTGGCCAGGGCAATCAGGCAAGAGAAATAAATAAAGCGTATTCAAATAGGAAGAGAGGAAGTCAAATTGTCTCTGTTTGCAGATGACATGACTGTATATTTAGGAAACCCCATTGTCTCAACCCAAAATCTTCCTGAGCTGATAAGCAACTTCAGCAAAGTCTCAGGATACAAAATCAATGTGCAAAAATCACAAGCATTCCTATACACCAATAATAGAGAGCCAAATCATGAGTGAACTCCCATTTACAATTTTTACAAAGAGAATAAAATACCTAGGAGTACAACTTACAAGGGATGTGAAGGACCTCTTCAAGGAGAACTACAAACCACTGCTCAAGGAAATAAGAGAGGACACAAACAAATGGAAAAACATTCCATGCTCATGGATAGGAAGAATCAATATCGTGAAAATGGCAATACTGCCCAAAGTAATTCATAGATAGATTCAATGCTATCCCCATCAAGCTACCATTGACTTTCTTCACAGAATTAGAAAAAACTACTTTAAATTTCATATGGAACCAAAAAACAGCCCTCATAGCCAACACAATCCTAAGCAAAAAGAACAAAGCTGGACGCATCATGCTACCTGACTTCAAACTATACTACAAGGCTACAGTAACCAAAACAGCAGGTAACATACAGTAACCAAAACAGATATACAGACCAATAGAACAGAACAGAGGCCTCAGAAATAACACCACTCATCTACAACCAGCTGATCTTTGACAAACCTGATAAAAACAAGCAATAGGGAAAGGATTCCCTATTTAATAAATGGTGTTGGGAAAACTGGCTAGCCATATGCAGAAAACTGAAACTGGACCCCTTCCTTACACCTTATACAAAAATTAACTCAAGATGTATTAAATACTTAAATGTAAGACCTAAAACCATAAAAACCCTAGAAGAAAACCTAGGCTATACCATTCAGGACGTAGGCATGGGCAAAGACTTCATGAGTAAAACACCAAAAGCAATGTCAACAAAAGCCAAAATTGACAAATGGGATCTACTGAGCTTCTGCACAGCAAAAGAAACTATCATCAGAGTGAACAGGCAACCTACAGAAGGGGAGAAAATTTTTGCAATCTATCCATCTGACAAAGGGCTAATATCCAAAATCTACAGGAACTTAAACAAATTTACAAGAATAAACAACCACATCAAAATGTGGGCAAAGGATATGAACAGGCACTTCTCAAGAGAAGACATTTATGCAGCCAACAAACATATGAAGAAAAGCTCGTCATCACTGGTCATTAGAGAAATGCAAATCAAAACCACAGTGAGATACCATCTCATGCCAGTTAGAATGGCCATCATTAAAAAGTCAGGAAAGAACAGATGCTGGAGAGGATGTGGAGAAACAGGAACACTTTTACACTTGGTGGGAGTGTAAATTAGGTCAACCGTTGTGGAAGATAGTGTGGCGACCCCTCAAGGATCTAGAACTAGAAATACCATTTGACCCAGCAATCTCATTACTGGCTATACACCCAAAGGATTATAAATCATTCTACTATAAAGACACATGCACATGTATGTTTATTGTGGCACTGTTCACAATAGCAAGGACTTGGAACCAACCCAAATGCCCATCAGTGATAGACTGGATAAAGGAAATGTGGCATATATACACCATGGAATACTATACAGCCATAAAAAACGATGAGTTCATGTCCTTTGCCAGGACATGGATGAAGCTGGAAACCGTCATTCTCAGCAAATTAACACAAGAATAGAAAACCAAACACCACACGTTCTCACTCATAAGTGGTAGTTGAACAATGAGAACACATGGACACAGGGAGGGGAACATCACACACTGGGGCCTGTCGGGGGGTGAGGGGCTAGGGGAGGGATAGCATTAGGCGAAATACCTAATGTAGATGACAGGTTGATGGGTGCAGCAAACCACCATGGCACATGTATACCTTTGTAACAAAACTGCATGTTCTGCACACATACCCCAGAACTTAAAGTATAATAAAAGTTCTTTATAGATTCTGTATATGAGACCTTTGTTGGATGCATGGTTTGTGAATATTTTTCCCATTCTGTAGGTTGTTTGTTTACTCTGTTGATAGTTTCTTTTGCTGTACAGAAGCTCTTTAGTTTGATTAGGTCCCACTTGTCCATTTTTGTAATTGCTTTTGAGGGCTTTGTCATAAATTCTTTGCCAAGGCTGATGTCTAGAATGGTGTTTTGTAAGTTTTCTTCTAGGATTCTTATAGTTCGAGATCTTACATTTAAATCTTTAATCCATCTTGAGTTAATTTTTGTATAAAGTGAAAAGTAGGGTTCCAGTTTCATTCTTCTGCCTATGGCTGGCCAGCTATCCCAGCACCATTTATTGAGTAGGAAGTCCTTTCTCCATTGCTTATTTTTGTCAACTTTGTTGAAGATCAGATGGCCATAGGCATGCAGCTTTATTTCGGGGTTCTCTACTCTGTTCCAGTGGTCTATGTGTCTGTTTTTGTACCAGTACCATGCTTTTTGGGTTACTGTAACATATATAGTATAGATTGAAGTTGGGTAATTTGATGTCTCCCACTTTATTCTTTTTGCTTAGGATTGCTTTGACTATTTGGGCTCTTTTTTGGTTCCATGTGAATTTTAGAATAGCCTTTTCTAGTTCTGTGAAAAATAACAATGGTAGTTTAATAGGAATAATGTTGAATCTGTAGATTGTTTTTGGTAGTATGGCCACTTTAATGATATTGATTCTTTTAATTCCTAAGCATGGAATTTTTCCATTTGTACGTGTCATCTATGATTTCTTTCAGCAGTGTTTTTTCTCCTTGTAGAGATCTTTCACCTACTTGGTTAGATGTGTTCATACAGACTCTATTTTGTGTGTGCGGCTGTTGGAAATGGGATTCTGTTCTTGATTTGCCTCTGAGTTTGACCATTATTTGGTGTGTAGAAATGCCACTGATTTTACTTCAGTAAAATCTTCAGTAGAAACTTCAGTAAAGTTGTTTATCAGTTCCAAGAGCCTTTTGGTGGAGTCTTTAAGTTTTTCTAGGTATAGAATCATATCATCAGTGAGGAGAGATAGTGTGACCTCTTCTTTTCCTATTTGGATGTGTTTTATTTCTTTCTCTTGCCTGATTCCTCTGGCTGGGACTTCCTGCTTAATCCTTTTGAAATAGTAACCAATGGAACTTCTGTGAGTTGAGAGTGTGGGATCTTAGGTTAGACCTAAGTGTAAATCTCAGTGCCTCAGTTACTGTGGTGTTTGCTAATTTATTTAACTTCCCTGAGCCTCAATTGTCACATCTGTAAAATGAGGATAGTCGTAGTATTTTTCTCTTACAGTTATTGTAGGTGTTGAATTATGTGGTGATAATGTATGTAAAGTTCCTTGTTTGGTATTTGGTACGTGACGGGAATGCAATAAGGTTACATTAATTTTTTACCTTTTAGTCTGACATAATTTTATCCTTCAAGAAAAGTTACAGGAATAGTACAAAAAGATTCCCCAAATATTAGCATTTTACTTTATTTGCTTTCTCTCTTTCTCTCCATATATCTAGCTAGATATATGGATTTTTCTGAGCAATTTAAGTAAAGTTGTAGGCATGATCCCTCTTTACCCCTAAATATTTCAGGCTGGGCATGGTGGGTCAAGCCTGTAATCCCAGCATTTTGGGACATTGAGGCAAGCAAATCACTTGAGGTCAGGAGTTCAAGACCAGCCTGGGCAACATGGTGAAACCCCATCTCTACTAAAACTACAAAAATTAGCCACACATGGTTGCACATGCCTGTAATCTCAGCTACTTGCTGAGGCAGAAGAATCACTTGAACCCAGAGGCAGAGGTTGCAGTGAGCTGAGATCCCATCACTGTACTCCAGCCTGGGCAACACAGTGAGTCTCAAAACAAAACAAAAAAACTTCAGTGTATATTTCCTAAAAATAAGAGATGACCTACTTAAACTGATTACTTATTTAAGGTATTGTAATTATTGCAGTTATTACAGTGAAAGTACTTGAAGCAGTTCCACAGTGTTTCTCTAACTCAAATTCACATTACGATCAAAGTTAAGTTTACTGAATGCATATTATGTGCCCGGCATAGTGCTAGATGCTCTGAAAAATATTCTGTTGACTTTTCTCAACAGCCCAGTGAAGCAGCAGATTAGTAACTCCACTTTGCAGAACATAACAACTAAGACTCAAGGAAGTTAGTAAATTGCCCAAAGGACTTCAGTGAAGTGGTGAACTGGGATTTGAACCCAATTCACTCTAGTAAAAATGGTGCCCTTTCTTGCCTAATAGATTGACAGCCACATTCTGCTATAAAAATGAGAAAACTGGCCAGGCGCGGTGGCTTATGCCGTAATCCCAGCACTTTGGGAGGCCGAGGTGGGCGGATCACCTGAGGTCAGGAGTTCGAGACCAGCCTGGCCTACATGGAGTAGCCCCGTCTGTACTAAAAATACAAAAATTAGCCGGGAGTGGTGGCGGGTGCCTGTAATCCCAGCTACTCAGGAGGCTTGAGGCAGGAGAATCGCTTGAACCTGGGCAGCAGAGATTGCAGCGAGCTGAGATTGCGCCACTGCACTCCAGCCTTGGCGACAGAGCAAGACTCCATCTCAATTAAAAAAAGAGAGAGAGAGAGAGAAAACTACTTAAGGAAAACAAGAATCAGCTCTACTGAGGCCCCTGAGTCAGTGTGTGCTCATTGCCACTAAACTGTCACGTACTTCTGTGGCCTGAGCGGCAGGGGTTTGGTTTTCACGGTTCTTTCTAATTCTGAAGCGCTCTTCAGAACTTCATTTCAAAACAATTGTAATCCTTTTGCACATTTTGCTGCTGGCTGGGAACCAAGCCTTTTGTCTTCAGATACCTTTAGTCAGGTTTATTTTTAAAACGAAGGTTTATTTTCCCAGGAAATGCTGAGGATATTGTTAACAGCTTGGGTGGTTAAACTTTGCTTTAGAACCAGGGCATGTCATCTGTTTTCAAGCGTCTGGCTCTGCTCCGAGATTCTAGGAGCAACTGAGAGATGTCAGCTTGTTTTCTCATGTCCCAGCTAAATGTAGCCTGGCTCCATTGTCTTCTGCCTAAGCAAAGAGAACAACAAACACAACATAATGTGTTGGGGTGAAAGATCCTTTCCTAGATATTTTTATGTCTATCCCTTCCTAGATATATTTATATCTATATAAAAAAATCCTAGAGATTTTTAGTACTGAAGAATTCTAGCAGATCCCTTTTAGAACCAGCATTAATTCTACTTAAATAAAATCCTGTGCTTGAATCAGTGGCCTTGGCTATCAGTTGCATTAAAATTCAATGGGAAAATAATCTCAATTCACAGATGATGCACTTCAATAGTTAAAGAACTACGGCCAGGTGTGGTGGCTCACGCCTGTAATCCAGCACTTTGGGAGGCCAAGGCGGCTGGATAATTTGTGGACAGGAGTTCGAGGCCAGCCTGGCCAATATGGTGAAACCCCATCTCTACTAAAAAAATAGAAAAATTCGCCGTGCGTGGTGGCATGCACCTGTAGTCACAGCTACTCGGGAGGCTGAGGCAGGAGAATCACTTGAACCCAGGAGGCAGAGGTTGCAGTGAGCCAAGCTGGTGCCACTGCACTCCAGCCTGGGCGACAGAGCAAGACTCTGTCAAAAAAAAAAAAAAAAAAAACAAGAACTACAAGTAACTTAGAAGCCACCAGTTAGGATTGTTTGGCCAAATTGAGAGAGCACCTGGGAATATTTGGGGCCTCTGCCTATGGAGCCTGGAAATGGGGAAACAGTTCTCTATAGAGGTTCAGCACTTGGGATCTGGGGTCAGACTGATTCGAATCCCAGCTCCACCACTTAACTGTGTGACCTGAGCAAGATAATTTAAAATTCATTGTCTGAAATAACAACAGCACCTACCTTTCAAGGTTTTATTGTGAGACTTAAATAATGTAAGTTAAGCACCTAGGATAGACCCTGACCCTTAGGAGATTCTCATGAAAAGTGGCTAATTATAATAAACACAAATTTGAATTGGGCAAAAAAACTGATATTTTTTTCTCTTCTTCTTTTCCTTCTTCGCTGCTTTTTCTCTCCCTTCCTGACCGTTCCCCACTCTTCCCACCATCCTCCTTCCCTCCCCCTCCCTCAGTCCCATTCTGCATGATCCAGAGTAAGAGGTTAGTTATTAAGGAACATCCGGTTCTTGGCATTCTATGTAGAAAAAAAAAACCCAATGGTGTTGAGGACTCTGAAGAGAATCACTGATTTCATAAAGGCTTAATGAAAGTCAACAATCAAACGAAAGCTTTTCCCCCCTGAATCATTACATTCTGTTGTTCCCGAACATCTGGGCAGAGCCAGGGACGGCCTTTGCTTGGCCCTGCTCACAACACAGCTTCTTGAGCTGCAGCTCTGTCTGTGTTTCTGCCTCATTTGGAACATAAGCCATCAGTCCAGGATTCTCTTTCTGGAGCTGCCACTAACTACGTGGGTGAGTTATTTCCCAACTTTGAACTTGAGTTTTCAAAATGGAGCAAGTCAGATGAGACTTGCTATAATTGATGAAAGTCGATAAAAATACCACTCAGATTTAATGCTTCATCGTATACTCTTCTGTGTTTCCTGCATATTCATCTCGTCTTGACAGCAAGCTCTTCAGGCAGGGGGACCAGTCACACACCATAGGAGAGAGCTTAAGATTTAGAAGTAGAGGCCTGAATTGAAGCCCTAGTGCTGCTACCTGCTAGCCCAGGTAACCTTTAGCTAGTCACGGAACCTCTGCCTTCTGCCGCTTCCTCCACTGTAAAATGGAGCTGATGTACCTGAGACACGAGAGGTTCTCTAAATAAGATAATCATTAAATAATTGATAAGATAATAATTAATACAATACTTGGTAGGCCTAAAACAGATGTTCATTATTGTCATTTTTATCGTCCACGCAGCTTACTACCATGCAGTGTGCATAAATTTTTGTTGAAACCCACCTGTTTTAAGAACAAAGCTAAGACTTTTGTTATTATTGATTTAAAAATCACTAAAGAAAAATAATGTTGGTATATAATTAAAACTGATTTCATATCCAATGCAAAACTTTTAAACACAAAAAATATGCTCTCAAAACCAGTAAAGGCTTTTAGTGATGTTTTGTAAATAATATTTAGGTTAATACTCTCCAGGTGCTCTCAGATTTATGCAGTAACAATAAATATCAAAATTAAACCTGAAATGAAATATGAATGTTTGCAGTGGGATTAATTCTGTCAGATTTTCTTTGCATAGTACATGGTTCTTCTTAAATTTGTGTAGGTAATTTTTAAAAATTATTTTCTTTTTCTTTTCTTGAGACAGGGTTTCACTCTGTCACCCAGGCTGGAGTGCAGTGGTGCGATCATGGCTCACAGCAGCCTTGACCTCCCGGGCTCAAGCAATCCTCCCACCTCAGCCTCCCAAGTACCTGGGACCACAGGCATGTGCCACCATACCTGGCTATTTTGTTTGTTTTTTGTAGAGACTGGGTCTTGTTATGTTGCCCAGGCTGGTCTCAAACTCCCAGGCTCAAGCAATCCTTCACCTCAGCTTTCCAAAGTGCTAGGGTTACTGGTGGAGCTACTGTGCCCAGCCTAAAAATGATTTTCTAATTATAGAAATAAAGTCGGTAGTAAGTGGGTAAATGCAAAACTAGTTGTGGGAAAGTCACAAATATTTCCATATGCCTCTGATTTTCCACTTACAAAACAATTATTAGAAAACTGCCTTGAATATATAAAATATGCTGTTATTATAAGCAAATAAAATGAACATGGAACACAAGTGCATGTCATGGATTCCAGAGAAACAGAAACAACAGGAGATATGAACATATGAAGAGATTTATTATAAGGAATTAGCTTACATGATTACGGACACTGAGAATTTCCAACATCTGTAGTTGGCAAGTGGAAACCCATAAGAGCTGATGGTGCACGTTCCAAAGTGAGTCTGAAGGGAGGAGAAGATTGATGTCCCAGCTTGAAGATGTTGAGGTGGAGAGACCCCTTCTTACCCAGGCTTTTTCTTCTATTCAGGCCTTCAACTGGATTGAATGAGGGCAACCTGCTTTCCTCCGCCTACCCATTTACATGTTAATCACATCGAAAAACACCTTCACAGACACTCCCAGAATAATGTTTAACCAAACATCTGGGCACTCTGGGGCTTACTGAAGTTAACACATAAAATTAACCCCTGACGCACTAGTGTAGAATATATGGGAAATGCAGGAAAGAAGTCAAAACTCCCCCAATTCTGCTACCCACAGATAACCATTATTAAGAGTTGGCACATTTTCTTTCTTGTTTCTTTTTTTAGATGTGTCACAGATCAATGTTTGTTTTTTTGTTTTTTGTTTTTTTTTTTTTTTTGAGACGGAGTCTCGTTCTGTTGCCCAGGCTGGGGTGCATTCACAGATCAATATTTTAATTACCCATTCTGTTTGACTAGAGATTTCATGTTGTTTCTTATTTACTTGGGAAAGTCATGAAGATTTCTATTATGCCTCTGATTTTCCACTTATGAAACAATTATTAGAAAACCTGCCTTGAATATATATAAAAGACACGTTATTATGACCAAATAAAATGAACACGGCCCACGATTCTGTCTCTCCTCAAGGAGAAAGAAATGTTTTTCTTTCATTTCATAAATATGGCAACCACGTTTAGAAGGTGGTGAGGAGGGTGGGTGTTCGTAATTCCTGAAAGACACCAGGAAATTCTGTCTGCCCCTCAAAGCTGATGCCCACTTTGGGGAAACATCCCCAGATGGCCAACCTGTTGCTCTTCCCCCAACCCAGCACTGAAGGTGTTAATCCCCCATCTCACCTTCTCTGTGTCCCAAGGCTGGAGATGTGAGTGACTAGGGAAACCCCCAGTAAATTAAAGGTGGTAGTCTCTCTGAGGAGGGAGAGGTAGCTTGTTCAGCTTTATAAGCCTTTTAGCTAGCATCCTTTATCACTGATTGATTTATTGGATATTTATGCAGCAGGCAGGGGGATTTGAAATATAACATAGGCGCTTCCTGAGATGTCAGTACTCTAATGTTAGTGGTCTGAACAAGGATGTAATTCATATCTGCAGGTGCTTACTCTAGTATCAAATACTTCAATAACATCATGCCTGTGGAATCCGCTGTTCCCAAGGGCCCTATGTGTATTCTGATATGCCCGTGTCTTTTCCTATGTGTGTTTTCCTTTCTTAAGGAGCGCTCATTTCCTTCAATAGGATATGTTTTATTTCATCCCTTTTCCTGCATTTACTCATATTAATGTCACCGCGTTCACTGGTAATAGCTGGGCCTGGATCTAACCCGCATAGCCACGTAAATACTAGCCTGAAACAGAAAGCCTGGAGTGCATTATTAAGAAATAATGGAATGGAGCAGGGTAGAAGTTAGGGAGTTCTAACTCAGTGTAGCCCAGTAAGAGGAGATAGGAGGCAAATTGTCCCAAGCACATGGTAGCCTCTCCCCAGAGCTGGCAGGGTTGGGAGACAGGAGGGAAAATTTAGGAGTTTGGATACTTCATTTCCAGCAAGGGAGTTCTTCGTTGATTGATAGAAGCATAGCACAGTCAAAACATCCTTTTGAGTTTTGTGTTTCTTTTCTTCCTCTGTCGTAGCACAGTCACTGACCATACCAACTGGCCAAAGCAGGCTTCTACATTTATGAATAAATGTTAAAACTCCAGGGTCTGCAGGGCTGGGCGATGGAGATGACATGCTGTCTTCTGGGCAAGGTTTGCTCCCCTTTTCTCTCTTCTGGTTCTTATTTATTTATCTGGAAGATTGGTTTGTGCTGGCGAGACAGTGTTGCTTAGCAGAAGAAAACTCTGTCCTGGGCCTCTGGAGAGTTTGTTTTGTTTCATTTGCTCTCTAAGCCCCACATTTTTCATCTGTAAAATGGAGCTAGCAATCTGCCTGCTATTTATGTCACAAGAAAGTATAGAGATAAAACATTTTTTGGACTGTTACGGGATACAGTATATTACAAGCACATTAAAGGACATAAGGGTCGTGTTCAAAGTTAGTCACTTAGAACACAAAATGGAGCCTGTAATGCCAGCTATTAGGGAGGCTGAGGCACGAGAATCGCTTGAACCTGGGAATCAGAGGTTGCAGTGAGCCGAGATTGCATCACTGCACTCCATCCTGGGCGACAGAGTGAGACTGTCTCAAAATAATAATAATAATAATAAAATGAAAGAACACAAAATGGATGTTCCCCAGAAACTATTTACAATGTGGAATGCAGATAATTACTACATATCTCTAGTATTAATATGTGTATAGGTTCAAGGATGCTTTCATTCAAATGGTGTAGGTTCACTTGTAGCTGTTAAATTCCTATTTTATCTGCTGTTATAAATGTTGTGTAGGGGGACCCTCATCTTACTATTAAGAGCAACGACTTTGGGGTGATGTCTTAGGAGAACAGGGACATAGGCTAGGCAGCCATTCATAGGCATGGAGTGTTAATATTTCAACTGTTTATAAGTCAGGGATAACCATTCATAGTGTGCTATATTGTAGATTATGTATAATATATGTTTATCATATTATATTATCTATGTGTGTGTGTGAGAGTGTGCGCGTGTGTATCATATAATACGATACAGGCTGTGATCCCTCGGGATTGCTGTGGGGGGGCAGTTTCCCATCTTAGACTGCTGGTTTAGAAATATTTCCTTTTTGCACGCGCTGCTGCAGTGTAAGTTGGGAAAAGACAAGTATAGACACTGTGAACTTGAGCCCTGGCAAAGAATTAGTCTTGGGATCTTAGAAACTTTGATGAAAAAAATAATTTAAAAGGTGGAGTCTTGAAAGAACTTCAGGACAAATATTTCTTGATTGTGGGAAGACCAGCTCAGTGGAAACTTGGTTTTGCATATGTAATCTAACAATCCTTTTCTTCTTGGAAAGGATAGTTTTCAAACAAACTAGAGGTTCTAAGAAGATAAGCTGTTCTTTCTTCTTTGTAGGCAAAGTTGTATCTCCAGAGATTATTTTTTTTATTAGGGAAAATTTTTTCCTTATATATGGATTTAGATAGTCCTCTTGCCAAAACTGATAGTGGTTCTTGATAAAGCCATTCCTCAGTCCACAAATGGGGCAAGCCCAGATCACACTGATGGCGGGGGGATCCTGAGATGACCCAGACTGGGCACTCAACACTCAACCTTCGAAGCCCCACAGGAATGTTATTCCAGGTGTAGGGATGCAGCCCATCAGCAGTGTACTGGGAGTGGATTACCTGGCTCCTACAGGCAGGGGGAGATTAGAGTGAAACACCTGGCCAGGCACAGTGGCTCACACCTGTAATCCCAGCACTTTGGGAGGCCAAGGCTAGCAGATCACTGAAGGTCAGGAGTTCGAGAGCATCCTGGTCAACATGGTGAAACCCTATCTCTACTAAAAATACAAAAATTAGCCGGGCATGGTGGCGGGTACCTGTAATCCCAGCTACTCGGGAGGCTGAGGCAGGAGAATTGCTTGAACCCAGGAGGGAGAGGTTGCAGTGAGCCAAGATCACACCACTGCACTCCAGCCAAAAATAAAAATAAAAAATAAAAAGAAACTAAAAATAGAGTGAGACACTTGTGTGGGAGAGTTTTCCCTAAGGGTGAAAATTCCTATGATCAATCACCCAGCAAGGGGACAGATCCACGGGTAAAAAAGGAAGATGTGAATGGTACTGGGGGGCAAAGGAGATGGGGTATCGAGGACATGAGTCTCCACGGGAAGGAGGGATGCCAGAGGTCCCTTTAGCTCCACAGGTGGGAGAGGAGATGGCCGGCCCAGTTCAACAGACTGTGAGCCCGGCTGGCTGCTGGGCGTGTAGCGATCACTGAGGACAGGTCAGCCTGGGGATTTGGAGCGCAGCTACCTGCAGTACCTGTTCTAACTCCGTCTGTGTCGGAGCGCCCTTCTGTTATCCTCAGTGCATTAGCATGGCTATTTTTTTTTTTTTTTGAGACGGAGTCTCGCTCTTCCGACCAGGCCGGACTGCAGTGGCGCTATCTCGGCTCACTGCAAGCTCCGCCTCCCGGGTTCATGCCATTCTCCTGCCTCAGCCTCCTGAGTAGCTGGGATTACAGGCGCCCGCCACCGCACCCGGCTAATTGTTTGTATTTTTAGTAGAGACGGGGTTTCATCGTGTTAACCAAGATGGTTTCGATCTCCTGACCTAGTGATCCGCCCGCCTCGGCCTCCCAAAGTGCTGGGATTACAGGCGTGAGCTGCCGCGCCCAGCCAAGCATGGCTTTGATGACAGTCACCACCTGGTCTTAGCTGAGCTGGAGGCTTAAAAGACTCTATCCACACTGAAGATGAAGTATCGCAGGGGAAAGCAACCTTTCTGTCCTTACTCCTCTACTTTCAATACCATCATGGAGATGGCAGCTTCTGTTCTAGGGAGGACAGTGGTGCCAGAGCTCCTGGAGGTCACCAACATTTAAGAGAGTGGCAGCCTAAGTAGGGGCTAAGCAGAAGTGAGACCTGGTGTGTACCTGAGGTTTGTACCAACACTGGAGCTGATGTGTCCCACGTCACTCAGCTGTGCTCTAGGGAAGGACGCCCATCATCTAGCCACCCTCTCCACCCTGCCACTATGTCAGAGAGGCTACCAAAGCCAGGGATGTTTGGGTCATCTTTGTTGCTCTGCTCACAGCCTGCAAAGGGGCTCCATTTGTCCCCAATCCAGAGGTCAAGACTCCTGAGCATGGCTCACAGGGCCGAGCATAACATGTTCCTGCCTACCTCTCTCCCCAAACTAGCATTTGCACATATCTTTTACCTGACACAGGATGTTGATTGTACCTGGAACATGGCAGGCTCTTGCACCCCAAGTTGCTTGCACTTCATCCTTACTAATCTTTTTTTTCAATTCCTGGCTGCAATCTCTTTTGTCACCTGGCCATGGGACACTGTTCCTTCCTTCAGGACCACTGCTGTGCTGTCTGCTTCCTGCTGCCACACCCTGCCCCTGCCGGCAGCCAGCCTCTAAGTTGTCCATCAGGTCTTGCATTAGATGCCACGTACCCCAGGAAGCTGTCTCTGATGCTGTCTTTCCCCCGGCAATGCAGCCTGAGGTCCTTCCTATCCAAACCTCCTTCCCCTCTTCACTCTTTTCACAGATGTCAGAAGCCTCTCCCTGCCTCCTCCTGCTCCCTGTCTCTTTTACCCTTCATGGTATTTCTTGGATAAATCTCGGAAACTGCTAATTTTATCAAGGCGTCTGCCTCCTGGAGCACCAGAACTGATCTAGTTCTTTTCCACGAGGCCTTGCCGCGTTAATGAAAACATTTCCCCCAGACTCGATTCTCCCTTTCAACCTGTCCCTTTCCTCCATGGCCATCTCTCTCTTTGCCGTATCAGTGCAAGTCCACCAACTCTTCTGCAAAAATATAGAGTTGCTTTGCACTTGTCACATGCCCTTGTAAGGGTATTCCATAGTAAAGGTGACAAATATGTATGTGTTTGGGTGTGGTATACACGGTGAGGTTAGTGTGCCTGTGTTGTCCAGGAGGAAACTGAGGTTTGGGAGGTTTAAAACCTTTTATTAATTTATCAATTTTTTGTTTCATTTTTGTGCGTGTGTGTTTTTTCAAGACAGGGTCTCACTCTGTCACCCCTGGCGTGCAGTGGCACAATCTCGGCTCACTGCAACCTCTGTCTCCTGGGTTCAAGTGATTCTCCTGCCTCAGCCCCCCAAGTAGCTGGGACTTCAGGTGCACACCACCACACCTGGCTAATTTTTGTATTTTTAGTGGAGACAGGGTTTTGCCATTTTGTCCAGGCTGGTTTTGAGCTCCTGACCTCAAGTGATCTGCCTGCCTCAGCCTCCCAAAGTGCTGGAATTTCAGACGTGAGCCACTGTGACTGGCCTGATTTATCAGTTTTTTTTTTTTTTTTTGAAACAGAGTCTTGCTCTGTTGCCCAGGCTGGAGTGCAGTGGCGCAATCTCAACTCATTGCAAGCTCCGCCTCCTGGGTTCACGCCATTCTCCTGCCTCAACCTCCCAAGTAGCTGGGACTACAGGTGCCCGCCACCACGCCCAGCTAATTTTTTGTATTTTTTTTTAGTAGAGACGAGGTTTCACTGTTTTGGCCAGGATGGTCTCGATCTCCTGACCTCGTGATCCACCCGCCTCGGCCTCCCAACGTGCTGGGATTATAGGCATGAGCCACCGCACCCGGCCGATTTATCAGCTGTTTTAGAGATAGGGTCTCACTGTGTTGCCCAGGCTGGAGTGCAGTGATGCGATCACAGCTCCCTGGATCCTCAAACTCCTGGGCTCAAGCAATCCTCCCCCATCAGCCTCCCAAGTAGCTGGGACTACACACACAGGCCACCATGCTTGACTTGGCTTGGGAAGTTTCATAATTCGAGGCTGCAACAGAACTGTTTAGAACTCAAGTCTGTTCTTACTACACTATGTTTTCCTCCAAGACACTTTCCATTTAAAAGTTAAATAATAATTTGACTAGCAAATATTAAGGACTACGATATGACAGGAATTATGATAAGCACTGGGGATATAAAAATTAGTCCTTCTGGCTGGGTGCTGTGGTCACGCCCAGGTCAGCATTTTGGGAGACCTAGGAGGGCAGATCACCTGAGGTCAGAAGTTCGAGACCAGCCTGGCTAACATGGTGAAACCCCATTTCCACTAAAAATACAAAAAATTAGCTGAGCTTGATGGCTCATGCCTGTAATCCCAGCTACTCAGGAGGCTGAGGCAGGAGAATTGCTAGAACCCGGGAGACAGAGGTTGCAATGAGCTGAGATCATGCCACTGCACTCCAGCTTGGGCAACAAGAGCAAAACTCCATCTTAAAAAAAAAAAAAGAAAAAAAATTAGTCCTTCTGATTCACTGAGGATGTTGTAGTCTTTCTCTTCAATAAGGTGATGATCAAGTGGGATCATGTGAATAAATCGTAAAATGTGTGGTGCCAACAGTCAACGCCTAGAGGGAGGACGTGGACAAGCTAGGGCTTTTAAGAGACTAAGGAGGCCGGGCGCGGTGGCTCACGCCTGTAATCCCAGCACTTTGGGAGGCCAAGGTGGGCGGATCACGAGGTCAGGAGATGGAGACCATCCTGGCTAACACGGTGAAACCCTGTCTCTACTAAAAATACAAAAAAATTATCTGGGCTTGGTGGCAGGCACCTGTACTCGCGAGGCTGAGGCAGGAGAATGGCATGAACCCCAGAGGTGGAGCTTGCGGTGAGCTGAGATGGCACCACTGCACTCCAGCCTGAGCGACAGAGTGAGACTCCGTCTCAAAAAAGAAAAAAAAAAGAGTCTAAGGAATTTGTTCTGGGTGCAGTGGCTCATGCCCATAATCCCAACACTGTTTCCCCCTTCTTCTCACCCACTCCCTTCTTGAAGTCCTGGAGGCTGAGATGGGAGCAGCACTTGAGACCAGCAGTTTGAGGCTTTAGTGAGCTATGATCATGCCACTGCATTCTAGCCTGAGTAACAGAGCACGACTCATCTCTCAAAACAAAAATAATTCAGAGAATTTGGGAAGAGAGAGAAAAATGAAAATTTCAGACAGGGGGATCAACTCAAGAAAAACCTTGACAGTTGGAAAGTAGCCTGGTATATTTGAGGGATCTGAGACAGAATCAGTTTCATTAGGGTTCCCTTTTGAAGTAATGGGAGGTGAGGTTGGCCAGATAAGGGTATACCTCAAATGCCTGTAGGTAGTGAGGGAACCTTCTTAATCAAAGGAATAACAGAGAAAGTGCTGCTTCAGATAACCAAGGCCAAGGCTGAGTTTTGAATGCTGTCTGGGCTTAGCTTCCAATGACTGAGGGAGTTATTTCCCTGGATGAAGGTATGTTCTTATTTCAATTGATTCTTAAAGTACTTTTTATTAATATTTATTAAGGAGAGTTATCCAACTGCTCATGAAGTTTAGGCGGTTACACTAGGGCAAGATATGTTTCCCTCATCTTCTCATCTACCACCTTCTTGAAGTCCTGGAAATCTAAGGAATGGAAGGAGGCCCTTGGTACTATACCTCAAGGCTACAAGGAAGACATACATCATCCAACATAATAGATAAAGATAACAGGAGGGTAATCTTCACTATATAAAAGGGTGATTATGTTCCAGATACTCTGCATCGGATGCAGAGAAGACTTCTTCCTGACATCAATGCCAGAGGCAGATCTAAATCTAAATCTAATCTAAAAGGTGGTGGGACCTTGGGACAGGCTTCAGACTGGGGACAGGAGGTAGGGGTTAGGGGAGAGCAAAGGCCTAATCAGATTAGGGAGTGTCTAGTCAATTGTCTGTTGTAACAAAATATCATAAGCTGGGTAATTTATAAAGAAAAGAAGTTTATTTAGCCTGTGATTCTAGAGGCTGGGAAGTCCAAGAGCATGGTGCTGGCATCTGGTGAGAGTCCTCCCATGGCAGAAGGCAGAAGCAAGCACATGAGACAGAGCAGGAGCACAAGGGCAGACTTGCTCTATAACAGCCCATTCACAAGGTAATTAACCTGCTCCCGAGATAATGACATTCATCCATTCATGAAGGCTCTGATCCCAAGACCTCCCACCAGGCCCCACCTCCCAAGACTGCTGCATTGGGAATCAAGCCTCCAACACATGGATTCTGGAAGAAAAACACTCAAACCATAGCAGGGGGGAATGAAAGAGTTGAAAGAGACAGAGAGTGTGTCTAGGGGAAACGCTGTCTGGACTGTGATTTGGTCATAGGATGCATTTTGAGAGTTAGTATTGATGTATTAAGTCTTGCACATTTTTTTGTCAGATTTATCCCTCAGTATTTTTGTTGCTATTGTAAGTGGTATTGCTTTTACATTTCAATTTCTAATTGTTCATTGCTACTGTTTAGAAGTACAATTGATTTTTGTGTATTAATTTTTCATTCTGAAACCTTGCCAAAATCATTTATTAAGTCTAGTATCTTTCTTGTATTTGTTTTAATAGATTTCTCACTTTGGTTCTTTTAAAAATATCTTCTATGACTCTATTAGCTTGTTCTACCTTTTCTGTAGCATCTTGAATACATGGAATACCATTATAAAAACTATTAATGTCCTTCTCTACTGATGCTAGCATCTATGTCAGTTATGAGTCAGTTTTAATAGTCTTTTCTCCTCATTATTGGTTGTATATTTCTACTTTGCATGCCTTATAACTTTTTATTGGATGCCAGACATTTTTGAATTTTACATTACTTTGTGTTACACCGGGCGCCTCTGCCTCCTGTACTCAAGGGATCCTCCCTCCTCAATCTCCCTAGTAGCTGGGACTACAGGCTCATGCCTGGCTTATTTTTGTATTCTTTGTAGAGACAGGTTTCACCATGTGGGCCAGGCTGGTCTTGAACTCCTGAGCTCAAGCCATCCTCCTGCCTCAGCCTCCCAAAGTGTGGGATTACAGGTGTGAGCCACTGTGCCCAGCTGAGACTGGGTAATTTATAAAGGAAGGAGGTTTAATTGGCTCATGGTTTTGCATGGAAGGAGGTTTGCATTGGCTCATGAAGCATGATGCTGGTAATTGCTTGATTTCTGGGGAGGCCTCAGGAAATTTACAAACATGGCAGAAGGTGAGTCTTACATGGCAGGAGCAGGAGCAAGAAAGAGAGTGAGGGGAAAGGTGCTACACACTTTAAAATGACCAGATCATGTGATAACTCACTATTATGAGAACAGCACCAAGAGGTTGGTGCTAAATCATTCATGAGAACTCCACTCTCATGATTTAATCATCCCCACCAGGCCCCACCTCCAACACTGGGGATTCCAATTCGACACAAGATTTGGGTGGGGGCACAGATCCAAGCCATATCAGAAGATCATTATTTCTGGCCTTGTGTATGCTCTGGGTATTGTTCCCTCTAATCCTTTTGAGTGGCTCATGTCCTAAGCTCAGGTGGTTTACTCACACAATATTCATCTGAATACTCAATGGGGACCCCCTGCAGGTCTCCAGAGTTCACTCTCTGTGCAGCTCTCACTTCTCTAGTACTCTGCCCCGTGAACTCTAACTGCTTTGGCTTTCCCAGACTTCCAGCTCCATTTCCTGAATTCAGGGGGAGGACAGGGATCTTCCTGGATTCCCCCTCCCCATGCTGAAGATCAGAAACCTTCTCCAGGCAGTAAGTTTGGGCTAACATAAGGCTCATCTCATTTGTTTTCTATCAGGCAGGCATCACCCACTCTTTGTTTTCTTGAGAATCATCACTTCATATATATAATCTGGTGTTTTGGTGTTCATGTGTGATGGTAAATCTAGTCTCTGTTACTGTTACCAAAATGGTAGAGTTCAGTCTAGGTCATGTTGCTCACTGCACAGAAATCCAATCACTGAGACAACAAGCATTGCTAGGGAAGAAGGCTTTAATTGGGTGCTACAGAGGAGGAGATGGCAGATCCATCTCAAACCATCTCCTTGGCCAACTAAAATCAGGGGTTTATATAGCAGGGAGGAAACATAATACACGCAGGAAAACAAGAATTGGGGAGGGGTAAGGAAAAGGAGTCAGTCAACAGGAAGCAGGTGGTTGCTTAGGCAGTCATGAAGGACGATCTAGCGTCTCATTGTCCAGAGGCAGTGATCTGGTAAGTTTCAACTCTTTGCTACTATCTGGGAGGCCTGATGGTAGGTTTCATATGAAAGGAACTCAGATAAGATCAATGTAACCTTTTCAAATGTTAAGACTGGAAGGGTCAATTTCTGTTTGTTCAAGAGAAACCATAAGCATCAGTTCTATGGGACAATTGGGCTGGTGGGAGTGGACACCCGCTCTCTCAAGGGTTAGGGCTACAAAACTCCATCCACTTTCTACTGGTGACAACTAGTTGTATGGTTCCACTTGGATACAATGGGGGTGAGGAGATGTTCTTGGCTGAACAGTTACTTCTCAGCAATAACTCTGCACTAGAGGAGGGGAAGCATGAATTTTAGTGGCCAGCTAGCTGTCTCTGCTACAGTGTTCTTTTGTATTGTTTTGTTTTGTTTTGAGATGGAGTCTCGCTCTGTCCCCAGTCTGGAGTGCGGTGGCACAATCTTGGCTCACTGCAACCTCTGCCTCCTGAGTTCAAGAGATTCTTCTGCCTCAGTAGCTGGGACTACAGGTGTGCACCACCACATCCAGCTGATTTTTTTGTATTTTTAGTAGAGACGGGGTTTCACCATATTGCCCAGGCTGTTCTCGAACTCCTGACCTCAAGTGATTTGCCTACCTCGGCCTCCCAAAGTGCTGGGATTACAGGTGTGAGCCACCGCACCCAGCCATGCTACAGTGTCCTTATCCTTATCTTACAGATGAGCAAACTGGGGCACAGTAGAGTAAAAAGAAGCTCAACTGAGAAAAATTAGCATAGTGATGGTCACAGGCGAATGTGCATTTGCAGCTCCTACAGGCTTTAACCTCCTAACTCATTTTTCTGTTTAGGAGATTCTGAAAGCCATAAAATCAGTTGACCTCACTGACTGTTAGAGCCAGGAGTGCTGATTGTGAAAACAGTTATCTCAATATTCCACGTGGAATTGCATATGCGGTAAGAGAAAGTTTTAAAACAAAACGGAGTTCAATTTCTAGGGAGCAGAGCTTTGTTGTCTTTGTTTGACCAAAACCTCAAGTAAAAGAAGAGAATATAGTGGGAATAATTAGCCACAACGGGTGGTATAAATCCAAAGAGAAAAATAATTCATCAACTTTAAAGCAACTCATTTAAAACTGGGAGTGTGGTTTATTTGACCTGCATTTGGGAGCAAATGTTAATGAAGAAGTAAAGGCAACTTATGGCTTTTTCAGTTCTTTCATTTCCCTCTAGATGTCTTTGATAGAAACTAATTATCAATGCTCTTGATTTAATTTGGAAAAAAATTGGATGAAGGTTTTTCTTAAGTCCCATGTCACTGTTCATAACCTGGGAGAGCTAAAATTCACCTCTGATCCTTCATCAGTAACTGCTCTAGTCAGTAGAGTCCGAGGAGTCCACTTTGGAAAACAAGAAAAATTATTATTATGGTGATTATTATTTTTTAAATAAAAATTTCTTGTGGGAATGCAGAAAGACCAGAGGAAATTTTCCCAGTGCTAAAGTTGCTTTTATTAACCCATTAAGCAGATAAACAAAACTTTCATTAATTGAAACCCAACCAAATTGAACCCTTTTTTTTTTTTTTTTCTGCATTCTGTTTTCAAGGAAAGAAAAAAAAAAGACTCAAAAGCAAGAAAACGGCCGGATGCAGCGGCTCATGCCTGTAATCCCAGCACTTTGGGAGGCCGAGGCGGGCGGATCACGAGGTCAGGAGATCGAGACCATCCTGGCTAACACGGTGAAACCCTGTCTCTACTAAAAATACAAAAAATTAGCCAGGTGTGGTGGCGGGCGCCTGTAGTCCCCGCTACTCGGGAGGCTGAGGCAGGAGAATGGCGTGAACCCAGGAGGCGGAACTTGTAGTGTGAGCCGAGGTGGCACCACTGCACTCCAGCCTGGGCGACAGAGCGAGACTGTGTCAAAAAGAAAAAAAGCAAGAAAACAAGATACTGTCAGGAACTTATCATAAAATGAACTTTCAATATGATATTTAGGATCCATTAGATATGTAGCCCAATCATGTACACTTCCTACATTTCGTCTGCAGTATTTCTTTTTTTTTTTTTTTTTGAGACAGAGTGTCACTCTGTTGCCCAGGCTGGTGTGCACAGGTGGAATCATGTTTCACTGCAGCCTCAACCTCCCCAGGCTCAGGTGATCCTCTCACTTCAGCCTCCCGAGTAGCTGGGATTATGGGTGTGTGCTACCATGCCCAGCTAAATTTTTTTTTTTTTTTTTGTAGAGACAAAGTTTCGCCATGTTGCCCAGGCTCATCTCAAACTCCTGGGCTTGAGGGATCTGCCCACCTTGGACTCTCAAAGTGTTGGGATTACAGGTGTGAGCCATCACATCTGGCCGGCAGTGTATTCTTAGTTATTGATGTTTTCCAGGGTTATATCCTCAATTTTCTTACCTTTTTTGGTAGTATAAGATTGGGATTAAGAATGTGGGCTTTGGATTTGAATCCTAGCACCATCATTTATAAATTTTGCAGCATCATCTGAATGGGCAAAATATCAATACCTACTCATAGAATTGTTTGATTAACTGAGTTAATACATGTCAAGTGCCAGATCAATGACTGTCATGGAGGAAATGCTCAATACATACTTGCTATTATTATTCTTATTCTACATGGCATCCCTGGATGGCACTTTTCCTCCTTGATATTCATAGCTTCAACTTTCATTTATATGCTAGTATTGATAGCATCCAAACAGAAGTGTAAAAATATACATGTGTATTTATAAATATGGCTTTGTCCCATAGTTTATCTACTGGGACTGTTTTTTTTCATTGACCTTCACCCTTGAGGGACCCACAATATCATTTCCAAGTAGTCAGCCTTATATATGGGGTTCTACATCTTATTTTATTTTGAGACAGCATCTTGCTCTGCCACCCAGGCTGAAATGCAGTGGTACAATCATAGCTCCCTGCAGCCTCGACCTCCCAGGGTCAAGTGATCCTCCTGCCCCATCCTCCCAAGTAGTTGGGACTACAGGCATGCAGCATCATGCCTGACTATATCTTTAAAATTTTTGTAGAGATGGGGTCTCACTATGTTGCTCAGGCTAGACTCAAACTCCTGGCTGAAATGATCCTGCAGCCTCAGCCTCCCAAAATACTGGGATTACAGGCATGAGGGGTTCCACATATCCTTACATTCTACCACTGCAGAACCGTATGGTGCTGCCCACTGAGACCCCTGTCTTCAGCTTTGATGATTGCTGTTCTCTTCTAGTGAGGTTAGAATCTACTTATCCTGCAGACTAGTCCTCTCCTGCCAGTGGAATCCATCAAGGCTCTGCAAGACTCCAGGCCTGAGTGTCCCTGTGCTCACTCACCAGGAGGCCGCTGTGACATGGCCCTTTAGAAAACCCCCCACCACCGAGTCCATCATGCCTCCCCTTCCCTGTTACCTTTGGTTATTGCTTTCTCTCTGGTTCTAGCTCTCTGCTTGCTTTTCTCCGACTCACCTTCTTCACTGCTCTCTTTCCAAGCCTTCCACTTGTCCCATAGTAAACAGATGTCTCAGCATCCTCAACCTTTTCACTGAAGGCTCCTCTATTACCATGCCTGAGCTGAAACTGGGCTGGCTCCTCTGGACACTGCTTCCCCCCAGGAGCCATCTCAAATGGGTCCTTTTCATTTTCTCACTCCATGCATGCCCGAAGGTGGGCAGAAAATCTCTGCTTTCCTCCAGTTTTTGCCACAGGTTTCTCCCTCCTGTTACTGCCACCCACTGTCCGCCTGAAAGATGTTCTCCATTTAGGGAAGTCACTGGCATGGGGCTCAGGCTCCTACCTTCCACTCTTAAGTCCTGCTCATCTCTGTGACATTATCTTGCTGTTCCCCAGCAACCCTTTTCACAAACATATCCTGTACTTTATCATAACACATAACTGTCCATCCCCAAAAGAATAAGTGTAGACATGCCCTCCATCAACCAGGGCCTCTTAATGTTGCAGCTGCCTCAGGGGCTCACGCCTGTCCCATGTGTTTCTTGACCCTGTGGTCTATTGTTATTGACCCTTAATCCCTTGAGGCTCAGCTCTTCCCCTATCCAGTCTTCACCTTATTTTCCACCCAACTTAGACTTTTTGATTCATTGTTTCCATATTTCCCTTGCTGATATGATTGGGCTATGTCCCCACCCAAATCTCATCTTGAATATTAGCTCCCATAATTCCCAAGTGTTGTGGGAAGGACCCGGGGGGAGATAATTGAATCATGGGGGCGGTTTCCCCCATAGTGTTCTCGAGGTAGTGAACAAGTCTCACAAGATCTGATAGATTTATAAAGGGTTTCCCCTTTCACTTGGGTTTCATTCTGTCTCGTGCCTGCTGCCATGTAAGATGTACCTTTCACCTTCCACCATGATTGTGAGGCCTCCCCAGCCATGTGGAACTGAATCCATTAAACCTCTTTTTCTTTATAAATTACCAAGTCTCAGGTATGTCTTTATTTTCAGCATGAGAATAGACTAGCACACTTGCCAATTAACTTCTTTGCTCACATTTCCTTTTTTGTTGTTGTTGTTATATCCTCCCTAAAATACCTGGATTGACGTCCCAAAGCGCTGGGATTATAGGTCAGTTTGTGTCTGACTTCACCTTGCTTAAACCTGGACTACTGCATTTCTAAAGAAAATAGCATTATCATATAGATTGGTAGACTCTAGATTCATATTTTTTTCAGCCCTAACAGGGCTGAATTCTCTGAATTAATGATTTCAAACCTTTTTCATTCTCCTCAATGGCCTACAACACCCTGCATTGCAGGCCCTCCATTGTTTCTCTGACCCCACCTCCTACTGCTGTCACAGTTGCCCACACCTGTCCAGCCTCACTGGCCTCCCTGCTAAATCTGGAATGGATCTGTGATGGTCAGTTTGTGTGACAACTTGACTATGCTATAGTCTCCAGTTATTCAATCAAACACTAACCTAGGTGTTGTTACGAAGGTAGTTTTTAGATGGAATTAAAACCCATAATCAGCTGACTTTAAGTAAGGCAGATAATCCCAGATAATCTTTCTTTTTTTTTTTCTTTTTTTTTTTTTTTAGACAGAGTCTCTCTCTGTTGCCCAGGCTGGAGTACAGTGGCGTGATCTCGGGATCTCAGCTCACTGCAACCTCTGCCTCCTGGGTTCAAGTGATTCTCATGCCTCAGCCTCCTAATCAGCTAGGATTACAGGCGTGCACACCACCACGCACAAATAATTTTTTTATTTTTAGTAGAGATGGGTTTTCACCATGTTGGCTAGGCTGGTCTGGAGCTCCTGACCTCAGGTGATCTGCCCGCCTCGGCCTCCCAAAGTGCTGGGGTTACAGGCATGAGCCACCACACCAAGCCCCCAGATAATCTTAACAGGCCTGATTCAGTAAGTTGAAAGGCCTAACAAGCAGAACTGAGGCTTTTCTGCAAACTAGAGCTTCAGCTCATACCTCAGAATTCTAGCCTGCCCTTCCTGTTGGCCTGCCTTACAAATATTGGACTTTCTTAGCAGCCTTCACAGTCACATATGCCAATTCCTTGCAACAAATGTCTTAATATATATCTCCCACTGGTTCTATTTCTCTGATTGAACCCTAACATGGATTTTTGGACCTGAAAGTGAAGTGCTACTGTAACAAATACTTAAACATGTGAAAGTGGCTTTAGAATTGGGCAGTTAATGAGAGAGACTGGAAGAACTCTGAGAAGCGTGATTGAAAAAGTCTAAATTGGGGCCAGGTACAGTGGCTCACACCTGTGATCCCAACATGTTAGGAGGCTAAGGTAGAAGGATTCTTTCAGCCCAGGAGTTCAAGGCTGCAATGAGCCATGATTGCACCACTACACACCAGCGTGGGTGACAGAGTGAGACCCTATCTCTAAAAAAGAAAAAATAAATTAAAAAGTCTAAATTGTCTTACAGACTGTTAGGAGAAATATGGATGTTAAAGACTCTCTGAGGGGTCAGAAGGAAGTGGGGATCATACGAGAGAAGGCCTAAATTGTCTTAGAGGTTACCTAAATTGTCAGAAACAGATGGTTTGTGGAAGTATGGACATTAAAGACGTTAACCTACTGGCTTGGATTAAAGTAAAAATGAATAATTTTTTAAAAAGAAAAATAATAATTAAGAAACAAAAAAAAGGTGCTAACTGTGAAGATCCAGAATGAAATGGGGACTATATTTTTGAAAACAGGAGGAAAAGAGATCCTTGTTATATAGTGGCAGAAAAGCTGAGTTGAGTTGTGTCCTACATGTATATGGAAAGCAGAACTTTTAAACAATGTATTTGGATATTTAGCTGAGGAAATTTCCAAGCAGGGTGTTGAAAGCATAGCCTGGTTTCTTCTTGCTGCTTATAGTAAAATGTGAGAGGAAATAGATCAATGGAGGGAAGAACTGTTTTCGTTGTTGTTGTTGTTGCTGTTTTGGTTTGTTTTGAGATGGAGTCTCACTTTTTCGCCCAGGCTGGAGTGCAATGGCACGATCTTGGCTCAATGCAACCTTCACCTCCTGGGTTGAAGCAATTCTTCTGCCTCAGCCTCCCAAGTAGCTGGAACTGCAGGCATGCACCACCATGCCCAGGTAATTAAGAACTGTTAATCAAAAAGGAACAGGACTTCATGATTTGGGAAATCCTCAGCCTATCCAGATTGCAAAAGATGCTAAAATGAGATTCACTGTCAGGAGAGCTGTGCTCTGGAAAGAAGGCCAAGGGTGTGGCTCGACAGCTTTTTGCTAGTGCCTGGAATGGATAAAAATTCAGAATATTCAGTCATAAAGAGAACTCTGAAGAGATTAGGCATATGATTCATAGGTTCTCTTAGCCATCTCAGCAGAAGCCAGGAATAATGATGAAATTATCAGGTGAAACCTGTGAAGGAGTCTTTGGTCTAATGGAATGGATTTCCATGATATACATAGTAGACCTACAAGGCTTTTGAGATTTATAACAGCAGAAACACTGAATTGAAAGAGAGGGCTGAAACAGAGGACTGAATGAAAGAAAGCTGTAGGACTCCCAGGCAGAACAAGCTGATAAAACTTCTCAGCCACAAACAAATACAATCTTTTCTGAAAAAAGAAGGATGGCCCAGAAGGTAGAACCTTGGGCCCAGAGGGTGGAGCCTCTGGCCACAGAGAATTATTCACTGGCCTTGAAAACTAATGGAGTTTGCCTTGCTGGATTTCAAAATTGTTTAGGACCGGTGCTATTTTTTCCTTCCATTTTGTCCTGCTTTGAATGGGAGTAGCTGCAACTGGCATCCTGTTCCATCATTGTATTTGCTGAGCAGATAATTTGTTTTCTAATTTCACAGGTCCATAGATGGAGAGGAATTTTGCTCAAGGATTGATGATACCCAGAGTCTTACCTATACATGAGTTAGATGATTTAAATATTTAATAAAGTATCTTATAAACATGATATTCTTTATTTTTTTTTCTGTCACCCAGGCTGGAGTGCAGTGGTGTGATCATAGCTCACTGCAGCCTCAAATTCCTGAGCTCAAGCTTATTCTCCTGTCTCAGCCTCCCAAGTAGCCTGGGATTATAGGCACGTGCCACCACACCTGGCTAATTTTTAAAATTTTTTTGTAGAGAAAAATTTTTTAATTTTTTTGTTATGTTGCCCAGGATGGGATATTCTGTAAAATATATAAAAATAACTGCAAAACTAAAATGTAAAACAAACACTAGATTAGGAGACAGGAGACCTGACTTCTGCCCCACTCTTTTAACACCTTACTAGTGACGTTGTATAAGTCACTCAATTCTTTCTGGGCCAATACCTGCACTTGGTAAATCAGGACTATTAATAGTACCCTCCTTATATCACAATGCTATATGAATCAAAGTAGGTCATGGGTATGACCATGCTTAAAATTGTGTTAGGTATTGTACAAATATATAGTATTATTTTTGCTGAGGGTTGAAGTAAACAAAAATAATTCAGTTGTTAAGCAGGAAATATCAAATGGTCTGAGAGACACAGCTCATATCATACCTTGACCTCAATGTTACCAGCCTTGATTTAGATAATGAGATTTGAGATTTTTTAACAGATAAAGTTTAGATGAAATTTTGGTCTTTGAATTGATGCCATAATGGATTGAGCTGTTGGGATGAGGTGAATATATTTTGCATATTGGATGGTTGTGAATCTTTAAGGTTCAGGAGATGAGCTGTGGTAGACTGAAGAGTGATTCTCAAATATATTCAGGACCTAATCCCTGGAGCCTGTGAATATTACCTAATGTGTCAAAAGGGACTTTGTGCAGATGTGATTAAATGAAGGACCTGGTTTTGAGATAGGGAGATTATGCTGGATTGGCCTGATAAGCACTAATGTAAGTGTTCCGAAGGGAGATTTGACTATGGAAGAGGAAGTAGCAGGTGTGAGAATGGAAGCAAGAGGTTGGAGTGGTACAAGGAGCGGCCATGAGTCAAGAATTGCAGGCAGCCTCTCCAAGCGGGGAGAGGCAAGGAAACAGATTGTCCCCTGCAGCCTCCACAAAAAGTCCAGCCTGGATGACACCTCAACTTTAACCTTGTGAACTTTTGGCTTCCAGAACTTATGGGAGAATAAATTTATGTTGTTTCCAAGGACAAAGTTGATGGTAATTTGCTGCGTCAGCAATAGGAAACTCACACAATATCCTACACGCTCTCACCTGAGGATTTTTGTGCTGGCTATTCCTTCCTCCTCAAATATTTTCGCCAGATAGCCATCTGGCTGACTCCTCCACCATCTTCAAATATTGGCTTACACGTGAAGCCTCTCTTTACCTTGTCATTTGACATTGCAGCCTTCCCTCTACATCCTCCCCACCAGAGCTCTTCATTCCCTTCACCCTCTATTCGCTCAAAGTACTCACAAACTTCTAGCATTCTATGTAATTCACTTACTTATTATATTCATTGTAGATTACTTGTCTTCCCACCTTGGGATACGAGCTCCACAATGGCAGGGGCCTTTTTCTACTTTGTCCATTACTGAATTCTGTGTACTCAAAATAGTGCTTGGTGCATGGGGGTTACCCAGTAAATATTTATCGGATGAATAAAACTTCCTATCCAGTTGCCTCACTCTTCATCTCAGCAGATGATTTTACTTCCAATTTCATAGAAAAGAAACTAGAAATCATCAGGGAGGGCACCATTAATCTTGTGTTTCTGCCTTTCCACTGTCTTCTCCCCATTCTACCTTTTGCTTCCCTTCCTCTTCCAAGTGAATTCCTCCACCTGGGTTTTGGTTTCCACTACTCCTACCTAGTCAGGAAAATCAAACATTAAATTATCCTTTTTCTTATATTCTTTCTTTTTAGACAGGGTCTCGCTGTGTCACCCAGGCTGGAGAGCAGTGGCACATTCATAACTCACTGCATCCTGGAACTCCTGGCCTCAAGCCATCCTCCTGCCTTGGCGTCCCAAAGTGTTGGGATTACAGTGTGAGTCACCATGCCTAGCCTCTCTTCTGCTTCTCTAATTGTGCATTCTCAGTTACCTTTTTCTTTTTTTTTTTTTTTTATGTTTTTCAAGACGGAGTCTTACTCTGTTGCCCAGCCTAAATTGCAATGGCGCAATCTCAGCTCACTGCAACCTCTGCCTCTCAGGTTCAAGCGATTCTCCTGCCTCTGCATCCTGAGTATCTGGGATTACAGGCACCTGCCATCATGCCTGGTAAATTTTTGTATTTTTGTAGAGATGGGGTTTCAACCACGTTGGTCAAGCTGGTCTTGAACTCCTGACTTTAGGTGTTCTGCCTGCATCGGCCTTCCAAAGTGCTGGGATTACAGGTGTGAGCCACCATCCCCAGCCTTAAGTTACCTTTTCAGACTCCTCTTTTTGTGCCCTCTAAATGTCGCTATTTCCCAGAGTTTTGCCCTAGTCTACTTTGTCTTTTTGTATCGTACATTCTTTGAAGCCCATGGATTCAAGAGCCATCTATAATACAAGTATTCCCAAGGGCATTACTTCATCAGATAAGTGCCAGCCACTAACTAGGTGCTGTGGATATAGCAGTGAATAAGATGGACATAGTCTCATGGAGCTTCTACTTGGGGTCTGAAGGCAAAACTAAGAAAAAGTTTAAAAGGTAGATAAGATCATTTAGAATAATATAAGTGCTATTAAGAATAGCTCAGGGTATGCTGGGCATGATGGCTCATGCCTGTAATCCCAACACTTTAGAAGGCTGATGTGAGAGGATCCCTTGAGGTCAGGAGTTCAAGACCAGCCTGGGCAACATAGGGATCTTTTGTAGAATCTCTACAAAAAATAAAGAAAATTAGTTGGGTACGGTAGCACACACCTGTAGTCCCAGCTACTCAGGAGGGTGAGGCAGGAGGATCACTTGAGCCCAGGAGTTCGAGGCTAGTGAGCCATGATCATGCCACTGCACTCCAGTCTGGGCAACAGAACAAGACTGTCAAAAAAAAAAAAAGTCCTAACTCACGGTAATGGAAAAGAGCAACAGAACAAGACTGTCAAAAAAAAAAAAAAGTCCTAACTCACGGTAATGGAAAAGAAGGTAACTGGGCAGGTGCAGGGTTGGAAGGCTACTCTGGATAGAGGGGCAGTGAAGGTTTCCTTGAGGAGATGGCCTTTAAGCTGAGCAGGGCTGGACCTAGGTGAGGCTAGTGAGCACAGATTTGCAGGGGTCGCCAAAATCTCAGTAACCAAAATAAATATAATTTTTTAATGCAATAATTTAAAAAAGCAAAATCAATGCCAAAAACATTAGGAATGCAATACCGAAATTTAAAAGTAAAGTGCTAGTAAGATGAATTTAATTAAAAATTATTTAAGATCATCAGTTGGTCAAGAGATATGAAATATGACAGTCCACTCAGTTGAAAATGAGATAAGCCAAGAAGTCGATTTTGAAAATGCTATTGATGAATTGGCTTCTGTGGAAACTAGAAAAGGAAAATTACATTAAATCCTGATTTTGGTGTAAATAGAATCTTTAAACTTAAAATAACATTGTGAGTTTTAATATACTTATTTTTTAAATTTTTCAATATTTTTTCAACTACTTTAATGTTCTGGAAAAATACTGACCATTTAAATGATACATATAAAGATGTATATAGGGGAGCGTGTTTTTCTTTCTTGCCTCAGTCTCCCATGGTTCTGTACAGCACTGAGGCTAAGACCTGAATGACAAGAAGGCAGCCACATGGTCATTGTTTGGAAGAGCCTCCTAGACGCGGGGAGCATGCTGTGATGGCATTGGGAATAAAAGGAGCTGAGTATAGTAAAGGAACTGATGGGACCAGTGTGGAAATGAAGGAAAATATGTGTGAAAGAAGATTAGAGACATACAGGGGCCAGATCCTGGAGATGCTTATAGACCAGAGGAAGAAGGGTGGATTTTTTTTTCTTATTGCATTACGGACTCATAGGAAGCTTTTAAGCAAGGGAGCGATATAATTTGGGATTTGCGAAAGATCAGATTTGCTGTTGAGTGGAGAATGGACTATATCAGAGCAGGACCAGAAAAGGTGAAAGGCTGGTGCAGCGGCTCATGCCTGTAATCCCAGCACTTTGGGAGCTGAGGCAGGCGGATCACTTGAGCTCAGGTGTTCTAGACCAGCCTAGGCAACATAGCAAGACCCCATCTCTACAAAAAATACAAAAATGGGACAGGTGTGGTGGTGGGTGCCTGTAGTCCCAGCTACTTGGGAGGCTGAGGCAGGAGGATTACTTGAGCCTGGAGGTCAAAGCTGCAGTGAGCTGAGATCATGCCACTGCACTCCAGCCTGGGCGACAGAGCTGAAGACTCTCTGACTCAAAAAAAAAACAAAAACAAACAAACAAAAACTGTCTCAAAAAAAAAGAAAAAATATCCTGTGAGAATGGTTAAGAGGCAACTGCAGCACTGCAGCTGAGAGGGGAGAGGCATGTCTCCAGCCACAGCTCATGTGTCCCTGCTCAGTCTGAGACCCAGGTAACTTTGCTTACTGGGCAGCTCCTCAGGATTGTCCCACAGGCTTTAAATCAACCACGCCAAATCTGAGTTTACTGTCTTTTCCCATAAACCTGCTCCACCTTGCTCTTCCTCTCATTGAATGGATCACTGCTCACCTAATTACTGAATCTAGAAACCCGATCCTTGACTCCTTCTCGCTGGCCCCCCAAATCCAGTCAAGGATTCACTTCCTTTGAACCCAGCTTCTAATTCAGGCCACCCAGCTTTCCCTTTTCTTTAGGCTCCGCTGCCATCTCCCTAATTCAAGTTGCCAGCATCTCCCTTCCATATCGCTGCCCAGTCTTCTCACTGTGCGTCCTCACTTGCTGTTTTCTTTTCTCCTATCTAGTCTCCATTCTACAACTGAAGTGGGTTTTTTGGTTTTTTTTGTTTTTTTTTTTTGAGACAGGGTCTCACTCTATTGCTCAGGCTGGAGTGCACTGGTACGATCACAGCTCACTACAGCCTTGGCCTTGACCTTCCGGGCTCCAGCAATCCTCCTGCCTCAGCCTTCCAAGTAGCAGGGACCACAGGTGTGCACCACTATGCCCAGCTATGTTTTTCATAGAGATGGGGGCCTCACTATGTTGTCCAGTCTGGCCTTGAACTCCTGGGCTCAAGGGACCTGCCCACCTTGTCCTTGCAAAGTGCTGGGATTACAGACATGAGCCACCACGCCCGGCCTCAAATGGTCTTTCTAAAAACAAGTGTAATTGTGTCCCTTCTGCCTAAAACTCTTTAGTGGCTTCTCTCTTCCCTCACAGCAAAGCCCTAATGGTGTTTGTGAGGCCTTGTGCATCTCTCTTGCCTCCTCATTTTCCCCGCTCATTCTATGTTCTACTGCTCTAATCTCACATCATTTGACTCATTGGCTTTTTCTTGGCACTGGTCCTACCTGCTCACGATTTGTTCTGTCTTCTCTACTCTTTTGTCATCATTCTACTTAGGTTCTAGGTTTCAGTTTTGACATTGTCCCCCAGCAAGCCTTTCTCAAATTCAAATCCAGATTTGTGATTTCTTGGCACCCTCTCTTCATTTATCTCAGCATGTCTCACACCATTTCACAGCATTTATGGTCATAGCATTGACTTGTCTGCAAAACCACTCCTCAGTAAGGTCCATGAAGGCAGGGAGTATTTCTTTATTGATACTGTACCCCAAGCACACTGGTTCAGTCTCTCCATCGTTTCTTGCTCTAGTTCTTTTTTTTTTTTTTTTTTTTTTGAGACAGTGTCTCACTCTGTCACCCAGGCTAGAGTGCAGTGGGGTGATCATCGCTCACTGCAGACTCAACCTCCTGGGCTCAAGTGACCCTCCCACCTCAGCCTCCTAAGTAGCTGAGACCACAAGTGTATGCAGTCACACCCAGCTAATGTTTAAATTTTTATTTTATGTAGAGATGGGGGTCTCACTGTGTTGCCCAGGCTAGTTTCGAACTCCTGGGCTCAAGCAGTCCTCCCAGTTCTGTCTCCCAAAGTGCTGGAATTAGAGGTATGAGCCACGGTGCCTGGCCCTTATTCAAATACTGATGGGAGAGAAAGATTGACCTAGTAAATTACCTATTGGGTAGAATGTTTTATGCCATGCCACCTTAGCGGTTGGGGACCAGCCTATAGATTGGCCAGTATTGGATCAGGTGGCATTTCTGGTCCAATAAAAGACTCTCTTGCTCAAGAAACATCTTTCATCACTTGGCGACTATGGGTGCTGAAGTCCCCTTAAAAAGAGCTAGTGGGCTTGTTAAGCATTCTAAGTGACATATTCAGCATAAACAGCAGCTTTGGAACAAGGGGCCAAGCTTGATCAGCCCACCTTCTATTTATTTCATAGCATTTACTCTCCCCAAAAGACAGTATTTGGTTGGATCAGGTTGCTACCATTCAACCTAGAGCATTTCCATTGAGCAACGTTTACCTCCCAGTCCACCCCAGCGCTCCTCATGCCTACAGAATGGGTTGCCTGTGGTTTGCATTGATCTGTGGTCCCATGTGGCCTATGTGGGTTTACTTAACTGAGAAGACACATGCAACAGTAAGGCAAACCATGTAGGGAAAAAACCCCTCTTGGGGTTTACTTCCCTCCCTCAAAAGGAGGCAGTTTAAATGGCAGAACTTTGAGCATTCTGGGGCTCCCTGGCATACTCACTTATCAAACATCATTAGAAAATGAGGGATTCTGGGTCAGAGAATCTTCCAGACAACTGAATGAATTCCATTTTAAACAGCAAAACTTAAGAACAAAACGTTTAAAGCATTTAATGAGTATTTGCTTTTCTGCTTTCATTAAGAACACAGAAGGTATTTAACTCTTAAAATGATGCCGTGCTGTCCTTATTACGTGCATCAGTCATTGTTCTGGGCCCTCAGGGCCTATTAAGCTGCAAAGAGCTGTTTGCTCCAGCACTAAATCGCCTCCCCTGGTTGACTTTTATTACTTTTGTATATGCTTTTAATCATTATCCAATATGTTTCTAGACTCTGGGTCTTCCTTTAACATCTCTTCTTGCCACATCCTCCTCTCTTCAGATGGGCTGCGCTCCATCTATTGTTGGCTGAAAATCCAGAAAACCAAGACTGGGAGAGGTGGCTATTGAGGTTCAGTAATTTCTTTTTTTCTTTTTTTTTTTTCTTCTTGAGACTGAGTCTTACTCTGTTGCCCAGACTAGAGTGCAGTAGCACCACCACAGCTCACTGCAGTCTTGACTTCCAGAGCTCAAGGGATCCTCCTGCCTCAGCTTCTCATGCACCACAGGTACACACCACTACACCCAACTACTTTTTGTATTTTTTGTAGAGACGGGGTCTCCCTGTGTTGCCCAAGCTGGTTGTGAACTCTTGGGCTCAAGCAATCCGCCTGCCTTGGCCTCCCAAAATGTTGGGGTTTCAGTCATGAGCCACTGCACTTGACCTGGTCAGTAATTTCTGAGTTAGAAAATGCTCTAGTCCATGAGAACTATGACTTTCCAGCCTAGGGGTATTTCTTCCCTACTTCCTCACCTCCTTTTGCATTGTGTCTCGGATCCTGTGGCCTATACCATATTATCTATGTGCTGACATTTAGAAAAAGTAAAAATCACAGTGTCAAAATCTAGGTTTGAAAGAATCTCTTAGGATCACCTAGTTTCACCTCCCTAGCATAGTTTCACCACGCTCTCTCTAGCGCATGCTCTGAGACTAGCTGAATATTCCATATTCTTTATCCTGGCTTGTTAAAGGAAGTATCTTCAAGTACTGAAATTGTAAGTTTTGAGGAAATAGAGATTGATGTAGGATTTTTCTTGGCCCCTTTGCTGGACTCACAGCAGGAGTGCCCCATCTACTTGGCCTGCCGTGCTCAGCCCATTGTGGGAGGGAGCACGTGGGTGAGTAAGTGCAAGACCTAGCTGGCTGCCCCTGACACAGAAGCAAGCTCTGTGTGGGCCCCTGGCCAGACCAGGTGTGTCGCCTCAAGGGGAATGTGGCAGCACCCAGATGAGGGTGCCTGTGACCCTGAAGCCCCAGAGGGGGTGTTACAATGCTCTCTTAGTTCCACCATGAGACAGTGGACTGTGGCGTGTTAGCAGCTCAGTTGGCCACTTGCCTCGTCATGGGGGGTGGCTGCCCTCCGTTGGCAAAGGCAAAGAGCCAGTGTGACAGCCTTTCAGGGTGCCCACAGTTGGTGGGTCCTGAGCTCTTGTCTGGTGTCCAAGAAGAATGAGGTCACACTGAAGATTGAAGGATGGTGAGGGCAGATAATTTTATTGTGAGATGAAAACAACTCTCAGTGGAGAGGGGAGCTGGAGAGGGAATGGGAAGGGCAGGTCATCTTCTCCAAAGTCAGGTTGTCTCTTCTCCTAAGTCAGGTCATCTCCTCCGCTACTGACTGAGTCTGGGGTCCAGAGAGGGGAGCTGGAGAGGGAATGGGAAGAGCAGGTTATCTTCTCCAAAGTCAGGTTGTCTGTTCTCCTAAGTCAGGTCGTCTCCTCCTCTACTGACTAGGTCTGGGGTCCAGAGAGGGGAGCTGGAGAGGGAATGAGAAGAGCAGGTCATCTTTCCCAAAGTCAGGTTGTCTCTTGTCCTAAGTCAGGTCATCTCCTCCTCTACTGACTGAGTCTGGAGTCTTTATAGGCACAGGGTGGGGAGTGTGTGCTGATTGGTTTGTGAGTATGCAAGAAAGGTTAAAGTGAAGACACCACTCAAAGGTGGGCACGGCAGTGTAGAAAACCAATTAGGAAAGGGTAGGTGTGTGTAAAATAGGTGAAGGGTGAGGATCAATCAGAGGAAAGCACGCCAAACGGGAAGACAAGTTCTCAATCCTGTCTGAGGATTTAACTTGCAGCTTGGGTTTCAGGCTTTAAACTGTCTTCAACCTGGAGGTGGGGTTTCACCAGGTACCCACTCCTAACTGCCTAGGCATTTGGCTGCCCCCTGTTGCTATCAAGATAAGCAACAGTAACACTTAAGATAAGCATCCCTTCCCTGTCTGAAGGTAGTTGTCTGAACCAGAGCTTCCTCTTCCAGGTGAGAGCTGTGTGGTTTTGGATAGAGATGCTACTGACGCAGACATCCTGTCATTTGGGAAGGATGGCCCAGAGTCATAGGGGAGAAGCAGGGAGTCACCTTGAGGCTGTTTGGCCAGAGAGACAGGCCCACATACGAAAGCCCAGAAGTTGAATGGCCATGGGCTGACACAGGGAAATGAATGAGCCTGCTTCATATCATCCACGTCCTCACTCCCTCCTTTGTCTGCTCCCCTTAGCCTGTGACAAAGCAGAGCCAATCGGGTCACTGGTGTGGGTTTCAGTGACTGAGTAAAGCAGGCTCCTCCACCACACTTGGCCACAGTGTCTTGGAGTGGTTCCCATCTGCGAAGAGGAAGGCCTGGGAGAGACACTGACCTGTTGTCCAGAGTCTGATAAGAGGACAGGATTGAGGTCATATTTCAGACAACTCAAGGGAGTTAGGATGGGGACTAGGGTTGTTACAAACGATGAGGAGAATTTTGGAGCCCCCAGCAGATATTTACCAGCTGTATCTTCAAAGAAGAATTAATCTTGGTCTTTGCTGTTTTTTCTCTGTCTGGCTTTGCAAACCTAAAAAGAGACATCATGTATCTTCTTCAGAATATATTCTTGGAATGGTAGATGAGGAGAATTAGGAAATAATAGCCCAAGTTAAATCAGATGTATAATTATAAAATCACAGCTCTAGGGTCTAAGGGTCCTTGAAGATTCTCTAGTTAACGCACACTGGTTCATGCATTTCAACTGTAACGTTACAGATAGCCCTCTCTTTTGGAGCACCTAAACAGCAGGGAATTCAGAATGTCCTAAAGTAGCCCAGGCCGGTATTGGACAGTTCTAATTCTTAGAGATTGCTGTAAGAAATCTGATTACCTGTAGATTTCACCTATTGATGTTTGCTTTGTCTCATAGAATAGTGCCAATCCATCCTCACATGCCAGACCTAAAATGTGTGGATAACTATTATAATCTTTTCAAAGTTAAAATGTAAACTTTTCAACTTTTGTTTTATTTAATTGGCTTCAAGCCTCTTAACTATGCTAGCCACCCTTCTCCAAGGAAATTTCAATTTGTTAATGGACTCATTATTTCTGATAGGGGAGCTTAAGATCACACTGGATTTTGCACAAGCTACTACTGTTCCACTGCTTTTTTATTACTGGTATTCAAACCCAACAAACTTTGTCATATACCACAGGGTCCTTAGTCTCAAGGCCTTAAGGCACAAAGCACCGTTGGCTGAGACCTTTATTTTTATTATTATTTTATTGTGTTGTACTTTTTAAAGAGATGGGATCTTGCTCTATGGCACAGGCTGGAGTGCAGTGGTGCACTCATGGCTCACTGCAGTCTCCAGCTCCTCAGCTCAAGCAATCCTTTCAGCCTCTGAGTAGCTGGGATCACAGGCATAAGCCACCATGCCCAGCTGCTGAAACCTTTAGTTGACCACAGAGATCAAGCTGAGTGCCAGGCCAGTTCTTGAAATTTGCATATTGATGGAGCTGAAGAGGGCTTCTGTCCTCAGTGACCATCTTGGGTTTGTCGTGGGAATCTGCAATATCCTCTGTCCAACAGGCTCAGCTTGATCTCTGATGTCACCTAAAGGTTTCAGTCACCAGGCACAATGGCTCATACCTGTAGTCCCAGCACTTTGGGAAGCCAAAGCGGGAGGATTGCTTGAGCCCAGGAGTGCAAAACCAGCCTGGGCAACTTAGTGCGACACTGTCTCTACAAAAAAAATTTTTTTAAAATTAGCCAGGTGTGGTTGTGCACACCTGTAGTCTGAGGAGGCTGAAGTGTGAGAATCCCTTCAGCCCAAGAGTTGGAGGCTACATGAGCTATTATCACACCACTGCACTCACAACAGAGTGAGACCCCATCACCAAACAAAACCAAAAGAATTGGCCTTGTGGCTTCCTCACTGAGAAGGGGAGCGAAGTGCTGCAGGCTGTAACTATGGGTTGAGACTTGGAAGCTTCTTCATGGGGAGCAGGGTGCCAAGACAAGGGATGGAGGAGTCATTCTGGGGGCGAGTCCTAACAAGAGCCCAGGGATGAGATAAGAGGCATTGTGCATGTTATGCTGACCACAAAACAAGACCGGCCAAGAAGAGACTGGAAGGCACATTGTTTCTGGTGGCCTGATCACAGAAAATGGTGGAAATCTGGTTTTTAATCACTCAGGAGAGTTTTTTCTGGCTTCACCCTATCTGGTCTTTCAAGGAGCTGAAGGGGTATTTGTCATTGTGAACTAGGGCAGATCCTTGCATTGCAAATTTATGAATGTTGGCCCATCTCAGATTGTTTGAGCAGATTTGAGGCCTGAAATCTGTTATCTATCCCTCCTAGTTTCCTGTCATCCGCTGATTTAATGAACATATCGTCATTGTCCTCATGTAAGTCACTGCAAATGTTTCACGGAGGAGGCCAAGGACAGATAGTTCTATGGCATGATATAAAAACCTCCCTTCAGGTTGACAGTCATTTATTAATCAAACTCTTTGAGGAGAGCCATCCAAGTGCTTGCTAATGTATCTAATGGTACCAGCATTGAGCTCAAATTTCTGAATCTGGTCCAGAAGGATCTAATGAGAAAGTGTCCAACGCCTTGCCGAGGGGTAACTTATTATGTTTTGCAATTCTATGTGCCAAAAGCAGAGTGGAGGTTAGACTGGCATGATTTATTCTTAGTTAACCCATTCTGACTCTTGGTGATCACTGTTTTCCTTTCAAAATATATCAACAATCCATTCCTTTAGTCCACTGCTCTTTAGTTTATAGAATCTTTTTTTTTCACCTTTTCTTGAAAAGTGGGAACATATTTAATCCTCTCCAGCCTACAGAGACTTCCCTCATTCTCCACAGTTGTTCAGAAAGTATCTGTAGCATTTCACTTTTCATTATTTCTTCAAGACCTTGGTAGTATAATTGGTTTATTTATTTATTTATTTATTTATTTTTGAGACAGGATCTTATTCTGTCACCTAGACTGGAGTACAGTGGTGCCATCATGGCTCACTGCAGCCTTGACCTCCCAGGCTCAGGTGATCCTCCCACCTCAGCTTTCCTGGTAGCTGGGACTATAGGAACTCCCCACCATGCCCAACTAATTATTTTGTATTTTTTTGTAGAGACAGGGTTTCACCATGTTGCCCAGGCTGGTCTCGAACTCCTGGGCTCAAGTGATCCACCTGTCTTGGCCTCCCCAAGTGTTGGGATTACAGGCATGAGCCACTGAGCCTGGCCTTTGGTATAATTGGTGTAGATATGGAGATCTGAACTCATTGAGAGCAATAACAACCAACTTTGGCTTTTCTCTTACAATGTTTGTATTATCTTTCCTAATATGAAGATCAATTGCCTTGAGATAAGATAGAAAGAAAAAAAATAAACTGGAGCTGAGTAGTTCTATTTTCATCTATGATCAATTAATATTCAGTCTCTTCCCCAAGCATAAGACTTCCTTAGTCTTCTTGCACTTGATATACCTTTAAACTCCCATCTGCTTCTTGGTTATCAGTGGTACTTATCTAGGCTAAAACCCAGAAAAGTGCTAATACAGTTTTTATAGATGACTGACATGGAGTTCTTTTTTGTTTTTTAAATAATTGTTTTAATTTATTCCAGAACCACCTAGTCATGGTGAAACCTAACTTTATTAAGCTCCTGATTTTGGAGACCTACAATATCCTGCCTTCTGTATAGAAGAAGTATAGCCTTTCTACCGCTGCCTCCATCGTTTGCTTAAACTAATGTGAGTGAGTCTCCTTTATAATAATCAAATGGGCCTAACCAGAACCACCAGCAACCTTCATGCTTTGTTGCTTTGGGCTTCTGAGACTGTCCCTTTTAAGGTAGTCTTCGTGTTTGGTTTAGGCACTCTTTGTAGAGGATCCTTCATTCTCCCAAAAAAACTGCTGTTTGAAAACCAACATGGGCCAGTATTTCCCAGATCCCTTTGGTAACCACTGTCATGATCGTGCCCAACAAAATGCTGGCACTTGTGGGTGCTCCAAATGCTTGCTTGAATGAAGCAATGATTGAAGAGAAGTCTCTAGCCCCTGAAAATGCTCTCAAAAAGCCAAAGGAAAGCTCCATGGGGTTAGCAGAAAAAAGAAAGGGAGAGAGAAAGAGAAATTCTACACAATCATGAATTTCTTTCCCCTTCGTCTTTCTTTCTCTGCTTCCGTGTCAGAGAGAGACTTAGAGGTGTGCTGGAACACAAGTCACAGAAGAAGGAAGTAGAGAAGGAAGGGGAAAGGTAAGAAAAAAAGGAAACGGACATTGTCATATAAGAGGGGGAGTCATGGCATTTCAAACCTAGAAGGGACTCAAGCATCCATTTAGCCTAACTTCTTCATGTCACTGATGAAATATGAGCATTTGGTTTGGCATTTAATACAAATCTGCTGAAAAAAAAAAGTGAAGAAATTGAGGTCGAAAGACGTAGGTTAAACAATTTGTCTAAAGTTACAAAGCTAGTGAGTGTCAGAGTGAGGGCTAGAAGCCAGCCCACCTATCCAGTAATCTCCCACCACTTGGCTCTCAGGGTGGCCGAGGAGGGGACAGAAGAGAGGGGTCAGGATGAGAGGGGAATGGCGGGGTGGGCGGATGGCAGACTAAGTGGGAGGAGAAAAACTAAATTTGCACGTCGGCTGTTGGCCTCCCTTGTGACTTGCTTTTCTCCAAGCAGAAGAAAGTTTACAGCCACCTCACCTACTCAATCTGAACTTCACGGTTTCCCCATCCCGCCAGAGTGCTCTAGTTGGCTGGAGGCCTGGTCGAGACTGCCCTGTGACACAACTAGCTAGCTGCACAACCAGGGCAAAATACTGCTGGATTAACCCATGCTAATGGGTTACCTTTATTTAGTAATCATGGGTCCCTCATAAGCATGGTCCAGATCCGAACTGTTTTTGGAAAGATCTTGGACTTTCTAGAATTTCACCTACCCTGGAGTATGAAAACACACTGAAACAGAACTGGATAAGGATTTTAAACAGAACTTGCAAGTGAGATCATCATGTCCCCACCACCACTACCCTGCTGCCTCCTGACCCAAGATGATGAAGAACTGCAGCAGATTTTTAAAAAATGTTCCACATTCCCTTTGCTTCTCATCTCTAGAAAACTCTCCAGATCAAGAACTTTGGCCTTGGAGTATGGAGTTGGAGGTCATGCAGACCTGATTTCAAACGCAAGCTGTCACATGGTTGCGTTACAGTGGGGAGGGGACTTACCATCTTGAAGACAATTTAGATAGTAATAGCAACATGGAAAGACTGTGAAGACACTTATGATTTTGTGGGACCACAGTGCCTGGGAAACATCACGTGATTCATACATGTTGATTACATGTGTTGCTTGAATGAGGCCCTGTGGGCTTGAATCCTAACACCCTCACTCTCCAGCAGTGTGAACTTGGAGCAAGTTACTTGATTTTCTTTTATTTTTAATTAATTATTATTATTTTTTAGAGATGGAGTCTCACTCTGTTGCCCCGGCTGGAGGGCAGTGACGTGATCATAGCTCTCTACAACCTCAAACTCCTGGGCTCAAGCAATCCTCCCGCCTCAGCCTCCTGAGCAGCTAGGACTAAAAGCCTGCACCCCCATGCCCAGCTAATTTTTAAAGCTAATTTTATAGAGATGGTGTCTCACTATGTTCTCCAGGCTGATCTCCAACTGCTGGCCTCAAGTGATCCTCCTGCCTTGGCCCTTCAAAGCTTTAGGATTACAGGCATGGCCACTGTGCCTGGCCTTACTTGATTTCTTTATATGTTGGTTTTCTTACCTGTAATAAGGATATCTAATTGCAGATATCTTATGGAGATACTAATAGTGACTGCCTCATAGATGTGAGGATAAATGGAAATAATGCACATGCAATGCTTAGCACAGAAGCTAACAGATGATCAACCTTAGCTCTCGTGATTATTTCCTCATGTCATGTGATTTCTTGATGAACGCCTTGGTGTCTTGGGGGGCACCAAACAAGCTGGTTTAAAGTCCGTGTTCAAAACATCTGCCAAGGGCAGCCTGGCACCACGCTTGGGATAAATGTCTTCACTCCAACACAGCCTCATCTGGGCTAAGGGAGTCAAGCATCAGGTTTTATGGGTCTGACGAAGATGTTTGAAATATTGTAGGAGACTGTCAAGGAATACTTATACCCACTCTGAAAAAGGGCCGTTCTTAATTTTCATCTTTCCTGTAAGTCAGAAAGATATATACTCTCCAAATAATGGCAGTTTCCTTGTCCTGAAGTTATGGCAGCTTGGTGATACAATAAACAGCACCCTGTCATAAGGACCACATAAAACATGGTCTGACATTTCTTTAAAAGTAAAAAGAAACACAACCGCAGCAGATGACCTTTCCTCCGAGGGCACAGCTGTTTTGTGTGGTTAGAGGGACCCGCAGTCTCATATTTGGGGGCTACGATATACGACTGGCTTTTCACAAAGTGTTTCCATGAGAAACTACAGTACGTTCCAAAGGGGAGCACCAATTCACATCAGGCAGGGAGGATTTTTTTCCCCTCTTGATGTTTTCCAAATGATATTTGTGCTGAATATTTGCTATTAGAAACTTCTTTGGTGCATGAAGTGTGAGTGGTATCGAGAATACCAAGGTGTCTTTTGCTTCCTGGTGGAGTTTGATGGTGGGCTTTCTACCGGGTTGGTGAGCCAGCACCTTCGTGGACTTATGAGGAGTCACTCAAGCAGTGGTGCTTCTGTGGGTCAGGACTGGAAGTTTCTGGGGGAAAATTTAAACTAGTCCCTTTGTTAGAGATGGTAGGCGATTTCCATTTCATCTAAAAATGTTTATTCCTTTTGTTGAATATTATTTGTGCAATGTGCTAAAATGAACATTTAATAAATCTAAAAAATGTCTAGTTGTACATATGTTAGTGAGACTGGATGTTTTCTTCTTTTCCTTGTTCTCCAAATTATCTTTAACATGTTTTTATTTACATCCTAATAAAAATGAAATTAAAAAGGAGTGTTACATCTCCATTTAATTTTCTGATTGAGTTATCCTGGACATCAGTGGTAACTGAAAACATTCCTATTAAAGCACTAGATCCCCTCCCCTCAAAACCTCTATCCTCTAAATTAGAATAATAAGCCCTTTGAGATGGGAATTTGGCAGCCTCTCCACAGGATGGAGAGGAGCATATGTCAATTACTGATGGCCGTGGTGCCGAGATAAAAATGTGGTCTTGTTGCTCATATCCAAAATCCTGCTACTGACCTGACAACAGCAGAACACTGAGTGCATGTCCCAGTATGGTGGGAGATTTGTTCTGATTTATCTCTGGTCTCTCACCTTGTCCCCTGTGTGACCAAAGCTGGGCATATGCAAAATGACTGGCCTGGTTGAGAAGTACAAGGTGAGGCCCCCGAAACAGTTGACTTATTGGTAATTAGACCACACTGGTATTGAACCCATGACCTCAGCCTCATTAGAGCTGCATTCAGGCCAACTGAGTTGACCAGAAACAGATTCAAAACAGTGAGTGATAGAGGTCTTTGGTGCAGGGTCAAAGGCCTATTTACACTACCCAAGAGCATAAGTGGGTTCCTACTCTACCGTGTTAAAGGAGCGGCAGCAGACAAGATGGCCCAGTGGGTAGGTCATGATTCCCTGCTTTATACAATTGTACAGCATTGCTGTTCTGGCCAACTCCCACCTTCCTTTAACTAGGTCTTCATGTAACTCACAGGTTAAAAAGGAGAGAGACAAGTGTTTCAACAGGACTCTTCCCGTCCCCGCCCCTGCCAAGTTGCTAATGGCTTATAGTAACAAAAACACTAGGACTAAAGTCCATTTCTTTAGGAAGGAGTTCCTTTGAAATGACACTCTTTAAATTAAAAATATCCAAGTCTAAAATGGTGTCCATGGTGAATTATTATTTTCATCCTTTGCTTTTCAAGGAGATCTAAACACAGCTGACCAGTGATCACTTTGTGTAGAAAAGGAATCGGTTTCCCAGTGGGAGAGCAAAATACATGGAAAAGGCAAGACATGGGACTGATGAGATCTGTGTGCTACATCAAGGAAACAGACTAGAAATAAACTCAATATATGACAGAATGTTATGTGTGATAACAGTGGCACTTCCAGTGGGAGGAGAATAGATTGCTTAATAATGGCCGGCCATTTAATTAAGAGAGTTTATAAAATCTCTCCTTCAGACCACATCCAAAGTGAAGATTTAGATGTGAAAATAAAACTTTACAATTCTAAAATATAACTGAGTAATTTTTTAGTAATCTTGGAAGGCTTTTCTGTGCTTAAAAGTACAGAAATCATAAAAAAAAGAGATAATTTCATTCTGTAAAAATGTATTATGAAAACTTATGTATATATAAAATACTAAATATTAAAAGGCATACTAGGTGACCATATTTTTGGTGCCTATGGAAGAGTTAACCTAAAGATATTTATAATGCAGATGGAAGATTTAATAAGAAAGCATTTAGAAATCAACAAGAAAAAGATGAACAACTTAATAGAAAACAGATGAAAGAAATGGACATCCTTCACATCAGAAAAAATGTAAATGGCCAGTAAATCCATGAACAATATATTTAACTTCCTTGGTAAAGTCAAGAAGTACACATTTTAATCAATTGAAAGTTAACTTTTTTCCCAAAAAAATGGCCAAGATAAAAATAAAATCACTGACAGTGTTGCAAGGAAATTACTACTTTTTTATACCACTTGTGGCCATATAAATTGCTATAACTTTTCTAGAGGGTTATTTGACAATACAGAAGAAAAGTCTTAAAATTTTACATGGGCCATGACCCAGAAATTCTACTTGTGGGAATAAATCTGAGAGGAATAATCATGTATTTGTGCAAAGATTTTGCTATTAGAATGTTGATCAAAGCATTTTTATAATAACTAAAAATGGGAAACATCTTAAATCTCTTACAATAGGTTACATATATCATGGTGTATGATGTATGTTGGGACTTCATGCAATCATAACATATTGTAGAAAAAAATTAAAAAATTATATCTCATATCATGGAAAAATATTCACTAATGTCTTGTTAAAAAAGTAGCTTCAAACTGATAATATTATAAATTACATATGCATAGAAAAAAATGGTAGATAATATATATCACATATATCAAAATGCTAAAATTGTTTTCCTCTAGCTGCAGGAATTATAAATGTTTTTAAATGTTTCTTTTTATCAGATTTTTTTTTACAGTGAATACATTATTTGGAGCACAAAAGGTAAAGCAATATATTTTGTTTCAAATACTATAGCTGTCACAGTTTAATCATGGAGATTAAGTGGGATAATGTATAAGAAAGTTCCTAATACAGGATTAGAAAGATAAGGGGGCCTTGGTACTGGAGATCTGAATTTGAATCTAAAATGTTACCAAGTAGTCCAAGAACTTTGAGCACTCTCCATTTAAGATTGACTTCCCTAGTTGGTGAATTATATGAGCCCAAAGTGACTCTCTTTCTTCTGTGTTCTTGTTAGACTTTCTATTTCAATGGCTCATACATCTCTCCATAAGATGGCAGGCAAGAAGCAGAGGAAAAGAAATAAATTCCCATCTGTCATTTTAAGATCATTCCTATCATATTCATTTTCCTCACTGTACCGTAAAGCACACTGTAGTGGGACTCCCTTCTTTAAGGCAAACTGAAGCAATAAGTCTTCCTTCTCCAGCATTACTGGGTTCAGTAGCAATTGTTGTATTATCTTTTATGCTACACAAAAATAGATGTTATCTGCATGCAAACTGAACATCAAAGTGAACCCAAGACTTATGACCTATGGATTGGTTATGGAAGCACAGAGGTTTTGGCTGACAAGGAGGGATGGGGCTTAGGGCTGGTGAGGTGAATGCTTAGGCGGTGGGAAGTGGAGCAAGATGGGGACAGTGCTGGAGCTGGCATGGAGGTGGTTCTCTGTTAGCACCAGAGTTCACATCTGGGTCTATGGGAAATAAAAAGAAGGGAACCCTACACATGGGAATGTAAAATGTGCTCTATACAAAGGATCCCCTTAAGATTTGGGATATAACACATCTCTTTTTTGGCCATCCTTGTGAGAGACCTTGTCACTAAGGGGCCTGTGTGTGTATACGTGTGTGTATGCATGTGTGTACACTCACAGGGTACTGGTGGCTGAGTGGTTGCTGTAGGTGGGCGTTAGGATTTAGAGGGAGATTTTTCCTTACTCCACAGAATGTAGTGTTGGTGCAATGCTGGAAGCTGAAGGACACAATGGCAATCCTTTTTGGTGACATTAAAGGGGCAGTGAAAGAGACGATGGAACCAAAATTATGCAGATGGACACGACACTGTGGCTGTCGGGGCTTGTTCTTGTGCATTGTAAACCCCCTCCGAGGCCCTGAGACATAACACTGGGGAACTGGTTAGGGGGCTGGATATTCCATTACAGCAAGTAGGGTAGAAACACTCAACAAAATATGGATTACTACTGTTAATGTAACTTTCCTTTAAATCCCGGCCTTAAGTGTCCTGGGAAAACGTGTGTGACATAGACAAGTGTTAGTTTCTGTGATTGATTGAGCTGGCTGGAGCTTGGTACTAATGAGACCAAGGCCAAGGCACTTGGCTGTATCCCCATAGGGTCTGTTAGTGTTTCATGGCTCCAAATCTGAGGTGACACCCTTTACCCTTGCACATATTGGGGATTGGGTGAGAGAGTATAGTGTCTGACTCCAGTCTAATGCTATTCCAACACCATGCTTTCCCCTCTAACACAATGCCACTTCTCTGAGTACATGTGTAGCCGACTTGTGTAATAGGACAATCTAATCAATGACACTGTCTCTAGAGCCACATTGCACTTAAAAAGCAGAGGCTGCCAGAATGAAGGACAGCAAAGGTTTCTGGTCATTTCAGTGGATCCAGGTTGTTCTACCAATTGGCAGTCACAGGCAAAGCAAATAGAGTTTGAAATAAACCATGCCCAGGTTACCCTGTTGCCTGAGAGTTTGACTACAAACCTTGGTTCTTTCTCTGCCTTTTAAGAAGTAGTTGGTAATCTTTAGCCATGTAAATGTTGAAAAGAGTCAAGTTGAATGCTTTACCCAGATGCCCTGAATCCTCCACCTTGAAGTGTCCTGTCACTTTAGGATTAATATGTGGGACCAGTCAGCTTAGACCTGGGTGATATGGTTTGGCTGTGATTCCCATCCAGATCTCATCTTGAATTGTAATCCCCATAATCCCTACATGTAGAGGGAGGGTCCTGGTGAGAGGTGATTGGCTTATGGGGGCGGTTTCCCTCATGTTGTTCTAATGATAGTGAGTGAGTTCTCACAAGATCTGATGGTTTTATAAGTGTTTGACAGTTCCTTCTTAGCATCCTCCCTTGCCTGCTGCCATGTAAGATGTGCCTGCTTCTTCTTCCACCATGATTGTAAGTTTCCTGAGGCCTCCCCAGCCATGCGGAACTGTGAGTCAATTAAACCTCTTTTCTTCATAGATTACCGAGTCTTGGGCAGTTCGTTATAGCAGTGTGAGAATGGACTAATACACTGAGGCTCAGAGTAAAACCAAGCCTTGTTATCCTGGTCACATGGGCTTTCTGGGGCCTGTGTCACAGCATTGGGTCAGAAGGAAAGGAAGGGAGAGATCAAAATTCAAACCCAGCCTGGGGTTCTGCTTCCACTTAAGATATAGAAAGCCACAAGAGAACATTGCTTCCACCCTAACGTTGAGCAAAAGCTGGGCAATCTACAAAATCATAACTTTTTTTGAGCCCATCGGAGAGCTGAGGTCACAAGGCAACCCAAACTGAATTCCAGTGTTGGGGCAGTAAGCCCATCCGAGGAGACCTGAGACACATGAACTACTGTGCTTTCTGCAAGGCATGGGAAGAAGTGGCAACCGTGAGCAGCTGAAATGTTAGCAGATTCTCAAAGGCCAAGTATGGGTTCATGCTACTTGCTAGTTATTTGACCACTGACAGGGCGCTGGGCAATGAGCTGAGTAGGGACTTTTTTGAAGTGGTCAGCCTCGTTTGGATCCTTTTTATTCTAGAGTAATGGAAAGTGGGTATCTTGGTTATCTACAGCTGTGTGACAACCCCAATCTCAGCAGCTTAAAACAAACACTTATTATCTCCCAGTTTGTGAGTCAGGAATTCTGGTGCAGCTTAGGGTTAGGATGGAAGGGCCTAGAGTTGTAAGAACAATGGGAGAAGGAAGGAAATAAACACGTGTCACATGCTTTATGTTATGTCATCAAGTGCTCAATACAAACCCATGTAAAAGGTGTTAACCCCATTTTACAAATGAGAAATCAAGGCTCAGAGAGGGTAAGTGTCTTTCTCCATATATTATATATTATATGTAGGTTATATAGGTATTGCGATGGTTGCACAACTCTGTAAATACACTAAAAATCATTGCATTATACACTTAAAACAGATAAATTCTATGACACACTTAAAACAGATAAATTATACACTTAAAACAGATAAATTCTATGATATGTAAATTATATCTCAATAAGCTATTTTTTGGACCATGCAGGTAGTATGCAGTAAAGTAGGTAATTTCAAACCTAATTATTTTTGACTCTGTATTAGTTTGCTCAGGCTACCGTGACAAAATGCCACAGTCTGGGTGGCTTAAAGAATAGAAATTTATTTTCTCATGGTTCTAGAGGTTAGAAGTCTGAGATCAGGGTGTTGGCATGTTTAGTTTCTTTGGAGGCCTCTCTCCTTGGCTTGCAGACGGCTGCCTTCTCTTCCCTGTGTCTTCACATGGTCTTCTCTCTGTGTCTGTGTCCTAATCTCTTCTCATAAGGACACCAGTCGTATTGGATTAGGGCCCACCCTAACAACCTCATTTTAACTTAATTACCCCTTAAAGACCTTATCTCCAAATATAGTCACATTCTGAATTACTGAGTGTTGGAACTTCAACACTGGAGGGACACATCACAGACTCCAGCTTATTTTTTTCTTCTGTAGACACTTTTTCAGACAATAGAAGTCCATTGTTGTGTTTGTTCATGAAATCTGCTCATAAACATCAATGTATAAAAAGGAATTTTTTCCCCTGGCTTTATTAGTGTAATACTTGTTTTGTTCTGGTAGAACAATATTGGGAAAATTGTCATTTCTACATTTGCAAATAGTAACAGTTTAAAATAAACAGCTCATATTGCAATCTCTGGATACTCTTCAAATACACTGATGCAGAGCCCAAAAGAAAAATAGTTGGATTTAAAAAAAAAACTTGGGTTGAATTACTACCAATATTTAACATCTGTTAATATTCTTTATCGCTAAGAGATAAACAAAATAAAACAAAATAAAAAACATCCAAAAATGTATAACAAATGCTAGCGCTATTTGTAATATGATGTTATTGCAAGTCTTGTCATCTCTTTCCTGGTTACTGTACAACTGACAGATGCTGGGAGACACATGCTCTGAGCAGATATGCATGAGCACAGTCAGTTCATGTTAAAAGAACATACGTGCATGTACAACGTTACACGAGGAGTCATACATTGGCCTGGGTTTGTAAAAAGTCCAGACACACAGGCTAATTTACTGGTGTCCTAATGTGTTAAAATGTGACGTATAAGACATTCAATGGTGCATTTAACTTTTTTAAAGGTAAAACTAGTTTTTAAAGATATGTGATTCACATATTTGTCAAACCCTTGTGTAACCTGGGGTTCAGGGGTATGCATTTTGAAACTGCCTGCAATATATCTCAGAGCTCTCCACACTTCCCATGTCATTGACAACTGACCCTCGAACTGGTCTGGCTCAGACACCATGGATGGCTGGCGGGCGGTTGACACAGGCAGGACCTGGCTTGTGAGCTTATCTCAGATGTATCAGAGCATAAACCGGAGGATGGGAGACCCACTGAGGGAAAAGCCAGGTATGTGCTTGGAAGAACAATTCCAGGACGATTTGAGCTAAAGGCTTCCTTCTGGGTTCACTAACCCATGGAATTAAAGGGCCATGGGCGAATCCCTCTTATCTGTTCTCCAGATCAACCACAAACCTGAGCATTCCCCAGGAAGAATCGAGTGTCACTTAAAGGCAACCACTGTCTTTCTGTCTGCTTCCTCCCTCAATTAGAGAAGGCTTTGTAGCACTGGGACCAAATGAGTCAATAAAAGGGGCTTATTGACCATTTGGCACTCAGATGGGAGCCAGGTCTCTCAGCCTCTTCCTGGTTCTCATTTATTCTTCCTCCACACCCCTCGCCCCATCTTTTAAACCAATTAAGGGAACTGCAGATTTGGTTCAAGTGCCACAAAAGCTGTTCTTTTTGAGTAGTGAGTTTTTCAGTCAACGAGGAGAGTCCAGCCAAAATCCCTTTATCTCAAAGACAAACAAAGGAAGCTAATGAGGGAGATGGGAGGATGGGGGAACAAGGGACATTCTGGAAGCTTTAGCAATTCCTCCGAGGAGATAATGTGATTTTATGCGGGCTGAATGTTGTGCACGGAACCTTTCAGCCAAGAATCTCGCGATCATGCAGTGTTTATCCACGGGATGGCAACAGAGAGCCATCTATGCCTGCGTCCCGGCTCCTGGAATAACTTCACCTCAATGTTGCTGAAGTTTAAAATCCCTTTTCTTTATTGAATGGAACAATACCAAGAATTTTGCTTAAGAGGTGTTTGATTCTTGACTGTTTAGAGCCCCCCTTCTCGCTCTGTGCCCACTTTCTATCTCTTCACATCCACCTGTGGCCACGCTTGTTATTTTTCATTATTAGGAAAATAGGTGTGGATATGGACGGTCACTGTTTTAACCTCCTTAGCAAACTGCCAAGGAATATTTTCCTCTTTTCCTTTTAGACAACAGCACATGTTACTCTTTGAAAAAATATTTTTCTTTTAATTGAGAACTAAGTAGCCAACCTTGCTGCGTATGAAGTTTTTTTTTTGCCTCCTCCCTACAGACAATCAGACCTGTCTTTTGTCAGACTCCAGGCTAAATGTCTCCTTCTTTGGGCAGGTCATTGCCTCCTGGCCTGGTCTGACCACCGAGAAGACAATGTGAGGTTTTGTGGGAAGTTTGAGAGAAGAGTGAGGAAACTCGAGTGGCTTCCTGCTCTCAAGAGGGAAAGCCTGGGTGATATGGCGCACACCAAGGCCCGTGGGGGTTGCTGCTCTCCTGGGACTTAATTGATGGTGTTGTTCTAGAAACAAAGAATTGCTGAGGAGGAGTTGGAGCAAGACAGAGACAGAAAAGGCAGGGACTTCTTGATGTAGCCATCTTGTGAGTTTGAAATAGCTGCATATCTCTTTGGCTCTGAGTGCAGTCAGTAACGTGTAGGTGCCACTGGCTTGACTATCACATTGGAAAAGAGAGCAGGGGTAAAAATTAAAGAAGAAAGAGAAGACAAGAAAGGAGAGGGAGAGAGAATAGAAGAAGAATGGAGTGTTCTCATGATAGAGGTCACCTACCGATGCTTGTAAGACAGTCCTTGCTGGAGCTCCCAGAGCCTTCCACGTCACGTCCGCAGCCTTGCCTGGCTCTCTGCCCAAGTTGTGTGCAGGACACACCAAGAGCCAGATTCCAACCACTGGGGAGTCAAGAGGGCCATGGGCTGGCTGCAGGGATCCAAGTGGCTGATGGATATCCAGCCCAAGAATCTGTCCCTTGGCCTGGGACTCATAGTGGGAGTCCAGAAAAGACCCCAAATCAGTGTCTGTTGAGCTGAGAACTGGAGCCGGACTGTACAACTTCCCCTGGGATCCTGAAACCGTCTCCCACAGTGTCAGCCACTGATTGTCCCTGTAGCCTGGAGCTCCAAAGGAAGGGTCTGAGGCCAGCAGGAGAGGCAGCATGGTCAGAGGAGGCATGTAGACAAGGGAAAAGGAGAAAGGCCGGTCTGTGAGTGTGCGCTGGAGTGCCAGAGCATGCTTATTCAGAGGCCCTTAGGTGGGGAGGTCCAGAAATCAGAATCAAAGAAGAGACTTCTCTGGGGACATCTTTTGAATCATATTGAATATAACCTTATGTTGGGCCTGGTGTGATGGCTCACGCCTGTATTCCCAGCATTTTGGGAGGCTGAGGCGGGTGGATCACCTGGGGTCAGGAGTTTGAGACCAGCCTGGCCAACATGGTGAAACCTCATCTTTACTAAAAATACAAACATTAGCCAGGTGTGGTGGTGCATGCCTGTAGTCCCAGCTACTCGGGATGCCGAGGCAGGAGAATTGCTTGAACCTAGGAGGCGGAGGTTGTAGTTAGCCAAGATCGCACCATTGCATTCTAGCCTGAGCAACAGTGTGAGACTCTGTCTCAATAAATAAATAAATAAATAAATAAATAAATAAATAAATAAATATAATGTAACTTTATATTCAATCAAATATCACTATTTCATATTTGTATAAACTTATATAACAAGCAAAACAAAAGAAGGGCCTTCTTGGCCAAGAGCATATTGGAAAGGCAAGACAGGGAAATTCTCTCAAGAGATGACAGAATTTGATTCTGCTTTTGGAGTACATATGAAACTGTTTCTGTATTTGAAAGCCAGTTCATACCCATTTATTGTGTTCAGAGCATTGTTGATTTCCTGAATGTTTCATGGCTGGTAACATTGAGGTCAAGGTATGGTATGAGCTGTGCCTCTCACACCATTTGATATTTCTGACTTAACCACTGAATTATTTTTGTTTACTTCAACCTTCAACCCTCAGCAAAAATAATACTATATATTTGTACAAGACTGAATACAAGTGACTTATCCAGTGTCACCTGTAAGGTGTTAAAGGAGTGGGGCAGAAGTCAGGCAAAACCTAGTGTTTATTTTACATTTCAGTTTTGCAGTTATTTATATATATATCTTACAGAATATCCCATCCTGGGCAACATAACAAGACTCCATCTCTGCAAAAAATAAAAAAATTAGCCAGGTGTGATGGCATGCACCTATAATCTCAGGCTACTTTGAAGGCTGAGACAGGAGGATGGCTTGAGCCCAGGAATTTGAGCTATAATCATGCCACCACCTGGGTGACAGAAAAAAAAAAGAATATAATGTTTATAAGATACTTTATTAAATATTTCTTATTTTAATTCAATTTTTTAGTTTCTTAGTTGTCCTCCACTCTCTTTACGCTGTAAAGTGAGACCAGAAAATGAGACATCAGAGAGTGTTGTGATGTTCTATGACCATCCTTGACTGTGTGTGGCAGGGTATGGTTAGGGAATGGGAAGACATTAGGGAGGAGTTTGGCCATGGCAAAACTGTAGACCAATTCCATCTTCTTGGTACTGGCACAGCCCCTTAACCTTCATAGTCCTGGCCAATACTTACCACTCTCCTTCTATGACAATTGTTTTATCTACATAAGATATAGTTTTTATGTATCTTAAAATGACTAGACAGCAAACTAAAAGTATTTCTTCTTATGCAATGAAATCTGATGTCTAAAAGTCAGAGGTTTAGAGGTTTTTAACTTGGAGATTAGAAGAAGGAATCATTTTTTTAAAGATGAACACTCATAAGGTATTATTGTCCTGAAGGATTCTTCGAATATCTTTTGATAATTTTTAACGTAATGAGATTGGGAAATCTCCAAAGCCATAGAACTGCATTGGCAGGCAGTAAAATGGTTTTTAAATTTTTCAAGTTAGCCACTCTTCGGTTGTTCTCGTATTCTAACTCACCCAGATATCCAGTGGGATTGAGAACTGGCCCTAATGGAACCTTCAGCAGGAAGACTTCATTACACTATCCCTCATTTAATCTTCTCGCGTAAAATATTCCTAACACCGGGTCCCTTGGCAAACGCCCTAAAGAAGTTTCATTTCAATAATATTGCTTTGTATTTATATAACCTCTATATCCAAGGAGCTTAAAAACACTTACGGCCCATGCTTCATTACTTAGTTTAACCAAAAAGACAGTCAGCCCATTTCATATTAACAAATTTAAGGGCTCCCTTTGGAGACAGGTAGTAATAATAGCACTTGGTATGACACATTTCTCTCCCAGGAAGCTCAAAGTAATTTGGACAATGAAATGACTGAAGAATCTAAGGAACAGACCAAGCAAGTTTTTGGTCAAAAGACAACACAGCAAAAAGCAGGCACACTGGAAATCAGAGACAGGACTTGACTCCAGTCAGTATTCCATTCACACTAGTTGCAAGTAAGTAGTGGTAAATTAGAGGAAAAGGGAAAGTGACTTCCTTTTATTCTTTGTGGCAAATCTTGTGCAGTTTCATTTTTGTTCTCGACTAAAAGGAAGAGTCTCCCAGGCCTTCCTCTGCATCCAGATGTGAGGCTGCATTTTTTATCTCTGTGTTCTGGCTAGTTCTCCCAAGATGTTGATGGAACAACACAGAACATTATCTATGGTAAAGTTGCAATTAACCCAGTACTCAGGGAGTGAGGCATTTTAGTTCTTTGAATTAAATAGTCAATGAATGTCCCATAGTAAACCCTTCCTGTTTGAATGCTTCTTAATGTCTGGAGACCAAGGTTGAATCTCTCGTTGGTGATTCTGGTTCTCTGAGTTCCAGTCCCTATCCAGACCAGCTCATCATTGTCAGACCTGCTGATAGATCAAAGATGAGAAATGGGAAGGAGACCTTGTTCTGGTCTCTGGGTGGAGCCCTGCGTTGTATTTTCACCAAATACGGGAGAATCCCTGCTGTGTGTTTCACATTTACCTGTCCCTACTTCTCTCTTCCCCTAAACCCATTCTTCTAGAGTCTTGGCATGGTGATGCCTCAGTCAACAAGGATTCACCATGGTGCAGAGGCTCAGAGAGTGTGGAGATTGTGTTGCTGAGTGCTGTGGTTACTGCACATTGTCCATCTGGGCGTTTGGTCCTTTGTCTGTCTCCCCTTTGTGCTCCTCTTGGGAAAACTTGGGATGCAGTTCAGGAAAGGCAGAACTCTGCATGACTCTTTCTCCATACTGTATGTTTAAAACCTGCCCTTGATGCCTGATCTCATTCCCTGTGCCATGTAGTTGTACAATTCCTATGTTTGTTGTTTTATGTGGGGGTGGGGGTGTGGGAATAATACGGGGTGGGGGGTGGGAATAATACATTTTCAGTCTCCTATAAATAACCCTCTAATGCCCCTCAGAGTTATCTGTCTTCCCAGTTCCCATCAACAACATGAGCTGGTTGGTCCCTTGAACAGAGCCTAGCATAGAACTTCTTGGGGGCACATGTGTAACTGGCTATGCCCGTAATCTTAGGATGAGTTTTCTTGCCCCAAAGAAGTCTGATTTAATCTCAAGTGAAATACAGGCTGCGGGATCCATTGTTTAGAGACTCCAGGCTTCTCAGAGTAAACACTCCATAGCGAGAGACCTCTAGGTTGCTTGGCATAGATATGGCAACCTGAACTTGGCCCTGTCTCCGAGCGCATATGGTGTTCCAAGTCAGGATCACACGCGGCAATTTACCATACTGTGCATGGGGAAAATATTTATAGGGTAATAAATGTGAGCAAAGCATGTTTGTGCTCTGTGCATAATTGGCAGTAGAATATGTAGATGAACTGATTTCTTGTATTCCTCTTTAAGGAGATATGGCCAGATGCCCTCCCAAACATGTCTTGGAGCATAGCCTTCAACTCCAGGGCAAGGGATGAGGCTGGGGGAAGAGGAAGTCCTTCACCGGTTTAGGACTAATACCTCGTAATGAATTCAGGGACTTCCAAGTATGATCTGGCTAAACAACAAATATAGATTTTTTTTCTCTAAAAGCATATTCTTCTATATGTGGAATATGGATCAACCTTGTGAAATAAGCTTTATGTAGAGCTTTGCAGACATAAAGAAGAATGTGAACATGATAGGACTATTGTTACAGCAAATAAAGGCAGGAGAAATTGTCTCAGTGAGACAAACTTCTCTGTTCGGGATGTAAATCTCTGTTCAGAGATTTGTTGACAAAGAATTCAGAAAGTGCATTTTCAACTGTGTAATTTCATTAGATACTATGTGATCATTCCAACATAACTGTAATGTTATTGAATAGTTATAGCACCTTTACTTTTAAAAAGGCCATAGAACAATAGAAAATCTCTAAAAACAAATTCCATAGGTTAAAAAGATTTTTTAAAGTTCCACTTTTAGTAAATATTTCACAAGTATGTTAGCAGAGGGGCAGATTTATTGAATAAAAGAAACAGTCATGTTTAAGGATAATTTGCAAAATTGTCAGCATACATTTTTCAATAAAATTTAAAATTGGGGTTACATTTCTTTTTGTGAAAGAAACCTCTCATAGTTTTCCTGCCTGCTTGCTATTGTTATATCTTGGGGAGATTTCTCTTCACATTCCTTTTGCATTATTGTAACAGACAAGTCTAAGGCACTGTCTAATGTTAATTCTACACACTGCTGCCAATTATAATCAGAGCTAGTCAAAATAAACAAATTAAACAAATAAACATGTCAAAACATCTCTGATTTAGGGAAAATAAGCCAAGTCTGAACTCTCCCAGTGTTTCGGCATAAATGATGGGCTGTGGGTTGTAAAACGCTCCATAACATTTTTTCACCTTTGCTAGGGGAAGGTGGGTCAGTTTAGAATTACAGCACTGCTCAACTTTGAGAAAGGGGTCTGCGACTGAAACCAAATCAAACCCAAATGTTGCTGGCTTCACCTAGGGTAGTAATGATCTGCCGCGTGCTCTAAATGCTTTAAAGAGAAAAAAGGAGAGAAAGAAAAAGCAGTTGATTCTTTGCTGATGCGATGCCAGAACCCCTAAATCACTGGAGAGGTTGAACACAATGCAGGTGAAAATATACCAAAGGCGGATGTACATTTCAATATGAAACAGACTGTCACTGTGACATTTCCCAATCAGCACATTGAAAATACTAGGCAATTAAGTTAGAAAGCTCTACTGGCTTCAAGAAGGGATATAAAACATGACTTTGCTACCCAAGTAGGATATCTTGGCTTGAACTATGCTTAAATAACAAGACGGGTAGCTGTGTGTGTGTGTGTGTGTGTGTGTGTGTGTGTGTACTGGTATGCAGCTGTGTGTGTGTGTGTGTGTGTGTGTGTAGTGGTATGTTAACCTATAAAAATATGAAGAGAGGTTAAGGGAGAAGGCTGTCATTCTGGCAGGTGGTTCTTGTAAAAAGGTGATCTCTCGAAGTTCAAGAAATTTCTAAATATCTACACCCACCCCTAGGCAGCAAGCCACAAAGCAGGTGATTTGTGTAGAGTCCTTGGTGTTCTTCCTTCAACCAGTACTGAGCCAGCACCAACTGTGTGCCAGGCACAAGGTAACAAAAACGAGCAGGACTCAGTCCATGCCTTCAAGGAATCTCCCTTGGTTATTGAGAAGTTTTTTTTTTTTCTTTCACCAACCAAGAAGAAGTGTTGACCCATCGGGAAGTTTAAATGTTGCGTTTAAGACAGGGCAGTTGGTGATGGGCAGCAAGGAAGAACCAGGGAGACTGGGCTCTGACATCTCTTGCTGTTCCAACTTCACCTTTCACTTGTCAGGGAACAGGATTTGGGAAAGGTTATACTCCAAGGAGAGGGGCTTTGCAAAGGAGTGAGAGGAGTGACATTCCCTACCTCCAGAAGACAGGACTTGATTACTTCTCTCGGCTCCCATGGCTTTTATTTTTAATGTGCACTGTGCTTGGAAGGGAAGGGGCTGGGGGTGGAAATCATTGTGCCTTTGAAACGTTGTTTTCTGAGGACAGTATATAGAATCTTGGTTATTAACAACCTCTCACAAGACAGTTATTTTTGGAGTGGCCTCTTAGGAGGCAACCTCTTGGAAGTGAACTCATTTATTTTGCGTCTCACTGTCCTGCCATTTCCTGCGGAGAGAGGGGAAAAGTGAAACCACATGTTTTGAGGAGCGAATGGAGGAAATCCCTCCGAAGACAAATGACGACTCCTCTCCCCTGGCAATTAGTCAAACCTGGGCTTCAGGCCAGCCCAGGTGTTCCCGACTGTGTATAAATTTGCCAAAGAACAATGAAAATAGCAGTTGATTGTGCTGACAGATTCTTCTGATAATTTCCTGTTGTTTGGCATCTTCAGGTTACTTTCCCACAATTATGGCTGCTGATGAAGTCTGGGGCCCTTCGAAGTAATTTTCCAACTCTCTCCCTGCCCCTTTCTGTCATCCCACCGACAAGCAGCCTCTTTTCCCCAACTTAAAAGAAACGAAACAATCAAAATCCGAAACCAAGTTAAAAATATTTCGGAGTTGTGGATTTTTTCCCCCTTTCCCAGATGTTTGAATTTAATCCCCTTGCAAAATACATATTTTAATGAGACTGCATTTAAAAGAGGAAGAAAAAATGATTTGCACCTGCATCATATAGAGTTTCTTGGCAACTGTGAGCTGGGATTCAGGCTCCTTTGGATTCTCCAACTTGCAAGTTGGAAGGTTTCCTTGTGTTGTCTGCTAATATCTAATCTCAGCAAAGATCAGGGTCAGCTGGTGCTCTGCTGAGAGAGATTGGAATCAAATTGAGCGCCAATCAAAAGGGCAGCCCCAAACAGGCTTGGGTATCATTTTGATGTTTTTTCCTGCCTAAGTAAATACCTTTGCTCAAAGACTGCTCCCTGTTCCCAATCTTCAGTTTAGGACATTGAAACTACTATTATATGTGGGTGGAAGTTATACTTGCACCCAAAGCATTTGGGGGTAAAATGAAAATAAGGGAAATTGCACACTTTTCTCAAATCTCCACATTATCCAATCTGTCAGGAAGCTATGCATACTTTCTTGGTTAGAACAACTATGTAAAAGATTTTTTTTTTTTGAGGGGCTAGGAAGCTGGAGCTATTGTTGAGAAGCAGCCAAGAAGCTGGTTTCTTTCTCTTCACTTCTCCCCTCCCTGGCCCCTCAAGCCCCTGAGGAGAGAGTCAACGTGAATGCTGCAATGTGGGTTTGCAAGAGTTGCTGAGGATATATTAGACTAGAGCATAATGTATTGAATTTTTCCAAACAGGGCTCCGTGTCCCCTATTAATCAGGACTTCTAGTCAGGAGAATTGCAAATGAAATAAAAAATTCCAGGATAATCCAGAGCATTTGAAAAGAAGGTCAAGCTCAGAAATGATGACATCTGAAAAATGTTTTTGAGATTGGCTTTGAATACCTGTCAGTCCACTCAGTTCTGGATATATTTTCAGTAGAAAGAGTGTCTTTCTTTTTGTGTTCAGATGAGAACTGTGGGGAAAAAAAAACCTCACTGAACATATATAAAGCTGAAAGCAACTGGGAAAAGGTTTTTCTAGATTCCTGGACACCTTAAAAATAATAACAAAACATCCAGGTGAAGGGAGGGTTGGAGGACACTGGAAATGACGAGAGATGTGGAAATGTGCTGGTTTCGTGTGACCTGTCAGTAACTCCCCCACCCCACTCCCATGCATACTCAATGACCACGTGTTTGGGACTATGGATAAAGGGAGCTAGTTACATTTTCAGAAAAAATGCCTTTCATTCATGTTACTTGTTATGCCTTTCATCAAGAAAGCCATTCACTTATTTATTTTGTATTCATTCATTAATTTATTCACCAATTTACTTACCGTTTGTTTGAATGGCCTCCATGTGTTGGATGGAAGTCAAAGTATTTTACCTCTGCTATTGAGCATAATTTAATCTGCGTCTTCCCTTTTGTGAAATCGTCCTTACCCTTAAAGGTTCCAATCAAGAGCACCTCCTTCATGCAGTCTTCCTTTCTTTTACACTCCGGTTCTTATCAATCTTCATTTTCTCTAACTATCCACGACATATGTTCATTCATCCAAACATAGTGAAGGGACGCTTACAATGTGCATTGTGCTGGAGGGGGGAATATCATGTGAATTAAGACAATCACAGTTCCTGACCTCATGAATGTTATTGTTATTATTATTATTATTATTGTTATTGTTGTTGTTATTTAGAGACAGGGTCTTGCTCTTTCACCCTGCTGGAGTGCAGTGGCATGATCACAGCTCACTGCAGTCTTGACCTCCTGGGCTCAAGTGATCCTCCCCTTTAAGCCTCCTGAGTAGCTGGGACTACAGGTATGCACCAGCACACCTGGCTAATTTGTATATTTTTTGTAGAGATGGGGTCTCGCCATATTGCCCAGGCTGGTCTTGAACTCCTAGGCTTAAGCAATCCTCCTGCCTTGGCCTCCCAAAGTGCTGGGATTACAGGCGTGAGCCACTGCACCCGGCAACCTCATGGATTTTAAAGTGTAATGGTGGCAGCAATCAGTTAAATAAATACTTATACTATGGTATATTAAATGCTATAATATAGGAGGATAGGAAGTTGTGGGAACAGGGAGAGAGGTCCTGATGGGTGATGTTTAAGCTAAGACTTGAAGGATAGGCAGTAGTCAGCCTGCCAGGCTGTGTGCAAATATTCCACGCAGAGGGAAGTACATGAATAGACATGAGAGAGAGGAAGAGGCATGCTGGGAAAAGACGCATTTCAGTTCTGCAGGACATGGTATAAACTTCCCAGGACACATAGAGGACCAGGAGGAAGGAGATTGGTAAGACACGAGACCCTAGCGGTAAGCGGAGGCCCAGTCCCAAGTGGCCTTTAACACCATTGTAAGGAATGTGGACTTTATCTGGAGGTGAAGCTGTTGAAATGTTTCAAGCATGCAAGTGGCATAATTAGGTTTGTGTCTTGGAAAGTGGCTCTACTTGTGGTGTAGAATGGATTGGGTGAAGCCTTGCAAGTGAAGGTTGTCTTAAATGGAAATCACCTACTTTTGTGCTCAATTGTATGCTGTCTTCTCCCTTCTTTGTTCTATGTGTATTGGCCTTTACTCTAGCTAGATCACAGGCATCTTCAGACAGGAACCATGTTTTATCCTTCTGTGCACAAATGATAGTAGATGCTCAGTAGATATTTGCAGTAGTTTGATTTTATGTTTATGTTGCTCCCTTTTCAGTGTGCCATTTCAACATCTCTGGCTATGCAATAGCCCTTCAGTGGGCAATAAAGAGAGGGAGACCTTTTTCTGGGTGAGTCCCATAAAAACAATCTCTGAACCTCAGTTTACCAAGACGAAAATCCACTCTTTGCCTTTTTGCTTTGTTAATTCTCAAGAGAGAAGAGCTGTGATTTGTACCACAGACAATTTCCAACATTCAAAGTCGAAGTACGTTTCCCAAAAGGCTGGGCAAATTCCAGTTGTAGAGTTAGACAGAAAGAGAGTGTTGGTGTTGTTTGCAAGGCCACGGAGGTACAGACTGGTGGTTAATTCCCTCGTACTTCTCTGGAAAAGTAGCTCCCCTCCACCACCCACCAGGCACATTCCTCAACATCCACCAGGGAATCTGACCCCGTTAGCACTTAATATTTATGACCAACATTTGCTGGTGATTATATTAACAGTCAAATGATTATAATTCTAAATGCAATTTGTGTGTGTGTGCATGTGTGTGTGCACACTTGCATCAGGGGGAGGTTGGTATTCTTGCAGCAAATATATTGTCTCCTTTAAATTGTATCCGCATAATACCAAATTGGAAATTGCGCTAATGTACTTATTAAAGAATATAGAGGCAAAGAATGTAGTCCCAGGAAAGGGTGTGTTACAGGTGAGGAAATTGAAGGCAAGAAAGAGTCTTTGTTTTGGGCCATGCAGAGACAGCAGAGTTGGAACTAAAACTAGGTATCTCGACTCCCAATTCAGTGCTCTCTCCACAGTGCCCCAGGGCTTTTCCTCTATGTGTTTATTGCCTTCACACAGTGCTTGTCTGAAAGCCAGGCTTGGTGTTTTTATGTTTATCCAGACATTTCGTCTTGCCCCCATTTCCTTGCCATCTCTTTGGGCATTGGAGGCTACTGTCCCCCTGTGGGGGTTGCAGGTAGCACCCATGTTCTGTGGTTTTTCCCTCCTGCAATCACTTGGCCAGGAGCTCAGACCCCAGGCATCCACATTTTAGTTTTGGGAGGACAAGGATATTTGTTTCCTTCACTAATTCTTTAAGCTTTCTCTCTAGCTTCCCTGACTACCTCCTCCTCCACTCTCTCGAGCAACTTGGGTCACCTGTATTAACTTCTGTCCATCTTCACATTAGCTGTGGTGCCCAATCTTTATTTGTTTATTATTTTTTGGAGATGGAGTCTTGCTCTGTCACCCAGGTCAGAGTGCAGTAGAGCGATCTCGGCTCATTGCAACCTCTACCTCCCAGGCTCAAGCAGTTCTTGTGCCTCAGCCTCCCCAGTAGCTGGGATTACAGGTGTGTACCAACACGCCTGGCTAACTTTTTTATTTTAGTAGTGATGGGGTTTCGCCATGTTGCCCAAACTGGTCTCAAACTCCTGAGCTCAGGCAATCCACCCGCCTCAGCCTCCCACAATGCTGAGATTACAGGCATGAGCCACTGCACCAGGCTGATGTCCAATCTTTATTCATTAATTTGTCACTTTCACAAATTTTGCCATAGCCATATCCAGACTGTACTCAATGTTATGTTTTTTTCTTTAGATCACCTAATTGGTTTCTTAAACTTGAATACATTTGTTTTAAAACTTTATATGATTACTGTAAATGGAAAACCAATATCATTGGCCAACAGGGAAGGTAATGATTAAAACATGCAAACAGTGTTATTAAATTCTATCTAGATTCACTTGTTTGCTGAAGGCTCTAATGTTGAGTCATGCCCTCTTTTTGTTAAAAAGGATGATTAGCAAATGGTGGAGAGGTTGCAAAGGCTGATTCTCTCATTGATTTAATCAGAATGATTAGAAGGAAACCGACATGATACTTTTCCTACCATATGAATCTGTGGGTACTGCCTACAATCTGACGGTCCCACTCTTGGGTTCATCTTGATCCACAGAATTGTGTTATTCCAAGGAGGCTCTGACCACAGGTGCAACATGATCTCATCCAACTGCACCTACTTTTCCTACGTCTCTCTGCTGCAATGGTGCTGGCAGATCACTGCAGACCAATGTAGGTTGTGTAGTTGCCATCCCCATTTAAAGCTCTCACTTGTACTGGTGCCAAGGATGATGACCTATTTAGATAAGTGTGACCTGAATAAAAGTTGATCTATGATCCCGTGTTCTTGATCAGCACAGAGTTTATTTTTGATGACAGGAGAAAGCATAGGCTATAAACATTTCCTATCACACTCCAAACTCATTTTCTACTGTAGAAAATGAGAAATAGACAGTACTTCCCTTTTCCTTTTCTATTATATCACATGTTCCCTAAACGTCTTCTAGGCACTGGACATTGAAATATACAACTTGGCTGCTTACTTATTTCCAGGAGTCTGACTGTTTCTATTTGGCATGGAGTAAGTCTGGGCTGCCGTGCACTGAAAAGGGCTTGGGAAATGATATGGATTTGGGTTGGCAAGAGGCAAATGGCCTGGCTTAGTATTGTAGTCCCTTGGTATTGTAGTCTCTGTGAAAGGTACCCCTGGGGTTGTGCAGGGCATGGTCAGTGTGGTTGCATGTGGTGGTCTTCAAGGGTAAAGGATGGATGCTGAAGTCTTCTAGTGGAAGCCTGTGAATGCCTTTATTGAATTCAGTTTACCAATCATCTGTTCAAACCTCTCCTAATTCTCAGGAGTTTTTCTAGGAGGTAGGGGAAAGCAAATTTGGAGGAAGATGAGCCCTTGGCCCTCAAGAAACTTACATCCTGGTAATATGCACCATGACTCATGAAGAGTATGTGTCAGGTTCAAATCTTAGCTGTGCCACCTATTAACAGTGTGACACTGGACAAGCTACTTAACCTTTCTGGGCCCCAGTCGTTACTTACTTAAAGGACAACATAGAGGACCTTTGTGAAAATTAAATGATAAAATGATGCCTCGCACAGAGTGAGTGCACGATAAACATTAACTCTTATTATTGCTGAGAGAACAACTTTGAAGTGAAAAGAGAAATCCCTCCAAGGTGTCTGATACTCCAGTCACTAACAGTGTCATACAGATTGTAAACCCAATGCTAAAGGAGTTCAAATCAAGGAAAATGTCACCAAGGACTGGTGATAGGGAAACATATGTCAGAATGTCCCTACATTTCTAGCATGCTTCGTTTCTCCCTCAGTTTGTAAAATTATATTCCATTTATGGTTCCAGAAAACATAAACAGGATTCATGACTAGAAGAAGAAAAATTGGAAGGATACTAGTGTGTCCTTCTCGCTGAATTATTTATTGTTGTGTGCTGAGGAACAGAATGATTGCTTCTTGCCCCACTGTAGATGGATTGAATTTCTTTCTGTCCCCATGCAGTCAGGCAAGCTTATTTTAATAAGAACAACTTAATATTGTAACTATACAGTGAAGTTCTCTTGTCCCTCTAGGACACACCACACTGTACACTCTGAGCTTGGAAGGCTGTTCTGATTATTTCGGGTGTGGAAACTGAGTTACCCTCCCTAGGATGGTTTCTGTGAATGTCTTAGAATTGACAAGTAAATTCAATCAGCATTTTCTTTTCTTTTTTTCTTGTTTTGTGTTTGTCAAGTGCCAGATACCATGCTAGACACCTTCAGGGCTATGATTACATTGAATCCTCAAAATAATCTCATGAGCTAGGCTTTCTTATTATAAGCATATTTAAGAGGTAAGAAAGTTGGAGAGAGGTTAAGTAACTTGTCCAGGGTCGCCAAGGTAGCATGTGTTAGCAAACAAGATTTCAGTCCAGATTCTCTCACCCCCTACCCATTTCTAGCAATGCAGTGCTGCTGGAGACAGCACTTGTTGGCAGCTACCTGTCTGCTTTCCTCCTCTTCTTCTCCTCCTCTTCCCTCTTTCTCTCTTCCCTTCCCTTGCTTCCTCTTCAGTCCCTTCTCTTCCTTTCCTTCCTTCTTTCTCTCTTTCCTTCCTTTTCTCCCTCCCTCCCTTCCTTCTTCCCTTCCTTCCTTCATTCCTTTTTCTCTCCCTCTTTCCTTCCTTCCTTTTTTGTAATTTTATTTTTCTGCAGAATACTGTTTCTCAGTGGTTAATGACAGGTACAGAATAAAGTAACAGTGACATTGGATAAAACTAATGAAATCATCAAATTTGCACTTTTTTTTTTTGAGACCGAGTTTTGCTCTTGTCATCCCCGAGGCTGGAGTGCAGTAGCGAGATCTTGGCTCACTGCAACCTCCACCTCCTGGGTTCAGGTGATTCTCCTGCCTCAGCCTCCCAAGTAGCTGGTGCTACAGGCGCCCACCACCATACCTGGCTAATTTTTCTATTTTTAGTAGAGACAAGGTTTCACCGTGTTGGCCAGGCTGGTCTCAAACTCCTGACCTCAGGTGATCTGCTCGCCTCAGCCTCCCAAAGTGCTGGGATTACAGGCGTGAGCCACCGTGTCTGGCCTGCACTCTTAATTATTTAACTAAATGGGGATAAAAGGAACTTCAGTCCCTATCCCGTGCTGACGTATGGTAGGCATCAGAATATGCTTTCTAGACCTTATCCCAGCAAGCACTCCCTGGTGCTGGGTGTCATCTGTCCCCAGGACAGACAGGGAAGGGAGTCCTAGAGAGTCCTGTGACTTGCCCATTGGCTGCAAAGCTGCAGCAAGAGGAGGACAGAGCAGCCTGACTCCAAATCTTATCTTCTTTTGGCTGCAGTATTTTCTGAATTAGACATTAGCATTAGCCAAAATTTGGATTATAGGAGATAGGTATTTAAGGAGAGGCTTAGGGGAGTTTGTCCAATGGCAAAAATGATCAGATACAGCCTTAGGATCTGATACCTGGTTCCTGGATCTGCTATCACTGGTACCTGGAGCTGATCCGGACAATGGAGACAATGGAAAGATCAGTGAGCACATCTCAGACCAGAGCCCCACACTGAGTTGTGCGGCCTGATCAGTGAGAGCTGGTGCAGCCAGCCCGCCTTGTTGGCCGTCCACAGCAGCAGCCTCCCTTTCCACTGACCTCCCATCTACCCTCATACGGATAAGATTCTGTTTACTTTCCAACCTAAATGATTGTGGTTCTGGGAGCTGTTAAGAAGCCAACATGTTCCAGGCTCCCATGTTAATAGCATGGGGATTAAAACTAACCAAACAAGCATGCATTTGACAATAAATGAGGCTATTGGAAGTGAGTAGTGAGTACAGAAGGGAGCATGTGTTTCTTGCTTGTTTATTGACCCTGGTATGTGGGGCAAGTCTCTAAACCTCGGTTTGCCTCTGTTGTGCTGACTATAAAATGGGAGATAACAGTAGCACGTGTCCCTTAACACTCGGAGGTGGTGAGAGGTCAATTACTTAATGCCTCAAAAATCCTTCGGGCTCCACGGCCAGGACCAGAAATTGGAAGAGTTTTCTTCCCAAACCTTATCAGAATCCTCTCCTGTTTTCTGAAGCTCAAATCTTAGAGGGGAGTTGGAAGAAGACTGAAAGAAGAAAGGAAAAAAAGGAGAATGAAACAGAAAGGATTGGGAAGACAGGAGGTAGAAGGAGGCATTTTTGCATTCCTTTAGATAAAGGGAAGTACCCCCAAAAAAGATACTCTTGCTTTGCAGGTGTCTGCTCTGGAGTCACTGCTCTTTGGTGAGAGGTATGTAAATTGTGCATGTTTTTTGCATGTGAGCCCTTCCATGATTGGGATGAGCAATGGACTGACTTCTGGAAAGCTGTGGGTCTTGGGATTTGATCCTGGTGCTCCCACTGCGGTTCTTTCCCTCCCTGTCTCACAGAGCTTCCATCTTCTGTCAGGTCATTTCTGGCGAGACCTTAGATACAGGACCACACCTGAAGAGTGGGGCATCTTCAGCCCGCTGGGAAGATGCCTAGGTACCTCAGGGAGAATTGGGCCTTGTTCTACAGGCAGTTTTTCCCTTTGAGAAGAGGCAGATCTCCTGTCAGAGACTCCTAAAGCCAAGGTTCAGCTCTCCATGGCCACCCACTTTTGTCCACAGCTTTCTACTCAGCCTGGCAACTGTGGGGTGAGGCAGAAAACAGAGCTGGGTGCTTTGCCTTTTCTAATCAGAGGGGTATATATATATATATATATATATATATATATATATATTTATTTATTTATTTATTTATTATTTTTTTTTTTCTTCACTGTGTTACCCAGGCTGAAGTTCAGTGGTGTAGTCATAGCTCACTGCAGCTCCCAACTCCTGAGCTCAAGTGATCCTTCTGCCTCAGACTCCCATGTAGCTGGGGTTACAGGGACACGCCACTACTTGGCTAATTTGTTAATTTTTTGCAGAGACGGGGTCTCGCTATGTTGCCCAGGCTGATACTGAACTCCTGGTCTCAAGTGACCCTCCTGCCTCAACCTCCCAAAGTGCTGGGATTATAGGCGTGAGCCACTGCATCTGCCAACATTTTTTCTCTTAACCGTTTGTCAGACAGAATCAATAGCAATTTTATTACAGACCCTACGAAGTCCCATGTTTTTTGGTGTCCATTTTAATCTATTTTTACAAAGGACTCCAGTCAATCCTTATTTTCTAATAGAATACCAGACAACACAGTGAGACCACCTGGACACTTTCCTCACCACGATTTTACCAGGGTGCTAAATAGCTTTTGTATGATGAAATTTTGGCAAAATAATTTTATGTCTCTATTATTTATGTCATATGAAAGTTGGAGTTTTCTGGTGGCCATATTTTTTCTTATAACCTAGAACATTTCTTTTTCTTTCTTTTTTTTTTTTGAGACAGAGTCTCACTCTGTCACCCAGGCTGGGGTGCAGTGGTGTAATCTTGGCTCACTGGAACCTTCACCTCCCAGGTCCAAGTGATTCTCATGCCTCAGCCTCCTGAGAAGCTGGGACTACAGGCATGCACCACTATGCCTGGCTAATTTTTTATATTCTTAGTAGAGATGGGGTTTTGCCATGTTGGCCAGGCTGGTCTCGAACTCCTGACATCAGGTGATCCACCTGCCTCGGCCTCCAAAAGTGCTGTGATTACAGGTGTGAGCCACTGTGCCTGGCCTAGAACATTCCTTATGTGTCCCTCTCTGCTTCCACAAGCCCACACTAAATGGGCAAGATGGGGAGCAGTGTGTGGGGGTGGTGGGGATGGAGACTTCGATGGTGCTGACCTACTAGAACATTCCTAGGTTCCCATTATAAACTTGAAATAGGGCTTCTTTCTGAGAGACACAAAGTAAATTTTTCTCCCTGGCAGAAGGATAGATTTATTAAGCTGCTGCTTTTTATTAAAGTAACATAGAAACTTTAAAATCCTGCCATGGTGTCAAGGACTGGGCTCGCAGGATCCCTGGCAGGAGAAGGTCTCCACCTCATCTGAAGCATGAGGGTAAGTGCTGGCCAAGAGCATCTGTATGTTAAGGTTGCCAGAGAAAGCAGCAATTGACCTCTGGTGTTTGTTTTGCAACCAACAAAGGGCAAGAGGAAACTTTTCTGAAATGTTTGCTTCAGGGTGTGATGATGAAACCACTGTTGGCTTCTCTTAGAAAACCTGTTCAATCTGAGAGCAGAAAAATCTTTCCTTTTGATTATAAAAAAGAGGGAAGACTTTGATAATGTCAAATATGGGCAAGGTGGTGGCTTTCTGCGTCCTCCCTGGTAGGACATGGCAGCTCTGCTGGCAGGGATGGTGATGCCTTTCCTGACTACCAATTAAACCAGCCCTTCTCCAGCAGCCTGGCCAGGTGAAGAGGGGACCTGGGGCAGCAGAGATCAGCTCTGACAGTGGAGGACGTGCACCAGACAGGGCTCTCATCCCAAACAGGCTTGATACATTTCTTTCCCAGAAAAGATTGAATTAGAAGAGAATGTTTTAAGGTGAGTTAGGAAAAAGCATTTTAATGATAACCGAAGAAGATAGATTAAGGCTAAATTAAATCACCAAGATTGGTTAAGGAAGTGAAAAAAGAGCCAAATTATACCTAGATGTGTATCATTTCCTGAGTTACTTTGCATTTCGGTCTACTCTTTTCTCTTCTCTTCTCTTTTCTTCTCTTCTCTTCTCTTTTCTTTTCTTTTGAGACAGAGTCTTGCTCTGTCGCCCAGGCTAGAGTGCAGTGGCACGATCTCGACTCACTGCAATCTTCACTTCCCAGGTTCAAGGGATTCTCATGTCTCAGCCTCCTGAGTAGCTGGCATTACAAGCGCCTGCCTCCACACCTGGCTAATTTTTGTATTGTTAGTAGAGACAGGTTTTTCCCATATTGGCCAGGCTGGTCTCAAACTCTTGACCTCAGGTGATCCACCCTCCTCGGCCTTCCAAAGTTCTGGGATTACAGGTGTGAGTCACCGTGCCCAGCCTCCTTTTTCCCTTTTTTGAGACAGGGTCTCACTTTGTGGCCCAGGCTGGAGTGCAGTAGCATGAACACGGCTCACTGCAGCTTCAACCTCCTGGGTTCAAGCGATTCTCCTGCCTCAGCCTCCCAAGTAGCTGGGACTAGAGGTGCATGGCATCACCCCCTGTTAATTTTTGTATTTTTTGTAGAGACCTCCCAAAGTGCTGAGGTTACAGGTGTGAGCCATTGCACCTGGCCTCAATCTCCTTTTAAAACATGATGTTCTTTTCTTTCTTTCTTTCTTTCTTTCTTTCTTTCTTTCTTTCTTTCTTTCTTTCTTTCTTTCTCTCTCTCTCTCTCTCTCTCTCTTTCTTTCTCTCTCTCTCTCTCTCTCTCTCTCCTTCTCTCTTTCTTTCTTTCTTTCTTTCTTTCTTTCTTTCTTTCTTTCTTTCTTTCTTTCTTTCTTTCTTTCTTTCTTTCTTTCTTTCTTTCTTTCTTTCTTTCTTTCTTTCTTTCTTTCTTTCTTTCTTTCTTTCTTTCTTTCTTTCTTTCTTTCTTTCTTTCTTTCTTTCTTTCTTTCTTTCTTTCTTTCTTTCTTTCTTTCTTTCTTTCTTTCTTTCTTTTTGTAGCGATAAGTTCTTGCCATGTTGCCCAGGCTGGTCTCAAAGTCCTGGCCTCAAACAATCTCTCCACCTCAGCCTCCCAAAGTGCTGGGATTACAGGTGTGAGCCACAACGCCTGGCTGAAAACATGGTACTCTTCAGCATGGTTGCATTGAACAGCCTTAGTCCTAGATGAGAAGCAGGATTCCTGAGTGGAAGAGTATATTGGTATTTTCATGTCAGGTGAAACACAGCTAAAGGAACGCTTCTCATCAGATTATGGGGTAACCTGATTGCAGGTGTCTAAGGGGATTAAACAGCTCCTTAAATTCCAAACCGTCACTGATGATTAGACAGTAGGGTCCCAAACCTGGTGCTTGAGTTTATCACCCTGCCGAAGATGGATAGGACATCTCGAATAAGACAGCCATAAAGTACTGGGGCAATTTCTCAAAGCTGCAGCTGGGCCCTCTCCCTCTGACCTGTGGATACCAGAGAGTCTTGGCCAGCTCTGCAGAGCTGTCCCAGCCTGGGTGGGTTTTAAATGATGTGGGGTGAGTGGAGGTAGGCACGATTCCCTGGAAATGCTTCTCAAGTTGGTGTGCAGTATGAGTGCCGAGTGCCAAGTACCAAAGAAGGAAGGGGAAAATAATTAGAAATGGGGCATTTTCCCACATGTTTCCAGGGAGCTTTGCTGTTTTCACCTTGGGACGTAGGTTAATGCAGTTTTCCAACCAGCTGCACAGCGCAACCCAAACCTGGCCTTTGAAGTACCCAGTGCTTATATAGACAATAGACAATGCAACTCGGGAAATACCTCGAGGTATTAGACTTCATTTAGGAAAAAAATTGAGAGAACATCTAACTATCTCTGAAGTGTTGATATGGAAATCCCAGCGTAATGTTCTATTACTTTTTTTTCCCTGATTCCTATTTGGATAGACTCCAATGACATGCAGAAAAAGTACAGTCCTACTTTATATTCATTAGAGACTCGAGGAGCCCAGAAGACAAATAGTCCCTGTGGAGGGACCATGTCTTTAGGGTGGCCCACTGGATTGAGGTCAATTGTCACAAAAGAGACCAGAAAGGCAGAATGAGCTGCTTTGCTTTTGAAAGTAAAGCAAATTACTCTGTTGCCTTGTATTAACATATACCTCTGTGGGTTCCTAAGTATTCTTGTTTCTGGGTGTATCTGTATGTATTTGTGATTCTATGCCTACCTCTTTAACTTAGGAAAATAGCAAATGCAACTTGAGATAGAAAGTCCCCAAATCTTGGGTTCTGTTTCTAGCTCTTACTGACTTCATGGAATGACCTTGTGCTGGACATTGACACATGCTGTTTGCCTGCTGCTCCAGTATGTTATGAGAAAAGGCTAATAAAGTATAATCACAACGTCCTAAAAATGTCAAGTCCATGCCCCTTGGGCCTCCCATAACTATTCTCATCTGCAAAATGGACCTGGTAACTCTGCGCCCTGCCTTCCCCACACAGATGTTAGGAAGCTGGGCTGCAGAACATCTGTAAAGCAGTTTTAGATTTTGGAACATGGGAACAATAAATGACCATAACAGCTATTTATCATGAAAGAGGAGATGACGATATATTCTATATTTCAAGCCCCACTTCTCTCATCTACTTGAAAATAGTTTTGCTCACGATTGAGGCCATCAGTTAAGGAGGTATAAGTGTACAAAATGCAGAGTAAGGGAGGAAATTTTGACTTAAAACTTTGCCACCCTGGGTGAAAATTAACTCTCTGAAAGGATGTGGAAGTGTATATTCATGAGCTGAACGTATCACTGTAGCTTATAAAGAAGAAGAGAATGCTATTGAGTCTGATGCAGAATAAAGTGGGGAATGGCAGGTGCCAAGAATCAGGGACTCTAACTTGGCCAGAACCCGAGTCAGTTGAACTGGGTTACTGTTTGGGGACCTTTGCGGACCTTAGTAGGGTGGGGATGACTTAGCAGGCAACGTCTTCAGAAGCAGAAAATTATGTCCTAGTAAACATCACAAAATTCAGCAAAGTTTAAATCCTAGAGGATCATGGACAATATCTTTGTAGACCAACTGGCTGGTCTTTGACCAAGCATGTGTGTATATATGTATGTGTATATATGTGTGTATATATGTATATATGTATGTATATATGCATGTGTGGGTGTCCATCCAAGAAGAAGCAAAACAATTGCTTTCAAAGATAAGTAAACAACATTTGGGGATAGCCCATGCTGAAAGTGGTTAAATCAATCATCCCATCCTTCCGGAGTCTATGGTCTCATTTATTTAGTCCTCAAATATATGCAAAGTAAAAATACTTATATTTAATATAGTCAAGTCAGTGCTTTGTTTGCATCCAAGGCACTAAGATGAAAATGGTCTCTGTCCTCTAGGAGCTTGCAACTTAGTAGGGGATTTAAGACTTTTCCATAATTAGTTAATTTCTCCAATTAAATTAAAATCCTCTCCTGTCTCTTTCCCTACCCACTAACTTTGTCAGAAGTCCAATATCACCATCTTACGGCTCTCTTGCTCCATCCTCAGAACCATCTAAAGAAAACTCCTCCAAGGCTGGGTGCAGTGGCTCATGCCTGTAGTCCCAGTGCTTTGGGAGGCTGAGGCAGGAGGATCACTTGAGGCCAGGAGTTTGACATCAGCCTGGGTAACACAGTGAGATCCTGTCTCTACAAAATTAAAAAAAAAATAGGTCTGTGGCAGCACATGCCTATAGTCCTAGCTACTGGGGAGGCTAAGGCTGGAGGCTCGTTTGAGCCCAGGAGTTGTAGGCTGCAATGAGCTATAATTGCACCACTGCCCTCCAGCCTAGGTAACAGTGAGATCCTGTCTCTAAAAATAATAAATAACTATATAAATAAAGTGAATAAAACCCCTCTAATAAAGGAGATCCTTGTGATCCCTCCTGCAAACAGGTAAGAGACCGGGTCTGTCCTTGGGCTGCCCCTGCCCCTGCCGTTGTCCCTCACTGCCACACGGTGCCACTGTTGAATGGGCATAGTGGCTTTTTTCAGGCAGGTAAGTCCCAGCTGATTCCACTTCCTAAATTATCCCCTGTTCTCATTGGGTTTCTAGACGACAGCCCTCAGTGCCCAGCCATTTGGGTTCTATACAGTCCTCCTCCTCACCTTGGGGAGCTGTGCCAGGAAGGTTCAGGAGTCAGCCCCCTGCCAGGCTCATGGATGCTGCCTTTCAACCCGAGAAATGCCAGCGTTTCTCACCAGTCACTCCACCCACTTCCTGCCTCCCTTAAATAAACTCCTTTCCTCAAAGGTGTTCCTAGCCACCAGAAACACAAAACAATGGCTTCCCTTCACTTGAAGGAAAGCCTTCTCTATCACAGGGATGAGTCACCTTCCAAAGAATGCGCAGGGATAATCACCAGGACCCCTCTTGCTAACTCGGTAAAAAACAAACACAGGTTCGGTTTCCAGCATGACTCTCCGCTAAGCATATAAAGAAATAGTTTAAACTGGGCAGAATGCAATAGCTGATGGGAGAATTGCAAAGAAAGAGTGATGGGAACACAGATTAGCGAACATTGATGTCAATTTGGAGTAATCTGGGAAGACCAGATTGGGGAGGCATTTGTGCTGACCTTTGATATGCAATAGGATTTGACAGATGAATGTGGTAGGAAAGGGTATTTGCAACCCAAGGAGGTAAGACAAACGAATGCACAGAGGTGGGCAAAACGCGTGTCATATTTGATGCCCAGGGGTGGGTGGTGGTAGTGGAAGTGGGGAACTTTGTGTGTTATAGTGTGGGGGCCATGTGGGGAGATATGGAAGTTGAAGTCTGGGGCTTAGAATGCCCTGGAAGACAACTAAAGATCTGGCCTGTTTTCCTTTTATGTTACTGTATCTGCTGATCAGCTCAAATCGAGAATAAACAAATCAAGGAATGAACACAGAAGCTAAAAGTTGAAAACAAAGGTTGAAATTGAGTTGCTTTAATGTAGCCAAATCCTACATTTTTATTAAAAAAAAATTCTCAAAGAAAAAAAGCTGAACTTGTAGATTTCAGTAAGGTGAAATAGAATGTTTGGAGAATTTCAATAAAACACTGAATTAATAAGTCTTATTTTCCCCACGATTTCAAACCATTTTTGAGTTGTGTAAACAGTCAATACTTCACTGTTATGTCCTTGAACTGAGTCCTTTTAGTGTTCAGAAAGAGACATTTAGAAGAAAATGACACAAAAATTTCTTCCTCAAACCACCTTGTTGAAGTTTCTCCAGGGACCAAAGTCGATGATTTGTAAATTCCTTTACTCTTAAAATAAAAGGCATTTTCATAAAAGAAAAGGTGATGGCCAAAGACAGAAACCATTATGCACACCGTCACCTATTCAGGAGGGAAAATAGTCACAGGGAAGATGTCATTTATTCTCTTCCTCACGGTGCTCGACTGTCTTACATTCAAAAACATTCTATGAAGACAAGGACATCCATAAGTAACAATAAAAGCCCTTTTGCAGCTGTTTTAAAGAGTTGTAGGAGTTGAGGATCTCACAGTGTTAATAGGACCATCTTATGCTTTAGTCAGGAGGCTTTCTTACCCGGCATCTCGTTTGCTTCCCTGGTAGCAGTCCCAGGGAAGGTGGTAGGACAATGACTCTTAATTTTGATTTTATAGCTGACAAAACCAAGCCCTTCAGCAGCGACAGGACTGAACCAGTGTTTCTCAGTGAGTCGACGCAGGGCCAGAAAAGATTTGGAGACCAGATCTCTTCAAGCTCACCTGGGCATATTCTCGCCCTGCTGCTCCCAGCTGTCCCACCAGACTGTTGCCCTGCGGGACTGAAAAATTTCTTGAGGGTGGGAATTGCATCTTAACCATCTTTTTATCCTTCCACAGTACCCTCCCCATAACAGGTGTTCCATAAATGTTAATTAAATAAGGGCTGTAAGTCCTGGAGTCTAAATGGCTCTAAATTAGATTTTCAAAGCTTTCTGGGTCCTTGCATATTTCTAGAAAAAAGAAAAAAGAAAAACTTTCACTTTCTTAATCTGGCAGTGAAGAAAGAGAATATTAGTTGGCTTCATTCCCTGGGATATTCAGAAACAAATATTGAGGACTACTGGAAGCTGAGGGTTACGTGCAGGATAAACAGCAATAATGAATGGATCTAGAATACAATTCAGTCTCTTGTTTATATATGTCTGTTCCTTCTGGCTCAAGGGTTTTAAAATGACCTTTCCTAGCAAGATCTGGAAATGAATAGTCTTTTCTTTTTTTCAAGCAGTTCTTGTATTTCCTGAAGTCAGTTACCATGTGTCCTCTGACAAATGAGTTGCAGGAGTGTTGACCTTACCTTGAAGAATACTTTCTCCTGTATTTTTTACTTTCACCGTATGACCACTTTTTACTCCTGCAGAGTTGGATGCAAATAAGACCCATCCCCTAAGTAATTGTGAAGTGGGCAGTTTTTTTTCAATATATATGTTTCTTTTCTTTGCATGATTGTGGGAAAGGGGAGAGGGGACTTGGAGAGGAAGAAGCTTGTCCTGAAGATGAGGTCAGCTATGTCTGGGCAGCAGGACCCCAGGAGGCTGGGCTTGGGTCAGCAACAGCAAGGGGCTGTGTGAGACTCTAATTAGCATCCCCTTGTCTGGCTACCCTAGACATCCATCTACTGCCATAGCTTTAAACCAGCTATCACCAAGGGTTCTACCCGTTCCATATTCATTCATTTATTGTTTAATAGAACGTATCATGCACATAATATAAAATTTGGAAAGAGCAGAAAGAAGAAAACATTTATGCAAGCCTCACTCACCCCAAGCAACTGTCTGTAAACACTTTTAGTTCTCAGGTTTTTTTCTAGGCATGGATACTGAGAGATTTCATACGTGGCAATCATACCGTGTAAGTAATTGAGTAAATTGCTGTTAGATGCCTGTATCTGTTGAGAAGAGTTGCAAACAAGATAAAGAAATAAAGTCCTTTCTCTCCATGCTCTTAATGCATAAATCTGGTTGCCTGTCTTGGAATAGGTTCATAGGAAGGATGTTACGGGTTCAAAGGGTATATTTTAGAGGAGAGATAAATTTAAGTGAGGGTGAGGGTGCAGGGAAGTGTTTCCTTTTGAGCCACCTCCCCTTCATTTAGTTTATCAGTTATTTCGCCCATGCATGGTTTCAGGCAACCACCTCACAGTAACACCTTTGGAGAGCCTTGAGGTGCATAACCCGGAGCAGTGGCTGGAACGGGTGGCTCAGCCAGAGGAGCTCCACACCTGCAGATCTGGATTGGAGTCACTCACCCTGGAAATTCAGCTTGCCTTCGTGAGAGCCACTCGGGAGTGCTTATGAGCCGAGCTGAGAAGGGCCCGGGCCACCCTGACTGGTGGAGGTTTGATTGGGAGATTTTAAATATCTAACCTTGAGAGCTCCTGCCTATAAAGACATCGAGCGTCACTCCTTCTGTTACTTTGGTTTGGTCACCAGGAGAATCTGATTCCTTCAACTGCCTCACACCATAATCAATGGATGACTTGGTTATTCTGTTTGTCCTTATTCTTATGAAGCCTAGAGACTCATGGGGAAGCCATTCCTGAAACAATGGCAAGCAAATAAATAGATTTTTCTAAGCTGTTATCACAGTTCAGGTGTTAGGGAGAAAATGTCCAGGGTGCCACAAAAACATATAATCGGGAAACTCCAGTGGATCTGAGGTGGAGTGGGCGCGAAAGGTTTCCCCAGTGCCATTACCACTGAGCTATATTCTGAAGAATGACGAGCAGCTCATAGGCCAAGGTGGTGTGGAGAAGGGGGTGTAGAGATGGTTTCAGCAGATCAAACAGTAGCTGTGCAAGCCAAATTGCAAAGAAGCAGTTGTTATCACTACTGGCCACCAAAGAGAAGTTGGCTTCATCTGGAAGCAGAGGATGTGCCTGGGAAGCAGGGTGGCCAACTTGTCCCTGTTTTCAGATTGAAAATCCCACATCATGGGCACCTTCCTCAGCCCCATGCAAACTGGGAAGTTGGTCATCTTAAAAGTACCCTCTGATTCATTTTAATGAATTGGCTTTCTGAGTGTCAAGGGTTGTTTGGTTAGACATTGTCCTGCTCTGTCAATGGACCTCTCTTAGAATGTAAATCCTGTGGGAAGAACATGATGCCGTTAGCCACCCACTTCTTAGTATAAATCAGCTTATCTGAAGTCTAAATTACTTACAAGTTAGACTCTGGCCTATGAGGATGCACTGAGATGTGGAAGGGAACGGGAACATGGAAGAAGATGTTTTTAACATAGAGAGGAAGAAAATAAGAGAGCGATGAAGACATGCTTGACTTGCATCATTATTTTACCTGTGAGTAGGTTACCTTAGGCCTATACTCACTATGCCTCAACTCTTATCTATAAGATGAGAGTAATAAAGTTCTTGTTCAAGTAAGAAATGACATAGGTGGTAGGCCTGTGGAACTTGTGGTCAATGCTACATGACAGCAGGAACCTTTGTTTTCTGTTCTCAGCTCCAGGGAAAACCTCTCCTCAAAGTAGCCTTGGGATCCGTTTGTGAGATGCAAGTCACTGTTGAAAACAGTGACAATGAGGGTCTTCCTGCATTTTCAAAAACCTGTGGACTTTTCTCAAATTCAGCTTCAAGGAGTAGAGAGTATGAGGGCCTATACTTGTACGGGGCTCATAAAGCAATTTCATTCACGTTATCTTCTTAGAACGTTATACAAATCCGAGGAAAAATTCCATCAGCCAATACTTACCAACATTTGCTCTGTGACAAGTTCCATTCTAGGTGCTTTACTTGAACCAGGTAATTTAATCCTCACAATAACCTGATGAGGTAGGTACTATTACCAACCCATTTTACATATGAGCAAGCTAAGGCCGGAAAGCCCAAGTAATGTGCGCAAGGTCACACAGTTATTAAATGTGGCAGCCAGGAGTTGAATCCAATCACAATGGTGCTGGAACCATCTACAACTGGGAGGAGGTATTGTTACCACTTCTATTTTACAGCAGAGGAACCCCTGCATACCTGGGGCCCATCAGGAAACCCTGACTGTTACAGAAGGGCCAGACTCAGGCCCTTACATTAGAAAAGGACTCCCGTTGCCCTGCTGACCCTTTGCACAGGATGACACATGTGCCTTTTGTTTTCTGTAAAGCTACCAACTGCCCTGTGTAAAGGAAATCAATCTGAGGTCCCTTGGAAGGGGAAATGTAGAGGGAAGGTCCTGGAATGGAAAGGAGCAGAACAGGCTGTGCATTTGCAGTTGGAGCATCACAGATCCACAATGAAGAGGGCAAAGTAAGGCTGGCCAGGGCTGCACAGCAGAGAGGATGTGCCTGGAAATGGGTGACAGTGCACTCAAGGAGAAGCATGGAGGGAGGACATGTCATCACCTGTTTAATTCCACTTCTTGGGCTTAGTTTAGTTGGGCATAGCTCCCCTTCCTCCCCTTGGCTGATCAATGAATGAGAGAAAGAGCTCTGCAGCGCATTGTGTTAGCAGCAAGCTCGACTCCAGAACTTTGAAGTCCATAAGCACATTGAGTGACTACTCCTGAGTTTGCAGGAAATGAGGAGGGGAAGAGAGTGCAGAAGCACCAATTCCAAGTTCTTTACTCTTCTCAATTCTTAGAAGCTGTAGAACTTGAACCTGCAAATCTAGTAGGTCAGATCCTCCTACCTAACGAATCCTCTCTGGCAATTCCCTGAATCAGCTTGGTCTCTCCATCATGGTAACGCTCTCCGTTGCCTTTCTCAACTGAGAATTTGGTGGGTGCTGAGATTTGGCAATCTTTAATATTAGTCTAACTCAATTTAATTAAGGAGATAAACTTTGAGACAGAGAAGGAGGAATAGTTGTTTTGTGATGAATTCTATAATATATTATATGTATAATATATAATATATTATATATGATATGTATAATATATATAATATATATAATATATTATATATATTATATATGATATATATATCATATATGATATATATATGATATAATATATATAATATATTATATATGATATATTATATATTATATATTATATTATATCATATATATTATATATATGATATATTATATCATATATTATATATGATATATAATATATATAATATATTATATATGATATATAATATATATAATATATTATATATGATATATAATATATATAATATATTATATATGATATATAATATATATAATATATTATATATGATACATATCATATATAATATATAATATATTATATATTATACATATCATATATAATATATATAAAATATATTATATATATAATATAATATAATATGAATTCCAGACTATTTCCATGGAAAATTAGAAGTTGAGTGTGTAGCCATTTAGAGAGTCCTGATGAATAGAATAAATATTTGGTTCACTTTCTATGGTTATCTTCTAGTTTCTGACTTCCACTAATAACATATATGTAAATAAATGAATACCTAAACCACTGCCCACTCAGGTTATTCATTTGCAGACTGTGTCTTATATCACTATGTTTTCAGGTGACTTAAGTCTCCCTCCCCCCATGGAGTTCATTTATTTGTCCAAAGTAAACTCTCAGAAGCATAATAAAAGGCTGTGCTCCAGGTTTACAGACTCCAGGTCCTAAGGACTTCAGAGAGCATTTGATTACCACCAAGAGACGCTTCGTAAGAGCTTCCCAAATGTTCTCCAGGAAGAAATGCCTCATCATTTAGGGAGATGCCCCATTAGAACCTTTGCCCTTTGCTCCTATCATTAGCTTTTCTTCCTTTTTTGAAAAGCAGCGAAGTGACATTTTCCCACATTCCTCTGCAATGCTGTGTACCTGCACACAAGTTGGCAAGAAGGCGAGAGAGGTGGGGGAAACTTAAGTGGAAACAAATGTGAAGGTGACTATTTGCTGGTGCTGTGGAATGAAATTCCAGAAGGCAGCCTGGCGGTGCATCCAGGGACAGCAGAATCATTGAGAAAAAGTACCAGCTCTGGCACTGGGATAAAGAATTGTCAGGATTTCCTTTTCTATTTTTCACCCTTTTGATGGACTTGTGAGTACTTTTGTTTGCGACTAAGCCGTTCATTTCTATCTGTGTGCAATGCAGTGCAATGTTTCAGGCACTGCGGGGGACCTTGTCTGTCTCCCACCAGAAGTTGTAGTATAATTCAGGGCTTTCTTTTCTTTTCTTTTCTTTTTAAATAGTATTGTGTGGTCCTGAGCAGAGTGAATAGTTCAGCTAATAAATTCCTCAGACCCTTTAGCACAGAGGTGAGAGCTCCGTTGCTCACATGGGTCCCCAAGCCTTGACCTGTTGAGCCCTTTGCCACACTATAGCAGAGTCTTTTCATATTAATACTAATTTATCATTATTCCATTTAAATGCTCTTTTTTTTTGTCTGAGAGAAAGAGACAGAAAACATCTGCATATCGAGTAATATTAGCTACAGTTGGTGTCTCAAGTGAGAATCAATCTGACAGCCCCATTTATTATATCTGGGTAGGCTTTATTTCAGAGACTCGTGCATTTGAACTTTCCCTCCGCAAGATATGAAAGAGTCTCTGATGTATTCATAGCTGGCTTTAAAAACAACATTTTGAAATACAAGAGAGATTGCATCTATAGATAACATTTCAGTTATAATAAGAGAGGCCAAATGTTAGCCAGATTTAAACCAACAGCAACAATACAGATATTTAAAGGTGTTGTTAGTTAGGAAGCCTTATGGTTCATGTTTACAGCTGCGTTCTTTTGTTTCCTGACTGTGTTGTCAGCATTCACGTGGTTGTTTTTGATTCATCATGTCTAGTGCATTGCCCTCCTCAATCATTAGGCTAATAGCTCAGGTCATTTTTAAGAGCAATGCCATGATCCATTTCCCTTTGGGTAGGGCTGGCCATTGAGGTTAAAACATGCCATTGTTAAGACAAACCAAATTACCACCACCACTACCAAAACCTCCAAACAGAGTTTTTCCCATCAATTTGAAAATCAGCCTTTTGAGACTTAGTACGGTACACTGGGGTAGTTAAAGTAAATGTTCAAATAATTGGCCTATCAGTTAACTTTGCTCATTGTCAGTTAATTAGGACTTGAACCCTTATAAATCAGAGGTGCCCATGTTAGTATATGTGTTAATGTGTTTCTCAGGCAGCAGGATGGTTAGTAACTATTACTTCTGTATCCCTACTTGATAAAAAAAAACAAGGATGGCTCTCCCTCTAACTCTACTGAGTCAAATGGCTCTGCAGGTGATCTTGGTGGCCCTGAACCTGAGACACAATTCCTTCACTGAGGCCTGAAAACCAAGCAAGTTTCATACTGGGTTATTTCTCTTTGTCTTCCCTCTTTACTTGTATTATTTTTTAAATGAGTTTCAGTACTCAACACCAGGAAACAGAAAATAAAACAGGGCTCCTGTTCAATGGACTGGTAGTCAGCACGCAATTGTTTGTGTAAAACTGTGAAAGTCCAATACTTTTTTTTTTTTATGTCAAGGTGTCTTAACATTTCCCATGTGAGCAATTTTTTTTTCTGGGATGGAGTCTTGCTCTGTTGCCCAGGCTGGAGTGCAGTGATGCGATCTCGGCTCACTGCAACCTCTGCCTCCTGGGTTCAAGCGATTCTCCTGCCTCAGCCTCCCGAGTAGCTGGGACTACAGGCACGTGCCACCACATCCAGCTAATTTTTGTATTTTTAGTAGAGACGGGGTTTCTCCATGTTGGTCAGGCTAGTCTTGAACTCCTGACGTCAGGTGATCTGCTCGCCTTGGCCTCCCAAAGTGCTGGGATTACAGGCATGAGCCACCGCACTCGGGTATAGACTTGATTTTTTTTTTTTTTTTTTTTTTTTTTTTTTTTTGAGATAAAGTCTTGCTCTGTTATCCAGGCTGGAGTGCAGTGGTGCAGTCTCTGCTCACTGTTGGCTCCACCTCCCGGGTTCACACCATTCTCCTGCCTCAGCTTCCTGAGTAGCAGGATTACAGGTGCCCGCCACCATGCCCAGCTAATTTTTTGTATTTTTAGTAGAGATGGGGTTTGACCATGTTAGCCAGGATGGTCTCGATCTGCTAACCTCGTGATCCGCCTGCCTCGGCCTCCCAAAGTGCTGGGATTACAGGTTTGAGCCACTGCATCCAGCCTAGACTTGATTTTTAAAGCACAGTGGAGCTGCAGTCCTCATGTCTCTGTGTCAATTAAAGCTAAAATGTGTAGAGGACATTTATGAGCATCCCAACACTCATAGGTCTTTGACAGTTGCAAACTAAAATGGTGATTTTTTTCCCCCTACTCCTTTGCTGGTCTCTGCCAGACTACTCTGGGTCCTCTATCACCTTCCCTTAGCTCCTTCAGATTTATCTACTCTTGATCACCAACTCTTTCATTCTTTAATTTATCATATTCTGTGCCTGGAACACATATTTTTCCTCAATCCACTACCTTCCTTGACTTGTTATTTGAAGTCCCTTCACTTTGTTTTATTTTATTTTTCACTTAAAAGACACCAGCCTACAATACACACACAGTTCAGGGTGCCTGACACCCTAGAGGAGAGATTCAACACATGTCAAGGGTGACTATAAAGGCAGAATGTGATAAATATGAGAAAGATTAAAGCCAAGTGCTTTGGGAGTGAAAAGGGGAGAGATACCCATTAAATGAAGAATCATCTCTTTTAGAAAATGTAATAGTTTATTCTTTTTTTTTTCAAGGTATTCAAATGTTTTTAATAATGATAATCCCCTTGGTCACCGATTTCTTTGTTTTTATTTTATTTTGTTTTATTATTATACTGTAAGTTCTAGGGTACATGTGCACAATGTGCAGGTTAGTTACACATCTATACATGTGCCATGTTGATGTGCTGCACCCGTTAACTCGTCATTTACATTAGTTATATCTCCTAATGCTATCCCTCCCCCTGCCCCCCGCCCCACAACAGGCCCCAGTGTGTGATGTTCCCCACCCTGTGTCCAAGTGTTCTCATTGTTCAGTTCCCACCTATGAGTGAGAACATGTGGTGTCTGGTCTCCTGTCCTTGTGTTAGTTTGCTCAGAATGATGGTTTCTAGCTTCATCCATGTCCCTACAAAGGACATGAACTCATCCTTTTTATGGCTGCATAGTATTCCATGGTGTGTATGTGCCACATTTTCTGAATCCAGTCTATCATTGATGGACATTTGGGTTGGTTCCAAGTCTTTGCTATCGTAAATAGTGCCACAATAAATATACGTGTGCATATGTCTTTATAGCAACATGATTTATAATCATTTGTGTATATGCCCAGTAATGGGATGGCTGTGTCAAATGGTATTTCTAGTTCTAGATCCCTGAGGAATCGCCACACTGTCTTCCACAATGGTTGAACTAGTTTACAGTCCCACCAATAGTGTAAAAGTATTCCTGTTTCTCCACATCCTCTCCAGTACCTGTTCTTTCCTGACTTTTTAATGATCGCCATTCTAACTGGTGTGAGATGGTATCTCATTGTGGTTTTGATTTGCATTTCTCTGATGGCCAGTGATGATGAGCATTTTTTCATGTGTTTTCTGGCTGCATAAATGTCTTCTTTTGAGAAGTGTCTGTTCATATCCTTCGTCCACTTTTTGATGGGGTTGTTTGTTTTTTTCTTGTAAATTTGTTTGTGTTCATTGTAGATTCTGGATATTAGCCCTTTGTCAGATGAGTAGGTTGCAAAAATGTTCTCCCATTCTGTAGGTTGCCTGTTCACTCTGATGGTAGTTTCTTCTGCTGTGCAGAAGCTCTTTAGTTTAATTAGATCCCATTTGTCAATATTGGCTTTTGTTGCCATTGCTTTTGGTGTTTTAGTCATGAAGTCCTTGCACATGCCTATGGCCTGAATGGTATTTCCTAGCTATTCCTCTAGGGTTTTTATGGTTTTAGGTCTAACATTTAATTCTTAAATCCATCTTGAATTAATTTTTGTATAAGGTATAAGGCAGGGATCCAGTTTCAGCTTTCTACATATGGCTAGCCAGTTTTCCCAGCACCATTTATTAAATAGGGAACCCTTTCCCCATTTCTTGTTTTTGTCAGGTTTGTCAAAGATCAGATGTTTGTAGATGTATGGTATTATTTCCGAGGGCTCTATTCTGTTCCATTGGTCTATATCTCTGTTTTGGTACAAGTACCATGCTGTTTTGGTTACTGTAGCCTTGTAGCATAGTTTGAAGTCAGGTAGCGTGATGCCTCCAGCTTTGTTCTTTTGGCTTAGGATTGTCTTGGCAATGCAGGCTCTTTTTTGGTTCCATATGAACTTTAAAGTAGTTTTTTCCAATTCTGTGAAGAAAGTCATTGGTAGCTTGATGGGGATGGCAGTGAATCTATAAATTACCTTGGGCAGTATGGCCATTTTCACAATATTAATTCTTCCTATCCACGAGCATGGAATCTTCTTCCATTTGTTTGTGTCCTCTTTTGTTTTGTTGAGCAGTGGTTTGTAGTTCTCCTTGAAGAGGTCCTTCACATCCCTTGTAAGTTTGATTCCTGGGTATTTTATTCTCTTTGAAGCAATTGTGAATTGGAATTCACTTATGATTTGGCTCTCTGTTTGCCTGTTATTGGTGTATATGAATGGTTGTGATTTTTGCACATTGATTTTGTGTCCTGAGACTTTGCTTAAGTTGCTTATTAGCTTACGGAGATTTTGGGGTGAGAAGATTGGGTTTTCTAAATATATAATCATGTCATCTGCAAACAAGGACAATTTGACTTTTTCTTTTCCTAATTGAATACCCTTTATTTCTTTCTCTTGCCTGATTGCCCTGGCCAGAACTTCCAACACTATGTTGAATAGGAGTGATGAGAGAGGGCATCCCTGTCTTGTGCCAGTTTTCAAAGGAATGCTTCCAGTTTTTGCCCATTCAGTATGATATCGGCTGTGGGTTTGTCATAAATAGCTCTTATTATTTTGTGATACGTCCCATCAATACCTAGTTTTTTGAGAGTTTTTAGCATGAAGGGCTGTTGAATTTTGTCAAAGGCCTTTTCTGCATCTATTGAGATAATCATTTGGTTTTTGTCTTTGGTTCTGTTTATATGCTGGATTACATTTATTGATTTGCATATGTTGAACCAGCCTTGCATCCCAGGGATGAAGCCAACTTTATCGTGGTGGATAAGCTTTTTGATGTGCTGCTGGATTCGGTTTGCCAGTATTGAGGATTTTTGCATCGATGTTCATCAGGGATATTGGTCTAAAATTCTCTTTTTTTGTTGTGTCTCTGCCAGGCTTTGGTATCAGGATGATGTTGGCCTCAGAAAGTAAATTAGGGAGGATTCCCTCTTTTTCTATTGATTGGAATAGTTTCAGAAGGAATGGTACCAGCTCCTCTTTGTACCTGTGGTAGAATTCAACTGTAAATCTGCCTGGTCCTGGACAGTTTTTGGTTGGTAGGCTATTAATTATTGCCTCAATTTCAGAACCTGTTATTGGTCTATTCCTGGTTTAGTTTTGGGAGGGTGTATGCATCCAGGAATTTATCCATTTCTTCTAGATTTTCTAGTTTATTTGCATAGAGGTGTTTATAGTATTCTCTGATGGTAGTTTGTATTTCCGTGGGATCGGTGGTGATATCCCCTTTATCATTTTTTATTGCATCTATTTGATTCTTCTCTCTCTTCTTCTTTATTAGTCTTGCTAGCAGTGTATCAATTTTGTTGATCTTTTCAAAAAAACAGCTCCTGGATTCATAGATTTTTTGAAGGGTTTTTTGTGTCTCTATCTCCTTCAGTTCTGCTCTGATCTTAGTTATTTCTTGGCTTCTGCTAGCTTTTGAATGTGTTTGCTCTTGCTTCTCTAGTTCTTTTCATTGTGATGTTAGGGTGTCAATTTTAGACCTTTCCTGCTTTCTCTTGTGGGCATTTAGTGCTATAAATTTCCCTCTACACACTGCTTTAAATGTGTCCCAGAGATTCTGGTATGTTGTGTCTTTGTTCTTGTTGGTTTCAAAGAACATCTTTATTTCTGCCTTCATTTCGTTATGTACCCAGCAGTCATTCAGGAGCGAGTTGTTCAGTTCTATGTAGTTGAGTGGTTGTGAGTGAGTTTCTTAATCCTGAGTTCTAGTTTGATTGCACTGCGGTCTGAGAAACAGTTTGTTATGATTTCTGTTCTTTTACATTTGCTGAGGAGTGCTTTACTTCCAACTATGTGGTCAATTTTGGAATAGGTGTGATGTGGTGCTGAGAAGAATGTATATTCTGTTGATTTGGGGTGGAGAGTTCTGTAGATGTCTATTAGGTCCACTTGGTGCAGAGCTGAGTTCAATTCCTGGATATCCTTGTTAACTTTCTGTCTCGTTGATCTGTCTAATGTTGACAGTGGGGTGTTAAACCCACACATTATTATTGTGTGGGCATCTAAGTCTCTTTGTAGGTCTCTAAGGACTTGGTTTTTGAATCTGGGTGCTCCTGTATTGGGTGCATATATATTTAGGATAGTTAGCTCTCCTTGTTGAATCAATCCCTTTACCATTATGTAATGGCCTTCTTTGTCTCTTTGTTCTTTGTTGGTTTAAAGTCTGTTTTATCAGAGACTAGGATTGCAACCCCTGCTTTTTTTTTTCTTTTCCATTTGCTTTGTAGATCTTCCTCCATCCCTTTATTTTGAAACTATGTGTGTCTCTGCATGTGAGATGGGTCTCCTGAATACAGCACACTGATAGGTCTTGACTCTTTATCCAATTTGCCAGTCTGTGTCTTTTAATCGGAGGATTTAGCCCATTTACATTTAAGGTTAATATTGTTATGTGTGAATTTGATCCTGTCATTATGATGTTAGCTGGTTATTTTGCTCGTTAGTTGATGCGGTTTCTTCCTAGCCTCAATGATCTTTACAATTTGGCATATTTTTGCAGTGGCTGGTACTGGTTGTTCCTTTCCATGTTTAGTGCTTCCTTCAGGAGCTCTTTTAGGGCAGGCCTGGTGGTGACAAAATCTCTCAGCATTTGTTTGTCTATAAAGGATTTTATTTCTCCTTCACTTATGAAGGTTAATTTGGCTGGATATGAAATTCTGTGTTGAAAATTCTTTCCTTTAAGAATGTTGAATATTGGCCCCCACTCTCTACTGGCTTGTAGAGTTTCTGCCAAGAGATCTGCTGTTAGTCTGATGAGCTTCTGTTTGCAGGTAACCAACCTTTCTCTCTGGCTGCCCTTAACATTTTTTCCTCCATTTCAACTTTGGTGAATCTGACAATTATGTGTCTTGGAGTTGCTCTTCTCAAGGAGTATCTTTGTGGCATTCTCTGTGTTTCCTGAATTTGAATGTTGGCCTGCCTCACTAGGATGGGGAAGTTCTCCTGGATAATATCCTGAAGAGTGTTTGCCAACTTGGTTCCATTCTCTCCATCACTTTCAGGTACATCAATCAGACGTAGATTTGGTCTTTTCACATAGTCCCATATTTCTTGGAGTCTTTGTTCGTTTCTTTTTAGTCTTTTTTCTCTAAACTTCTCTTCTCGCTGCATTTCATTCATTTGATCTTCAATCACTGATACCCTTTCTTCCACTTGATCAAGTCAGCTATTGAAGCTTGTGCATGCATCACTTAGTTCTCGTGCCATGGTTTTCAGCTCCATAAGGTCATTTAAGGACTTCTCTACACTGTTTATTCCAGTTAGCCATCCGTCTAATCTTTTTTCAAGGTTTTTAGCTTCTTTGCGATGGGTTTGAACATCCTCCTTTAGCTCAGAGAAGTTTCTTATTAGTGATTGTCTGAAGCTTTCTTCTCTCAGCTGCTCAAAGTCATTCTCCATCCAGCTTTGTTCCACTGCTGGCGAGGAGCTGCATTCCTTTGGAGGAGAAGAGGTGCCCTGATTTTTAGAATTTTCAGCTTTTCTACTCTGGTTTCTCCCCATATTTGTGGTTTTATCTTCCTTTGGTCTTTGATGATGGTGACACCCAGATGGGGTTTTGGTGTGGATGTCCTTTCTGTTTGTTAGTTTTCCTTCTAACAGTCAGGATCCTCAGCTGCAGGTCTGTTGGTGTTTGCTGGAGGTCCACTCCAGACCCTGTTTGCCTGAGTGTCACCAGCGGAGGCTGCAGAACAGCAAATATTGCAGAAGGGCAGATGCTGCTGCCTGATCCTTTCTTTGGAAGCTTTATCTCAGTGGGGCACCCAGCTGTATGAGGTGTCAGTCGGCCCCTACTGGGAGGTGTCTCCAAGTTAGGCTACTCAGGGGTCAGCGATCCACTTCAGGAGGCAGTCTGTCTGCTCACAGATCTCAAACTCCGTGCTGGGAGAACCACTGCTCTCTTCAAACCTGCCAGACAGGGACGTTTAAGTCTGCAGAAGTTTCTGCTGCCTTTTGTTTAGCTGTGCCCTGCCCCCAGAGGTGGAGTCTACAGATGCAGGCAGACCTCCTTGAGCTGCAGTGGGCTCCACCCAGTTCGAGCTTATGGGCTGCTTTGTTTACCTACTCAAGCCTCAGCAATGGCGGACACCCCTCCCCGAGCCTCGCTGCCACCTTGCAGTTTGATCTCAGACTGCTGTGCTAGCAGTGAGTGAGGCTCCGTGGGCATGGGCCCCTCTGAGCCAGGTGTGGGATATAATCTCCCAGTGTGCCATTTGCTAAGGCCATTGGAAAAGCGCAGTATTAGGGTGGGAGTTCCCCGATTTTCCAGGTGGTGTCTGTCACGGCTTCCCTTTGCTAGGAAAGGGAATTCCCTGACCTCTTGTGCTTCCTGGGTGAGGCAATGCCCCACCCTGCTCCATGGGCTGCACCCACTGTCTGACAAGCCCCAGTGAGATGAACCTGGTACCTCAGTTGGAAATGCAGAAATCACCCATCTTCTGCATCACTCACACTGGGAGCTGCATACTGGAGCTGTCCCTATTCGGCCATCTTGGAACCTCTAATAGTTTATTCTTACTATTAAAATAACACACATTTAGAGATGCAGACTAGGAAGCTTCACAGAGACAAGAAGTTAGTAAAAATATGTGGGCCAAAATATTTTTGTGAGAACTCTGGAGACTACTTGAGAAGTCTAAGCACCCTGAGCTACATACAACAGGAAGGGATTTCAGATAAAGGGTTAAGGAAGTTCATAGCACTTTGTATGCTCATCTGTGCTCTGCCCCCATTTGACCTAATGCAACACAACTGGAAGGAAACTTCCCATGCCAGGGATCCTCTCTTTGAATGAAAACGAAGGAAAGGACCATGTGTACAGCAGTCTGGCTAGTCTGGGAGCTGCCTCAAGAATTGGTATCCATCTCAATTGGCTCAGAGGGCTGATTGAGTTTGTGACCTTGTTTGCAAGCTGCTGAAAACAGGTTCAATAATAGTGGCACATTTGAGCTGCAGTTCCACAGGCAGGTGCCAGAGGGAGCAAGAGATTTCAGGCTTCTGAAAAGAAGCAAGGACAAGCTGCAATGGGAATTTCACAGGACTAAAAAGCTTATGTACATGCCCAGAGAAGACACATTCTCAGAGTTTGAAAGATCCTAAAATAGACTCTAGCTGCGCTGATCAGTGAAGTCTTTTGCGTGAAGCCAGACCATAAAGTTTATGAAAAGTGGTTGTTGTTTTGAATGTCCATGTCTTAACAGCATCATCAGCACAACAAAAATCACAAGGCACACAAAGAAACAAAGATTTATGGTCCAATCAGAGGGCCAAAACAAAACTTCAGAAGCCAACCCTAAAGAAATGAAAACATATGGGCTTGCTGACAAAGAATTTAAAATAACTGTCATAAATATGCTCAATGAGCTAAAAGAGAATACAGATAGATGACTAAATGAAATCCAGTAAATGACACATGTATAAATTGAGACTATCAACAAAGAGAAACTATTTTAAGAACACCAAACAGAAATTCTGGTGCTAAAAACCATAATAAGTGACCTCAGAATATCACCAAAAAGGTTCAACAACAGACTTGATAACGCAGAAGAAGAAATCACTGAACTTGAAGACAGGTTATTTGAAATCCTCAAGTTAGAGGAACAAAAAGTAAAAAGAATGAAGAAAGTGAAGAGAACCCAAGGAACTTATGGGGAAGTATCAAGCAGCTCAATATACTTATTACAGAATTTCCAGAAGGAGAAGAGAAAGAAAAGGCCAGAGCTCTTAGCTGAAGAAATAATGGCCAAATGTCTCCCAAATTGAAGGATAAAATGGACATACAAATTTAAGAAGCTCAAAGATTCCAACAAGGATAAATCCCAAAAGACCCACACCTAGATATAATCAAACTGTGAAACATCAAAGACAAAGAGACAATCTTGAAACCAGCAAAAGAAAAGCAACCCATCACATCAAAGAGAACTTTGATAAGATTACTAGTGAATTTCTCAGCAGAAACTTTGACGGCTAGAGGAAGTAGGATGTTATACTCAGGGTGCTGAAAGAAAAAAGGAAAAGCAAAAATACACTCCAATAAACCTGTCAACTGAGAATATCGTGTCCAGCAAACTGTTCTTTAAAACTAAAAAAGAAATTAAGATTTATTCAGGTGAACAAAAACAAAGGGAGTTCATTATCACTAGATCTGCTTGGCAAGAAATGCTAATGGGAAGTTCCTCAAGGTGAAGGGAAAGGATGGTAGACAGTAGCACAAAGCCACTAAAAAATATAAAGTTCTCTGATAAAGGTAAATTCATAGACATAGTAAACTTTATTACTGTAATTTTATTGCACACCTTCACTTTTAATTATTGTATAGAATTTAAATTACAAAACATTAAAAAACTATAAATCTATGTTAATCGGTATACAACCTATGAAGAGGTAATTTATGATAGCAATAACAAGTGGGAGATTGAGCATGTAGTACTAGAGTTTTTGTATGACATTGAAATTAATTTATTAGTTTAAAATAGAGTGTTATAACTCTAAGATGTTATATGTTATTACAGTGGTAACTATAAAAAAAATTTATAGAATATACACAAAAGGAAATGAGAAGGAAATCAAAGCATGCCAATACAGAAAAATCAACAAAACATAAAAGGAAAGCAATAAGAGAGAAAAAGAACAAAAAGCTGTAAGACATATGGAAAACAATTAACAAAATGGCAATGGTAAGTCCTTCCATATAGACAATTAC